>NC_000006.12:121131396-121434426 GCF_000001405.40 Homo sapiens | reverse complement strand
AAGGATGCCAAATATATTCTGGTAGACACCGTTCCCTAATTAAACTTTCACTGAAATGACTAATATAACATCTTTTGAAATGTTGCAGGTTTTTTTTTTTCTTTTCTGAGACGGAGTTTCGCTCTTGTTGCCCAAACTAGAGTGCAGTGGCGCCATCTCTGCTCACCGCAACCTCCGCCTTCCGGCTTCAAGTGATTCTCCTGCCTCAGCCTCCTGGGTGGCTGGGATTACAGGCCTCCGCCTCCCAAAGTGCTGGGATCACAGGCGTGAGCCGCCGCGCTGGGCCCAAATGTTGCAATTTTAAGGAACAATTTTGCTTTTACTTGTTGGCTATCCTATTTCCAAGAGTACATTTTTCTTTAAATTAAGAAAGGGGAAAAACAATCTTCTGGAAGTAGAAATTGTAACCTGACTTTCGAGTCTTCAGGTTCAGCAACCTATAAATGTTGTTTTGGTCTTGTATTTATATTGTTCTTTAAATAAATCTATTGTTTTGTCTTAACTAAAAATTATTTCATTGGACTTAGAACATATTCATGAAAATGATTTATTCTTTTTATCGTAAGAAAATACATGTCTTCTTTTCAAAAAAGTATGCTTCATTTAATTTACATAACAATTTATTTTTGTAAAATTATTTATCAACTACAATTATAAAAAACATTACCATGATGCTAATTCAGAATAAGTTACATGAAAGAAAAGTTGTCATTGACTGTTTTATAATAGGATTTTTAAAGCAAAAAAAATTGTGTTTATTTCTGTTATGTTTTGTTAGGTCTATAGATGAATGTTGATGTTTAAATATTCTTGTAAAGTATTCTTTTCTTTTTAATCTATTACCTATGTGACCAATTGGAAATAGAGCTAAAGAACTTCCTTATAACAAGTTAAATTATTCATGGATATCACTTGAACTATTTTCTGAGCCAAAGGAATTACTCATAGCATGAGCCAGTAATTAGTTACTTCTCTTAATACATGAACGTACTATGTCTTTTCTTTCTAAAATCATTTTTCCATGATCATTGATACAAGATCTCAACATGATTTCATGAAAATATCATTGATAAGACATTCTGAAGAAGCTTCTCTTCTTTTGGGATAATGGCACTGAAATGCAATGCTATGAGTAATCATGTGCAAGACAAACTAGGTTTTGCAAAAGGCCCCACAGTTTTCTCTCATGGACAACTAACAGGGTCTCTAAATGACAGGTAGCAACTTCTATTATAACTCATACTCTAGCAGTGTTGGTGAGTTATATTTTTATCAATAGCAAAATTGTTCAAAAGTATCTCACTTATCTGACCTTAGAAGCTTGTCTCCATTGGAATGTTTTGCAAAAATTGTGGAATAGTTTTTTTTTTTTAAATGTGTTTTTCTCATATTCTCAGAAATGTCAATGCCATTTCTTTAATATAAACACTGACTTCCTAGAACTGTGTCTTCTCTGATTGCCAGACCTTGTCTATGTAGAAGAAATGGATGCAGCCTGATTAACACTGCTCTTTGGAGAACTAGAAACAGTTATTTACAGTTTCTGTCTTCTGCAGGGCTTCTTTAGGCCAAATGACCTGCCAGGCCTTTGATTCTGTTTTCTCCATGTAGCTATATATATTTTGCAAAATGCACATTGTTGGCACAATGGAGGGTAAGTTTTTTTCAGAATTGTGAGAAATATTTCTTAATATGAGAACCACCTCCTTTTTTGGATTTTTACCTTTGTTTCAAAATAGGAATTTCTGAAATTTTAAGAAATGAATGGAGTGATTTTTAAGGCCTTTAAATGCCTATCCCACATAAACTCTGATGGATTACTTTCACCTCATTGAGTAGCATAAACGTTAAATAATTGGTGGCTCCGGATTAGACTTGTAAGAAGAGTATTGTAATGGGAGAGCAGTAAGCTATAGGAACTTGAAAGGCAATACTAGCAGAAAGAAAGGAAAGGAAGGTAGAATTACCAGAACTTGATGATGGATGAATGGGAAGACAAGGAAGAGGAGGCTGTGGAAACCGATTTTTGGAGTTTTGATTGGGAAAATGTTACTAACACAAAAAAAGGAAGCTCGGGGAGGGACTGACCTGCTGAAAGAGATACAAAGATTTGTTTGAAATATTTTGGTATGAAGAACTGAAATATCTAGGTAAAGACCGATGACTGACAATTTAAAACAGGAGCTGTGGCGTTCACTTTAAAATTGTTACAGCGGGGCACAGTGGCTCATGCTTGTAATCCCAGCACTTTGGGTGGCCAAGGCGGGCAGATCACCTGAGGTCAGGTGTTCGAGACCAGCCTGACCAACATGGAGAAATCCCGTCTCTACTAAAAATACAAAAATTAGCTGGGCGTGGTGGCACACACCTGTAGTCCCAGCCTCCCGGGAGGCTGAGGCACGAGAGTTGCCTGAACCTGAAAGGTGGAGGTTGCAGTGAGCCAAGATAACACCAATGCACTACAACTGGGCAACAGAGTGAGACTCAGTCTCAAAAAAAAAAAAAATTGTTATAAGATTTGTGATTGGGAAGACACAGTGGTTCAACTCTGTAATCCCAGCACTTGGGAGGCTGAGGTGGGATGACAACTTGAACCCAAGAGTTCAAGACCACCCTGGGCAACATAGGGAGACCCTGTGTCTACAACAAATAAAAAGGTTATTTAGACATAGTGGCAGGCCTCTGTAGTCCCAACTACTCAGGAGGCTGAGGTGAGAGGATCTGAAAAAAAAAAGAAAGAAAAAAAAAAGATTTGTAATTAGAAGCCACAGGTACAGATGAAATTACTAAGAGATGGGATATAGGCAGTGTACCAAAAAGCACACACACAGCCTTGGTGGATTTCCTCATTTAATGCAGACAAAAAGAATGAAAAAAGAGGCAAGGTAACATCTGGGAAAGGGAAAGGTATTTAAAATAGCTACAAGTGGGCTTATTTGTGGGAAAATATTACTTGTGCACTGGAGGAGTAGTTAACTTTGAAAGGACAGCTACTCCGTTAAAAAGAGAATGAGTGCAACATAAAGAAAATGTTTTCAGACAGTATAGGCCGCATGAAACTAGGGTTTGAAGGTATTTTCTCAAAGTAGCTAAGGTTATCAGCTGGCTGAGATGAAAGTAAGTGAAGAAGAATCAGAAAATTTGCAATCCCTCTGGGGCAATTCAAGGCATTTGTAGAAGAATAGAAAGACTATCTGAGACTAGGCGGGTGTAGGTTGATTTTGTAATGAGATAAGATGGCATTATCTTACAGATTTCCTTTCCTTCGCATCAGAATAATCCTTTCTATGCACCAAATTTCCATTTTAACTAACGTTTACCAGACAGCAAGAAAGAAGTAAAAGTTAATTTGGAAGTCATAAGTTTGCAAGTTTAGAAGTGCTCTACCCAAATTGGTAAAACTTGCCAGAAAATGTGTTCTTTATGTGACTGTTGGTCAATTACATCTTTCAGAGCAGTGAAGATTTCTCATCGTATTACCACTTGTGCTGGTATCCCTTTTTCAAAAGATAAGTTTCTGGGGTCCGTCAATTCGCTTCATAACCCTGAAGTATTCAACTTAACTGAGAACGTCTTTCCCATTTACTTAGCATTCTATCATCCTTGAAAAATGTTTAAGGATCAAAGATTGATTTGAGCTGTGTAAAATTTCAACTCATTTTTGTAGCCCACATTTACCTCCAAGCGAATCTTATGTAAACCAAACTACACAAAAAGGTATTTGTAAAGGGAAGAATTTGTTTTGCTTTGTTGAGTGGGAAAGAATTCCAGCCAGTGGATAAATATGTCTTTGGCTCCACCTTCTGTGCAGAGTGAAAATGAACATTGCAAAGAGAAACTGGTAAATCATTTACTATTTCATGTTTATTTGTTTAATTTTACCTTTTCAATGAAGCTTGGTTAATTTTTTATGATCACTTGTGAATTCATTCATTCAGTAAATATTTATTATGCCTCAGGGACTATGGTAGACATTATTATTTTTTAGTTATGCAGTTAATAACAAAGCCAATATCAGAGTTGAACTTCATTCAACTTTAGCCTTTGAGTTTTCTTTAAGGGAATTTTGAAAAAGCAAGCAAACAATGGTAGGAAAACAGAGAAATACTAGTTCGATTCTTTAAAAAAGAAACATGCAGGTCGGGCGCGGTGGCTCACGCCTGTAATCCCAGCACTTTGGGAGGCCGAGGTGGGCGGATCACTTGAGGTCAGGAGTTCGAGACCAGCCTGGACAACATAGTGAAACCTAGTCTCTACTAAAAATTAAAAATGAGCTAGGCATGGTGGTGCATGCCTGTAATCCCAGCTACTCAGGAGGCTGAGGCAGGAGAATCGCTTGAACCCGGGAGGCAGAGGTTGCAGTGAGCCAAGATTGTGCTGCTGCCCTCCAGCCTGGGCCACAGAGTGAGACTCCCTCTCAAAAAAAAAAAAAAAAAAAAAAGAATCCTATCAATAGTATATTCACTTTAAAAAATGATCAGAAGAAAGTCTAGAGGTTTGGAATCTGCAACTCTTGATTTTCCATGTATATTAGTTTTTTTATAGGAAGAGAACTAACAGGTCATTTGTACTGAATGACAGTCTAAAACTAAATCTTGGCTCTTTATGCTAATAATTTTTTTTTGAGATGGAGTTTCGCTCTTGTTCTCCAGGCTGGAGTGCAATGGCATGATCTCGGCTCACTGCAAGCTCCGCCTCCCGGGTTTAAGCGATTCTCCTGCCTCAGCCTCCCCAGTAGCTAGGATTACAGGCGTGTCCCACCACGCCCAGCTAATTTTTGTATTTTTAGTGGAGACCAGGGTTTCACTATGTTGGCCAAGCTAGTCTCCAACTTCTGACCTCATGTGATTCGCCTGCCTCGCCCTCCCAAAGTGCTAGGGATTACAGGCGTGAACCACCGCACCCGGCCTTATGCTAAGAATTTAAATCTTTTGAAGATCATGTAGCAAATAAAGAAATATTTCAATATGTTTATTTTAGGGCAGATAGAATGAATATTATTTATTATCTAAAAATCACTTAGCCAAGTACTAACCTCCTCAAGATGACCACTTGCCATCATTTTATGTTTAGCATTATACTACACGAAGTGGAAACTTGAAAAATATAGAGAACATTTTGCAAGTGGAGGTGATTCCTTATGTGCACATTTTTTATGCAGGCTTTATCCAGAATATGAACAAATGTGTAGTTAAAAATAACAAATGCACGAACAAATTATTTACATACTTGTTGAACTGATGCCAAAGAAAAAGAAAAAAACTTAGCATTGCTTCAAAAGTCAGCTGAGATAAAAATTCCCAAATGAAATATTTACAATGCTTGGTTATAGCACCACTTACCAAAGTCGTTAAAATGCCTTTCTGTTGTATGTCTAAGTCTGCTTTGGTGCACAGGATGAGGTACCTATGGACAACTTTATATAGTACATGTCCTTTATAGACACTAACAAATTTAATACCGTTTTCATTTAGGATAGATAGTGTAAACAACACAATTATCTCTAAGAAATCATGCATCATGGCAATTATAAGTTCTATGTGTATTAGAAACATTTCAGCCCTCATAGCTCTAAGAATGGCAACATTTAGGAACCCTGTTAGATCTCTAAGAGAGCCTTTTGTTTGTTTGTTATTAATAACTGGCAATGAGTAGTACTTTAGTGTCAGATGGTTACTGATTTAAAAGTGAAATCCAAATGTAGTAGGCTTGACGTGTTTGGAAGATTCTAGTGCTAATCTCATCCAGAAACACCTTCTCAGGTACACCCAGAAATAATGTTTAATTTGGGCACCCTGCGGTCAGTCAAGTTGACACATGAAATAGATTAACACAGTTGCTTATTTATTTATTTATTTTTTGAGACGGAGTTCTACTCTGTGTCCCAGGCTGGAGTCCAGTGGCTCGATCTCAGCTCACTGCAACCTCTGTCTCCCGGGTTCAAGAATTCTCCTGCCTCAGCTTCCCAAGTAGCTGGGACTACAGGCGCCCGCCACTACGCCCGGCTAATTTTTGTATTTTTAGTAGAGATGGGGTTTCACCACATTGGCCAGGCTGGTCTCAAACTCCTGACCTTGTGATCCGCCCTGCTTTGGCCTCCCAAAGTGCTGGGATTATAGGCATGAGCCACTGCGCCCGGCCCAGTTGCTTATTTAATAAGCAATTATTAGCAAGCAGGCATTTAACCATTTTATACAACTTATTTTGAATTCTCTATGAAATCCTGACTGTGTTCATTTTAGATGAGGAGACTACCATCTTACATAAAAAGTTCTTTTTTTTCCCCAAAGGAATTATTAAAAAAAAATTCATATACCTTAGTTGTACATATTTTGGAGGTACATTTGATGTTTTGTTACATGTATACAATGTGTAATGATCAAATCAGGGTAACTGGGATATCCATCACCTCAAATATTTATCTTTTTTTTGTGTTGGGAACATTACAATTCTTCTCACTGTTTTGAAATATACCATAAATTTCTATTAACTGTGATTTCCCTACTGTACTACCAAATAACTTATTCATTCTAACTGTATTTTTATTTTTATTTATTTATTTATTTTTCTCCACAGAACTTCCAAGTCTAATCTAACTGTATTTTTTTTTTTTTTTTTTGAGACGGAGTCTCACTCTGTCGCCCAGGCTGGAGTGCAGTGGCATGATGTCAGCTCCCGGGTTCACGCCATTCTCCTGCCTCAGCCTCCCAAGTAGTTGGGATTACAGGCACCTGCCACCACGCCCGGCTAATTTTTTTGTATTTTTAGTAGAGACGGGGTTTCACCGTGTTAGCCAGGATGGTCTCAAACTCCTGACCTTGTGATCCACCCTCCTCGGCCTCCCAAAGTGCTGGGATTACAGGCGTGAGCCACCGCGCCCGGCCTAACCTAACTGTATTTTATACCCACTAACCAACTTCTCTTTATCTCCCCATCTCCCTCTTTCCCTCCCAAGCCTCTGGTAACAGTAAAGAGACAACCTGCATAAGAGGAGAAAATATTTGCAAACTATCTCCCCACCTCCCTCTTTTCCTCCCAAGCCTCTGGTAACAGTAAAGAGACAACCTGCATAAGGGGAGAATGAGATATTCTGCATGGGTATCTCATGAAATCCATTTTTTTTTTTTTTTGGCTGCAACATGTGAGTGAGAATATGTAACATTTGTCTTCCTGTGCCTGGCTTATTTCACTTAACTTAATGACCTCAGGTTCCATCCTGTTGCCACGCTTTCTTTTTAAAAACTTCATTATGGTTATTAACACAACACTAAGTTCACCAGTGAAAATCCAGGTTTTACATTCAGTTAATAAGATGTCTGAGGTGTTTCAGAAACATGGATACAGAAGCACTTGTAACCTTCTCTGAGGCAACCTTTCTCATAAATATTTGCTATTCACCCCTAGGCCACGAATTATTGATTAAAGTATTCAGCTACCCTACATGTAGCTTAAAGTAACCAACACACACATTTATAGTACTACATCTTTGCGGAAGTATTTTAAAGTAAATTACAGAGATAACAGAGAAACTCGACACTGTTTATACAAGTGCAATTCAGTACACTAGAAAGTGGATTATTAGCTCTTTGGTTCTTGATGATAAGTGGTTAAAGTAAAAGCTGTGAGCTGAAATGAGATACCAGAATTGGAAACATTGAATAACATGTAGGAATAACTTAACAATTTTACACTTGGATGACCCTAATCTGAAGAAGTTATGTATGTATTCCTAAAAAAGAATGAATGTTTTTTGAACTGGGTGTGGTGGCTCATGCCTGTAATCCCAGCACTTTGGGAGGCTGTGGTGGGAGGATCATTTGAGGCCAGAAGTTAGAGACCAGCCTGGGCAGCATAGTGAGGCCCCACTTCTACTATTAAATATTAAAAAAAAAAAAGGATGTTTAAATGCTTTTAAAGTTAATATGTATTCAATCTTAATACTTCAGAAATAACTTGACTCCAACATAGTATAGTGTTCAGATTTATTCATATTCAAAATGTTTTCCTTTATGTTTCACACTTGACCCCTCCTCTCCCCAAACCCTGCCATTTTCCTGGCCCTGAATGGTGAGATACTTGTAGGCAGGTTGTTCTCACTAAACTTTTTTTCTTTTTTTTTTTTTTAATGAGACAGAGTCTCACTCTGTCACCCAAGCTGGAGTGCAGTGGCGCCATCTCGGCTCACTGCAACCTCTGCCTCCCAGGTTCAAGCAATTCTCCTGCCTCAGCCTCCTGAGTAGCTGAGACTATAGGCGCATGCCATCATGCCCAGCTAATTTTTTGTATTTTTAGTAGAGACGGGGTTTCACCGTGTTAGCCAGGATGGTCTCGCACTCCTGGCCTCGTGATCCACCCACCTTGGCCTCCCAAAGTGCTGGGATTAGAGGAGTGGGCCACCGCGCCCGGCCTGTTCTCACTAAACTTCTAACACACGTTGCAAACAGCAGAGACAGTTGGTATTCAATATTTCCCATTTTATAAAATTCCCAATCAAAATAGTAGACTTGATATGTTTGGAAAGTTCAGGTGACTTTTTAATCTCTTACGGATTTGTGTGATATTGAGTGGGATTCATTCCAGTAACTGATTTCCCTGCAGTAATTTTAGTAGTTCTTTTATGTTCATTCTTGAAGTACAGTGGATTTTAAATATTGAAATTTAAAATATTAAAGAAAGTGAAAGAAAGCAAGTTATGATTACCATAGATGATAGAATATTTTAGAAATTTCTAATAGAGGTCATAAGAGCAGCTCTGAGATGTGATTCTTGGCTTTCAGTAGCTTAGCCTTTTATGAAACAGTTTACCCACTGGGGAAAAGACTGTAGAGTTGCGAAGCAGACCTTTTGATTACACCCATCCATAGAAAGGCAGCATATTGTGTTTTAGACTAATTCTAAAATGTAGCCAGTTTTAACAGACGTTTTAGTTAATTGACCACTAAACCAGATAGGACATAAAATCAATCTTCATTTTAGACCTTAATTAGGCAATGAAAACTGCAATTTTGGATTCAGATGTAAGAAATGGTTATGGAAAGCCTATTATTTATTTTAGTATTTCGGTGATTTTGTGCACAGGCAATCCTGATAAACTTGGCCTCTCAGAGGTGAAGTCAGAGTCAGTTCTATTGAGCCAGGGGAGTGGGGCCTGTGGGCAGGAGGTATTCCAATATACTTAAAAATAAAGATATGCCAAAACCAGATTTAAAAATTTATGGAGTACTTTAATACTTAACTAGTAAACAATTTTAATTTTAAAAACCCACTGATATGGTTAGGCTTTGTGTCCCCACCCATCTTGAATTGCGATCCCCATAATCCCTGTAATCCCCACGTATCAAGGAGAGACCAGGTGGAGGTAATTGAATGATGGGGGTGGTTTCCCCCATGCTATTCTCGTAATAGTGAGTGAGTTCTCACAAGATCTGATGGTTTTGCATGGGGCTCTTCCTCCTTCGCTTGGTGCTTCTCCTTCATGCTGCCTTATGATGAAGGTGCCTTGCTTCCCCTTCGCCTTCTGCCATGATTGTAAGTTTCCTGAGGCTTCCCCAGCCTTGTTGAACTGTGAATCAATTAAACCTATTTCCTTTGTAAATTACCCAGTCTTGGGCAGTTCGTTATAGCAGTGTGAAAACAGACTAATACACCCATGCAGCTATATTATTTTACTACTTATATGAAAATAGGAGGTATTGTAAAAATTAAAAATTACCTAATAGTTCACTGTCAAGTGCCTTATTTTAAAGTTTTTGGAGGAATGTATTCTTCTTTTCAAATTGTCAGTTTATCTCCTAACTATATGTATAATTTTATTTGGAAATGATATCAAAATTTAACATTTGAGACATTTCTTGAACAGGTGGCCCAGTCCAAATGGCCTTTCTGATAATGGCCTTTCCCTCCTGCCTCACCCTGTCCCCTGGTCTCTGGGAGGGAAAAAGCCAGACTCCAAGCAAGAAGCTGGAGTTCTTCTTTGGCCACTGACTTGCTACTCACTTTTGCTTTGAAAAATTCCCTCTCCCTCTTTTCTTTTATTCTAATTTTCTGAAGTGTAATGTACCTACAGAAGAAGGAACATCTTCTAAGTGTGTAGTTTGAAGGGTTTTTGCAAATTGAATACACCTATTTAATCAGCTGACATATCAAGAAATAGAACATGACATGAACATCCCTGTAGTCCTCTATGAGCCCTCTCCTTTCCATTACTTCCCCCATAAGGATAAATGTATTACTATTCTAGTTTTCCCCTCTTTAATTAAATGAAGTCTTAAAAAATATACTTTTTTGTGTGTGTCTGACTTCTTTTTCTTTTTTCTTTTTTTTTTTTTCTTTTTTTTTTTTTTTTGACACAAAGTCTCGCACTGTCGCCTGCGCTGGAGTGCAATGGTGCGATCTCGGCTCACTGCAACCTCTGCCTCTCAGGTTCAAGCAATTCTCCTGCCTCAGCCTCCTGAGTAGCTGGGGTTACAGGCGCCCACCACCACACCTGGCTAATTTTTTGTATTTTTAGTAGAGACGGGGTTTCACCATGTTGGCCAGGCTGGTCTTGAACTCCTAACCTCGTGATTCACCTGCCTTGGCCTCCCAAAGTGCTGGGATTACAGGCATGAGCCACCTTGCCCGGCCCGACTTCTTTCATTTTCATCTGTATTGTTGCAGACAGTCCTAGATGATTTATTATGTGAATAGACTATGACTTATTTATCTTTTCTTCTGGTAATAGGCTTTTGGGTAATTTCTAGTTTGGGGGTATTATGAATAATAATCCTCTGAACATTCTAGAACAGGTCTTTTGAGTTGTCTATCTTTTTAAAAAAAATTAATTTGTAAGAGTTCTTTTTTTTTTGAGACGGAGTCTCACTCTGTTGCCCAGGCTGGAGTGTAAGGGCACAATCTAAGTTCACTGCAACGTCTGCCTCCCGGGTTCAAGCGATTCTCCTGCCTCAGCCTCCTGAGTAGCTGGGATAACAGGCACCTGCTACCACACCCAGCTAATTTTTGTATTTTTAGTAGAGATGGGGTTTCATCATGTTAGCCAGGCTGGTCTCGAACTCTTGACCTTAGGCGATCCACCCGTCGCAGCCTCCCAAAGTGCTGGGATTACAGTTGTGAGTCACCGTGCCCAGCCAAGAGTTCTTTTTAATTCTGGCTATGAGTCCTTTGTCAGTTATGTGTGTAGCAAATAACTTTTCTTCCTCTGGCTTGCTTTTCTAGTCTCTTGTTTCTTGTGATAAATGGAAGTATGTACGTTTAATATAATCTAGTTTATCAGCGTTTTTTTCTTTATAGCTCTTTTTTTATGATCTTTTAAATAAATCTTTGCCTAATCAAAAATCAAGACTTTTTTCCTACGTTTTCCTCTAAAAGTTTTTGTTTTCTCTCTTAGATTTAGATCTGTAATTTTACTTATAAAATTGATTTTGTGTATGGTATAAAGTAGAGGTCAAGTTACCTGCTTCTCAATATGAAAATTCAGTTCATCCAGCATAATTTATTAAAAAGACCTTTCTGTTCCCATTGTACTGCAGTGTCATCTTTGTCAAAAATTAGGTGACAGTGTATGTGGGTCTGTTTCTGAACCACCTACTCTGTTCCATTGGTCAGTTCATCTACTATTGCCAGTAACATGCTTTTCTAATTACTATACCTTCATAATAAGTCTTTTTTCCCTCATATCCCTTTTGACCATATAAGAAGCCTTGAAATATAGTAGCATAAGTCTTCCAGTTTTGTTGTTGTTGTTCTTCTAGATTGTACTAATTTTGTGTGACCACATATTTCATATGTTTTAAAAATCAATTTCTCAGTTTTCACACACACACTATTATTAAATATCTGTTGGGGTTTTGATTAGGATGACATAGATTTAGGGAGAATCTACATCTTTACTGGTCTTTCAATTCATGAATATGATGTATTTGTTAATTTATTTAGGTTTTCTTTAATATTTGATAGTTTTCCATCTACAGATCTTTTGTTAAATCTAAATGTTATTGCTTTTCTTTTGATATCTTATAAAAAACAGTTTTTAAAGTTTTATGTTATTCATTACTAGTATTTAATTATAGAGTTAATTATTTTATTTTGGTCTTCTATGATCTCATAAAATTCATTATTAGTAACTATTATGTAGATTCTTTAGGATTTTTCTAGATACATGATCATATTTTTGACAAATAGTTTTTCAAGGTTTATGGTATTGAAAGTGAAAAATGTTAAAAAAAAAAGTTTTACTTATTTTTTTCCAACTCTATGCCTTTTATTTCTTTTACTTGCCTTGTTGTACTGATTAGAATGACCAATACAGGCCAGGTGTGATGGCTCACGTCTGTAATCCCAGCACTTTGGGAGGCTGAGGTGGGCGGATCACAAGGTTAGGAGTTCGAGACAAGCCTGGCCAATATGGTGAAACCCCGTCTATACTAAAAATACAAAAATTAGCCAGTTGTGTTGGGGGGACGCCTGTAGTCCCAGCTACTTGGGAGGCTGAGGCAGGAGAATCGCTTGAACCTGGGAGATGGAGGTTGCAGTAAGCCGAGATCACACCACTGTACTCCAGCCTGGGTGACAGAGTGAGACTCTGTCTCAAAAAAAAAAAAAAAAAGAATGCCCAATACAATGTTTAATGTAAGTGATGAAAGCAGACATTCTTCTCTTCTTCCTGATTTTAGGTAAAAGGCATTCTTTCATCACTGAGTATGATGTTAGCTATAGATCTTTTGTTGATGTTCTTTATCAGATCGAAGAAATTTTTTTTTACTTCTAATTTGCTGGCTTTTATCAGAATAGATTATGCATTTTGTAAAATGATTTTTTTTTTTTTTGAGATGGAGTCTTGCTCTGTCGCCCAGGCTGGAGTGCAATGGCGCAATCTTGGCTCACTGCAACCTCCGCCTCCCGGATTCATGCCATTCGCCTGCCTCAGCCTCCTGAGTAGCTGGGACTACAGGTGCCTGCCACCATGCTCGGCTAATTTTTTTGTATTTTTAGTAGAGACAGGGTTTCACAATGTTAGCCAGGATGGTCTCGATCTCCTGACCTCATGATCCACCTGCCTCGGCCTCCCAAAGTGCTGGGATTACAGGCGTGAGCCACCGCGCCCGGCAAAATGATTTTTTAAAAAATCTATTTATTATTTATTTATTTATTTTGAGACAGGGTCTCACTCTGTCAGCCAGGCTGGAGTACAATGGCACCATCATGGCTTACTGCAGCCTTGAACTCCTGGGCTCAAGCAATCCTCCCACCTCTCAGTCTTCCAAGTAGCTGGGATGATAGGCACCCACCACCATGCCCAGCTAATTTTTGTATGTTTTTGTAGAGGGTTTTGCCACGTTGCCCAGGCTAGTCTGTAACTCCTGGGCTTAAGCTATCTGCCCACCTCAGCCTCCTGAAGTGCTGGGATTACAAGCGTGAGTTGCCAGACTCGGCTTACACCTATTTAAATGACTTGTAGTTTTTTCATCAGTTTGTTGATATGCTGAAATTGAATACTTTTAATGAGTTGAATCAGCCTTGCATTTCCAGAATGAATCCTGTTTAGTTGTGATGCATTAATCTTTTTCTTCTCTGTAACTGAGTTTGATTTACTAAAATTTTGTTAAGAATTTTGGCATCTATGGCTGGGCATGGTGGCTCAAGTCTGTAATCCCAGCACTTTGGGAGGCCGAGGCAGGCAGATCAGAGATCAAGACCTTCCTGGCTAACATGGTGAAACCCGTCTCTACTAAAAATACAAAAAAATTAGCCAGGCGTGGTGGCAGGCGCCTGTAGTCCCAGCTACTTGGGAGGCTGAGGCAGGAAAATGGTGTGAACCCGGGAGGCAGAGCTTGCAGTGAGCCGAGATCACACTGCCGCACTCCAGCCTGGGCGACAGAGCGAGACTTCATCTAAAAAAAAAAAAAAAAAAAAAAAAAATTTTGGCATCTATGTTCAAAAGGGATATTGGCCTATAGCTGTCTTTGCTTGTAGTTGTCTTTGCTTGTGTTATCTTTGCCTTTTTTTAGTACCAGAAAATAATCTTCTGAATCCATTTCAATAGGATTATTGGGCTTTTTTTTTTTTTTTTTTTTTTTTTCTTGAGACAGGGTCTCTGTTGCTGAAGCTGGAATGCAGTGTCACAATCATAGCCTACTACAGGCTAAAATTCCTTGGCTCAAGTGATCCTCCCACCTCAGCCTCCAGGGTAGCTAGGACCAAAGGCAGGCAACACCATACCTGGCGAATTCTGTTTCTTTTTGGTAGAGATGGGGTCTCACTATGTTGCCCAGGCTGGTCTCAAACTCCTGACCTCAAGCTATTCCTCCACCTTGACCCCTCAAAGCCACTATGTCCATACTCTTCCTTAAATTCTTTTTTTTTTTTTTGAGATGGAGTCTCACCCTGCCACCCAGGCTGGAGTACAGTGGTGCGATCTTGCCTCACTGCAACCTCCACCTCCTGAGTACAAGTGATTCTCCTGCCTCAGCCTCCTGAATAGCTGAGACTACAGGTGTGTGCCACCATGCCTGGCTAATTTTTGTATTTTTAGTAGAGATGGGGTTTCACCATGTTGACCAGGCTGGTCTGGAACTCCTGACCTCATGATCCACCCACCTTGGCCTCCCAAAGTGCTAGGCTTACAGGCATGAGCCACCATGCTTGACCCCTTAAATTCTTAATAGAATTCACCAGTGAAGCCATTAAAGCCTGAAGATTTTTTTGTGGGAAGGATTCTAATTACGAATTCAATTTCTATAATGGATATATGGCTATGCAAGTTTTCTTCTTTTTCTTGATCAGTTATGTTAATTTGCATCTTTCAAGTAATTTGTCCAACTATCTAGTTTTTCAGATTTTTGTCAAAAATTGTTTATGATCTTTGTCATTTAATATCTGCATGATTTGTGCTGATGCTTCCTCTATCATTACTGATATTGATCATGTGCATTTGCATTGTCTCTTTTTTTCTTAATAAATCTAAGGATCATTTTCATCAATTTAATTGATCCTTTCAAAGAAACAACTTTTGGTTTCATTGATATTTTCCCATTTATTTCCTGTTTCACTTATTTCTTATCTTTATATTATTTCCATTCTTTTTTCCTAGTTTGAGTTTATGTTTTTTTTTTTTTTGAGATGGAGTCTCGCTCTGTCACCCAGGCTGGAGTGCAGTGGTGCGTTCTCAGCTCACTGCAACCTCTGCCTCCCGGGTTCAAGCGATTCTCCTCCCTCAGCCTCCCTAGTAGCTGGGATTACAGGCACCTGCCACCACGCCTGGCTAATTTTTGTACTTTTTAGTCGAGATGGAGTTTCACCATATAGGCCAGGTTGGTCTCGAACTCCTGACCTTGTGATCCACCCACCTCGGCCTCCCAAAGTGCTGGGATTACAGGTGTGAGTCACTGCGCCCAGCCTTTTTTTTTTTTTTTGGAAACAGTCTTGCCCTGTCACCTGGGCTGGAGTACAGTGGTGTGATCTTGACTCTGCAACCTCCACCTCTTGGGCTCAAGCAATCCTCCCACCTCAGTCTCCCAAGTAGCTGGGACCAAAGGTGTGTGCCACCACACCCGGCTAATGTTTTGTATTTTTACTAGAGATGGGGTTTTGCCATGTTGCCTAGGCTGGTCTTGAATTCTTGAACTCAAGCAATCGCCTGCCTAGGCCTCCCAAAGTGTTGGGATTACAGGCATGAGCCACCATACCCAGTCTAATTTACTCTTTTTCTAATTTCTTCAAGTAGAAACGCTGATAGTTGATTTCATTCCTTTCTTCATTTCTTTCTTTTTTTCTTTTTCTTTTTTTTAAAGTTTTTTTTTTTTTGTAGAGCTGAAGTCTGCCTTTGTTACTCAGGAGTCTGGAACTCCTGGAGTTGAAACTCCTAGCCTCAAGCAATCCTCCTGCCTCGGCCTCCTGAAGTATTGGTATTACAAGCATGAGTCACAACTCCTGGCCTCTTCATTTCTAATATAAGTATTCAATGCTATATTTTTTCTAGGCACTGTTTTAGTTGCATCCCATAATTTTTTTTTTTTTTTGAGATGGAGTCTCGCTGTGTCACCCAGGCTGGAGTGCAGAGGCGCAGTCTTGGCTCACTGCAACCTCCACCTCCTGGGTTCAAGTAACTCTCCTGTCTCCACCTCCTGAGTAGCTGGAATTACAGGCACGTGCCACCACGCCCAGCTAATTTTTGTATTTTCAGTAGAGATGAGGTTTCACGATGTTGTCTAAGCTGGTCTTGAACTCCTGACATCAGGTGACCCACCTGCCTCTGTCTCCAAAGTGCTGGGATTACAGGCATGAGCCACCATGCCCAGCCCACAATTTTTAATATGCTATATTTTTATTATAATTTAGTGGAAAAAATTTAATTACCTTGTTATTTTTAAACCCACTGATTATTTAGAAGTTTAATTTTAAATATTCAAATATTTTGGATTTCCCTAGGTATCTATTGCTATTGATTTCTAATTCAGTTCTATTTTGGTTAGGTGTAATCTGTATTATTGCAATCTTTTTAAATTTACTGAGGTTTTTTTTATGGCCCAGAATATAGTTTACCTAGTAAGCGTACCATGTGAACTTAAAAGAAATGTTATACTACTCTTGGATATAGAGTTCTATAGATAGTATTATCCAGGTGATTAATAGTGTTTTTCAAATCACCTATGTCTTTGATGAATTTTGTGTAGTGGTTTGATGGAATCAATTGTTGAGATAAATGTTAAACCCTCATGTATGATTGTGGAATTGTCTATTTCTCACTTTAATTTTTTCAATTTTTGCTTCATATATTTGAAGCTCTATTATTAGAGGTAAGCACATTTTTGGTTAGTAAGTATTCCTAATAAATTAACCTTTTTATTTATCTAGAAATGAGATCTCTCTAAGTGCCTCAGGCTGGACACAAACTCCTGGGCTCAAGTGATCCTTCTGCCTCAGCCTCCCTAGTAGTTGGGACTACAGGTGCGTGCCAATGTGCTCAGCTTACATTGACCTTTTGGTCATCATGAAATATCCTTCTTAATGTCTGATAATATTTCTTGTCTTGAGATCTATTTTATTTGATATTAATATAGCTGCTCCAATCTTCTTTTGTGTACTATTTATGTGGTATGCCATTTTCCATCTATTTACTTATTCTTAGCCTATCTGTCTATACCTTTGTGTTCAAAGTATATCTCTTGTAGACAGATTACAATTAAGTTTTGCTGTATGCATTATTCTGAGAAACATTTTAATTGTCATCTTTTTTTTTTTTGAGACAGAGTTTTACTCTGTCTTCCGGGCTGGAGTGCAATGGCATGATCTAGGCTCACTGCAACCTCCGCCTCCTGGGTTCAAGCGATTCTCCTGCCTCAGCCTCCTGAGTAGCTGAGATTACAGGCACCCACTACCACACCTGGCTAATTTTCGTATTTTTAGTAGCGATGGGGTTTCACCATGTTGTTCAGGCTGGTCTTGAACTCCTGGAGTCATGATCTGCCCACTTCGGCCTCCCAAAGTGCTGAGATTACTGGCATGAGCAGCTGAGCCCAGCCTTAATTGTCATCTTTAGTTCATTAGCATTTATTATAATCATTTATTTGAGTAGGTTTAGGTATATCACTTTGTTTTTTTGATTGTTACTTGTCTCTCTGTTTTCTCATGCTCTGCTCTGCCTTTTCTGTTTTCTTATTTGAATATTTTTAAAAGTTACATTTTAATTTTCCCATTGACATTTTAGATATACTTCCTTATTATACATTTTTAGTGATTGCTGTGGGAATTATGTCTCAAATGTTTCATGGTCCACTTACGCTTAATATTATACCACTTCATGTAGAATAAAAAATCTTTCCAAGCATACTGTTTCATATTCCCCTCTGTCTTTTTTGCTATAAAAAAGCAAGACCCAAAATGCATTATATATGTCATAAGACAATATCTTAATTGTGGTTTAAAACCATTATTTAAATTATAGTAAAATTAAAAGGGAAAAAGCAAAATAAATCAATGAAATACTTTTTTGCATTTACACAGGTATTTACTATTTTTAATGTTCCTAATTCTGAGGATCTCATTTTTCATCTGACAACATTTTTCTCTGGCCTGAAGATCTTCCTTCAGCATTTCTTGTAGTGTAGTTTTGCTGGGGATGTATATTAGGCCATTCTTGCATTGCTTTAGAGAAATACCTGTAGACTTGGCACGGTGGCCCACACCTGTAATCCCAGCACTCTGGGAGACTAAGGTGGGAGGATTGCTTGGGCCCAAGAGTTTGAGACCAGCCTGGGCAACACGGTGAAACCCCATCTCTACAAAAAATACAAAAATTAGCTGAGTGTGCTGACGCATGCCTGTAGTCCCAGCTACTTGGGAGGCCGAGGTGGGAGAATTGCTTGAGCCTGGGAGGTTGAGGCTGCAGTGAGCTGTGATCTCTGCAGTGAGCTGTAATCATGCTACTGTACACAACCCTGGGCAACAGAGCAAGACCCTGTATCAAAAAACAAAAACAAACAAACAAAAAGCTTGAGACTGGGTAAAATTTATCAAGAAAAGACATTTTCTTGGCACATCGTTCTGCAGGCTTTCAGGAAGCACAGTGCTGGCATCTGCTCAGCTTCTGGGAGGCCTCAGGGAACTCACAATTATGGCAGAAGGTGAAGTAGGGAACTTGCAGGTCACATGGCAGTAGCAGGAACAAGACAGGAGGTGGTACCACATACTTTTAAACCACCAGATCTCATGAGAGTTCACTTATCACCAAGGGATGGCTCAAGCCATTCATGAGGGATCCACCCCCAGGATCCAACACCTCCCAGCAGGCCCCACCTCTAGCACTGGGGATTACAATTTAACAAGAGATTTGGGCAGGGACCAATAAACAAACTATATCAGGATGCAATCTCTTGTTTTCTTGTATCTGAAAAATATCTTTATTTTGCCTTCATTCTTGAAGAATACTTTCACAGGTTATATAATTTTGGGTGGACAGATTTTTCTTAATTTCACACATAATGTTTCACTCTTTTCTGGCCTCAAAATTTCTGAGTGGTGAGCTGTTAATTAAATTATCATTACCTTCTATGTCATTTTTCTGTGTTATTTTTCTCTTGCTGCTCTCAAGACTTGCCCTTTATCTTGGTTTTCAACAGTATAACTATTAAACTGTAAATTTCTATTTTTCATAAATTTTGGGACATTTTCACCATTATATCTTCAATTAAATTTTTTTTTCTGCTACATTCTCTTTTTCATGTTTATCTGGAACCATTTTATAGATAGAATCACTGGTTATCATCTAGCAGAACCCTGAGTTTCTGGCTGGGCTCAGTGGCTCACGCCTGTAATCCCAGCACTTTGGGAGGCCGAGGAGGGCGGATCACGAGGTCAGGAGATCAAGACCATCCTGGCTAATATGGTGAAACCCCGTCTCTACTAAAAATACAAAAAATCAGCTGGGCGTGGTGGCGGGCACATGTAGTCCCAGCTACTTGGGAGGCTGAGGCAGGAGAATGGTGTGAACCTGGGAGGCGGAGCTTGCAGTGAGCCGAGACTGCACCACTGCACTCCAGCCTGGGTGACAGAGCGAGACTCCGTCTCAAAAAAAAAAGAACCCTGAGGTTCTGTTTATTTTTTTTTTCCTTTTTGTCATATTGGATATTTTCTTTTAATCTATCTTCAAATTCATTTCCTTTATTCTTCTGTTATCTTCATTCTGCTGTTAAATCCATCTATTGATTTTTTTCACATATTTTATTTTTCAGCTCCAGAACTTCCATTTGTTTTCTTTGTTTAATTATTTTTATTTCTCTGATGAGATTTCCTATTTCTCTACTTCAGTTGTGGACATATTTTGTTTTAATTTATTGAGATTAGTTAAAATAAGCACTTCAAAGCCCTTGTTTTAACACTCGGCTCATCTCAATATTCCTCTTAGTTGATTTTCTTTTCTAGTGGTTCTATGCTCCATTTATATGGCTTTTCATGTCAGGCAATTTTTAATAGTGTTCTAGATATGTTAAGTTGTTAAGATTGTAGGTTTTGTTATTTTTCTCTGTTATTTTATTAGCAGACAACTGTTGTATTAGAATTTATGTAGGACAAAATTATTTTTCGGCTGGACTGAGACAATTCTATGTTTACCTCTAGGATGTCTGAAAGTCTGGCACTATATCTTGGCCGAGAAAAGAACAGTGGACTAACTAATGATTTGTAAATGTACTGTTTTTAGTTCAAAACTCCCCTGAAGGCACCTAAAGCTGGTTTGTTTATGAATGAATGACACCCGGTGTGACCAGTTACACTTTTCGTCTTGGCTTTTATATTTAAGAGGTCACTAGAAAAAACTGGCTGGAAACTTTTAGGCAGCTTTCCTGAAACCAAGATTTATTACACAACTCTTGCAACTCAATCCTGAGATAAAGCACATATTCATTGAGAGTATGTCAGACCCAAGGAGCTGTGCCTGGAAGTCTCCCAGACTCTCAATGATTGCTGGTACTTTCTCCTGATATACCAAATTCTTTACCTTTAATAAAACTCTTACATGAATGTACTCTTTGGAGCTTTTCAAGTTCTTTCAGTGGTCTAATCTGTTGTAATCCTTGCAAAATTGAACTGTGAAATCTGGTTGTTGGGTGGCAGCTTCAGTCCCCTTTCAAATCAATTTTTTTTTTTTTTTTTAGCCAAGATCTCACTCTGTCACCCAGGCTAAGGTGCAGTGGCATGATCTCAACTCACTGCAGCCTCAGCCTCTGGGGTTCAAGCAATCCTTCCACCTCCCAAGTGGTGGGGACCACAGGCACACGTCATCATGCCCAACTAATTTTTGTACTTTTTCTAAAGATGGGGTTTCAATAAGTTGCCCAGGTTGTCTTGAACTCCTGGGCTAAGTGATCCACCCACCTCGGCCTCCCAAAGTGCTCGGATTACAGGTGTGAGCCACCATCCCCAGCCTCACTTTCAGATCTATTACTACTGGCAGAGATGCTTTGTATCTGCTCCACACGTGTGTGGTTAAGGAGCCAGTGAAAGATACAGGCAGGCAGAATTTAGATACTCCCTTTCTGACTCTTTCCTTCCAACATTTACTTACTCCCTTCAATGGCAACCATTTCCTGAACTTCAGTTTTCTGGTTCTCCAGACCATTTTCCACCACACTTTTCTAAGCCCCGCTGCTTCTGGCATCATCTGCACTTGGTCTCAGGCTGAAAGTTCCAGAAAATGAGAACTCACTTTGTAGAATTCCCCTCTTCCAAACAAGTACACTCCCGTAGAGTCTCTTTTCTGCTTACTCTCCAGTGATTTGGTTAGCTGTTGTTTGTTTTAGGTTCAGAGTTTATGGTTATTTTCTATGGAGAATTCAGTCTGGTTTGATCTTACTTCATCACTAATGAAGTGAGACTTCTGATGAGATTTTTAAAATATTGCCCTTTTCCATGAAAGTTGTCTTAAAATGAAAAAAAAAAAGCTAAATTTTAGTTTAGTTTTCAGCAGAGAAAATCTATTGCCAACCATGAGCTAACAGAGTGTCTTAGAAACACAGCATTTAAAGGAGAACCCTGTTTCATCCTAAAAATGATCATGTTATTTTTTTCAAGACAAGAATTGGTCATAAAAATTATTTTTACCAAAAAAAGCATTGATCAGTTGTCTGCTAATTGTACCTAAGTGGTATTATGAAGTACTTGACACACTACAGTCCTGACATTATTAGATGATGACAAGCAGTTGCCAATGACAACTAGAAAGAAAGATTGCTATACATGCTACATGAATATTTAATCTTTGTTTCTTTTTCACAATGTTAATGTACTGTCTTCTTTAATTCTCATAATAATCCAATGAGATAAGTATTACCTATCCATTTAGTAGATGAGCAAACAGACATTATAGGGAGGGAGACACATACTAAAAGATAACCCCTGGCCTGTTTGATTCCTAAGCCGGGCTCTTAATTACATGTACTACATGATTAATTACTACGAGTTAGTTGACACTTATAAGTATATATGTGGATATGGGTCTGTGTATGTGTGTGTAAATATGCTTTTAGGATATTTTTAGTAAGTGATACTCCCAACACAGGAAAAAAAGCATTATTAAAGAAAAAGTTACTGCCTGATCTTAACTCTATAAAAGTTGTATACACTGGTATTAAATTTATCAAGAAATGAATGTGTTTTGTATGAGAAATATAAACATTTACACCAAAGTTATTTAATTTTCTTTACAATATTTAAAATAATTATGTCCTATAGTTATTACCTCTAGAAGCCCAAATAGTGTATTTCATAGTGTCATAGTTTTAGGCCTGAAAAGCAACAGTTGGCAAAATACAATTTGCAGGCCAAATTCCGCCCAATACTTATTGCTGTAAATTCTATTCTATTCTATTCTATTCTATTCTATTCTATTCCATTCCATTCCATTCCATTCCATTCCATTCCGTGATTGGAACACAGCCATGGTCATTTTTTATGTATTTTCTTTTTTTTTTTTTTTTGGAGACAGAGTCTCACTCTCTCGCCCAGGCTGGAGTGCAGTGGCGCCATCTCGGCTCACTGCAAGCTCCGCCTCCCGGGTTCAAGCCATTCTCCTGCCTCAGCCTTCCCAGTATCTGGGACTACAGGCGCCCGCCACCACGCCCGGCTAATTTTTTGTAGTTTTAGTAGAGATGGGGTTTCACCATGTTAGCCAGGATGGTCTCGATCTCCTGACCTCGTGATCTGCCGCCTCGGCCTCCCAAAGCGCTGGGATTACAGGCGTGAGCCACCGCGCCCGGCCTTTTTATGTCTTTTCTATGGCTACTTTTGTGCGACAACGGCAGAGTTGAGTAGTCGCAGTCAATACTGTATAGTCTCCAAGCCTACAGCATTCACTCTCTGACCCTTTCAGAGAAGGTTTGCTGACTCCTACCCTTATAGGAAACTTAAGGCTCATGTTCACAGAAAGAGAGGGCCTCTTAGTGGATTTCTTTTCCTATTTTAAAATCATTTCCCACATGGTAAATTAGGTTCATCATCTAGAAAAGTTTTTCTTTCAGGTTCACAAACACAAAATCATATTACAATGCAACCTGTTTTAAAAGGTTACATTTTTACCCAGATAACGCACAATTTGATAGACTATCATTTTGAAAACCAATGCCAGTGGAGAGAAAACAGTTTTTTCACTCTATGCCTGCTTTTCTCAGGTTATCTAACCTTCCTATTTACTGAAATTTTCAAGAGTGTAATTGACCTTTTTAAAGGTGGTTGCTGGTTTTACTGTGCTAATTTCCAAAGCTTTAAGATTGATAATAAACATTTCAGAAAGTTAGCAGTCATATATTTAAGAAGAAAAATATGTCCACAGTGTCATTCTAATGTAACATGTACATAAATTTACTCTTTTTTTTTTTTTTTTTTTTTTTTTTTGAGACGGAGTCTTGCTCTGTCACCCAGGCTGGAGTACAGTGGAGCAATCTCGGCTCACTGCAACTTCTACCCCCTGGGTTCAAGTGATTCTTCTGCCTCAGACTCCTGAGTAGCTGGGACTACAGGTGTGCGCCACCATGCCTGGCTAATTTTTGTATTTTTAGTAGAGACAGGATTTCACCCTGTTGGCCAGGCTGATCTCGGACTCCCGACCTTGTCATCTGCCCGCCTCGGCCTACCAAAGTGCTGGGATTACAGGCATGAGCCACTGCGCCCGGCCATAAATTTACTTTCTATGTTTCCAAGGTGTGAGGTCTTATTCTCAACCTTGATTTCCCTTAAAAACCAAATGGGATAAAAACTAAAGACTTCAGGCTTACAATTTTACGTGTGTATACGTGCCAAGCCTCCCATGGGTTGGCACAAACTGTGATGATGGGACGGCAGCCCCTGCTGCACAATGAAAAACATTGTTACTATTAAAATCTTGGTCTAAACATTTTTTTTACAAAGCCTTTTACTTGCAATGGGTCATTGGAATCCCTCTCACTTTTTTTTTTTTTTTTTTTTTTTTTTTTTTTGAGACGGAGTCTCGCTCTATCACCCAGGCTGGAGTGCGGTGGTGCAACCTCGGCTCACTGCAAGCTCCGCCTCCTGGGTTCACACCATTCTCCTGCCTCAGCCTCCTGAGTAACTGGGACTACAGGCATCCGCCACCAAGCCTGGCTAATTTTTTGTATTTTTAGTTGAGACGGGGTTTCACCATGTTAGCCAAGATGGTCTCGATCTCCTGACCTCGTGATCCACCCGCCTAGGCCTCCCAAAGTGCTGAGATTACAGGTGTGAGCCACCGTGCCCGGCCCCTCTCACTTTTTAATAGGCCATTTACTATGGAATAGTGGTCCAAAAGTTGGCAGAATATGATATTTAATTGGTGAATTTATTTTAAATGCAGATGACTGGAATCCACCAGAGATACACTGAATGTGAGTTGTGGGATGGGAGTAGTCAGGGATCTGTATTTTTTAAAAGCTCTGCAGGTGATTCTGAAGCACACCAAAGTTTCTCTGGTATTGAGGAAAATTTTTTATTTTTATTTTTTGTTTTATTTTATTTTTTTTCCAAGCCAAACTGTATACAGCTTTATTAAAGATACTTTGCATAAACAATCATGGTATTTCAGGCAGGACATGGGCAGACGATTGTTAACAGTATACAACAACTTTCAAATTCCCATCTTCAATGGACTATCAAAAATCAGAAAGCCAATAAAAGACGCAATGAAGTCTTCATCTGATGCTCTGAACAGGGTGAGGGTTGACATTTCACATTTAGCCTGTTGTTTAACAACTTTTCACAAGCCGACCCTGACTTTTAGGAAGTGAAATGAAAACAGAATTTTTCTGAAGACTCACAATCTAGAAAGATAACCACTGTTCTTTTGACAGGTGCCATCTCAGCGGCATCACTGGAAAGTCCAGATTGGCCGGGCACTGTGCCTCACGCCTGTAATCCCAGCACTTTGGGAGGCCGAGGCGGGTGGATCACGAAGTCAGGAGATCGAGACCATGGTGAAACCCCGTCTCTACTAAAAATACAAAAAAAATTAGCCGGGTGTGGTGGCGGGCGCCTGTAGTCCCAGCTTACTGGGGAGGCTGAGGCAGGAGAATAGCGTGAACCCGGGAGGCGGAGCTTGCAGTGAGCCGAGATGGCGCCACTGCACTCCAGCCTGGGCAACAGAGCGAGACTCCATCTCAAAAAAAAAAAAAAAAAAAAGAGAGAGTCCAGATTGCCTGACACGCTGGTAACCAATGACTAAGGGTCAGGTCCCAGTGGATATCTGGGCTTAAGGGAGTTAAGTCTATGCTGAGAGATGGAAAGGGGGAAGATGACATAAAAATGAGTTTGTTTTTCCATACCACAAGGCTTTTGTGCCAAGCTGGCCATGTGTGTCAAAGTCAGGGACTCCCTCCTCCTGGGGGCCAAGAGGAAGTCTCTCAAAACTAGAAGGGAAAGGTGTTTTCCCCCATCAATCCAGCTCTGGAGACATTCTATTAGTGACATGTGCCCCTTCCCCCCAAAACAATGAAGTGTTCTGTGTGCTAACAACATAGCTTACAAAAAAAAGTAAAACAAAATTCTGCATTTTTATAAAACTTGATAAAAAATAGTATTTCAAACGGTACAAACTGTGTACAGAAGTACACAGTTATCAAAAATGCACACACTTCACTTGGCCTCTCCAGCACCTTAGGCTTTCTGTGCCTGGTCTGTTTTGGCATCTGCATTTTCTGGAAGGTTATTCCCCTCCTTGCCAGAATCAGCTTTTCCCCTTTTTCTCTGTGGGTACCTCTTCTTCCTTCTTTGCAGGGGCCTTTTTAGGCTTTGGCTTTGGCTTTGGAGGAGCGGGTTTAGCATACAACCTTGCGGATCTTCTCTGTGGTTCGTCCTTCACCTTGGCTTTATCTCCTTTAGCATCCCCTTCAGCCTTTGTCTTGGGCATGGTGGCGGCGTCGACGGCGGCGGGATGTAGGCGCTGGGCGCGGGACGCAGCGGCGCCCAGGCTTTGGTCAGTCAGGGTGTCGTTCTTGTCTCTTCTTCTTCACTGCTCGGGCTCCGGGGGGTTTATAAAGTGAAACTTTTCACATGACAATCTGGAAAACTGGGTTCTAATCCTGGCTGTCTTGTAAAATTGCAATGTGGCCTTGAACAAGTCGCTTGGATAAGTAGCCAAAAAGGAGGAAGGGGTCTCCTGTGGAAGGTCCTTGTTTTTTTTCATAGTTGTTCAATTTTTTTAGTTTTCTCAACTGTAAAAAGGAGGACATAACATTATTTACCTTGGGTTTGCTGTAAGGAAATTGCTCGTCACATAATAACAACTCAAAAGTTAACTTGTTAGATTTTATTATTTTTATAATCATTATTAATATTGATGCCAAAATGATACAGAACTATAATTCAGTATAATAGACATACTATATTTCCCTACACAACCAATAAAGAGCTGGCCTCATTCATTCATTTAGATAAGTAATTGTTGCTACCCACCAGGGTCCAGGTACTGCACTAAACTCAGGACACAGGATTGGATACTATGGGGTCTCTGACCTTAAAAGACTGATAGCCCAGTGGCTGGTGTGGTGGCTCATGCCTGCAATCCCAGCACATTGGGAGGCTGAGGCGGGCAGATACCTGAGGTCAGGAGTTCAAGACCAGCCTGGCTAACATGGTGAAACCCAGTCTCTACCAAAAATACAAAAATTAGCTGGGCATGGTGGCGGGTGCCTGTAATCCCAGCTACTTGGGAGGCTGAGGCCAGAGAATCGCTTCAACCCGGGAGGCAGAGGTTGCAGCGAACCGAGATTGTGCTACTGCACTCCAGCCTGGGTGACAGAGTGAGACTCTGTCTCAAAAAAAAAAAAAGAAAAAAAAAAGATTATATCCTCCTGTCAAAAGATATAATATGTATAGCCAAATATTGAAGCTGCTACTTTTTCTAAAGAAAGTCAAAAGTGTTTGCTGAAAAGCCATTTCACCCACTTCCACAAAGATGATAATAACTTCTATTAAATAGTTCATCTCTCTTCTTGAGTAGTGTGGCATACACATATTAGATAATATTGTATTTTTGGAGAACTCATTGCGTATGAGTAGCTTAGATAAAATGAGCTAAGAGGGTTCAATTAAGTTCTCATTCTGATGGCACTCACTGTCTTTGACTTTTATAAAGGTTTATGATCCTTGTTGCTATAATTTTAAAGACTTAATAAAAATAGTGTTAATAGACTTTTCATCATTTAAACAGTCTTCCTTTGAGAATTCCGTTATTGCTTCTGATAAATTCCTTCTAGAAAGCATATGAGGCATGGGAAATGGTTAGATTATCATGAACATGTACAATATCAATGTTTCTTTTGTTAAAAATACCACTAAGAATATTCAAAGATGTCATGCTTATTGTTCTGTAAACTAAAACTTATGTTTTCTACTAAGTTGAATAAGAATATAGATTGAACATACTTCCTTTTCTTATCAGATCTCTCCTCCTCAAGTGTGAATTGAAGAAATTTCCCTAGGGGAGAAAAAATAGATCTTACTTACAGAGAAGTCAAATAATAAATTTAAAAAATATTTGTAACACAAATGGAAAATAAAATCTAAAAAATACCTAGTAGAAAACTAATTCAGGTTTCATGAAACAACATTAATAACAACAATAGATAATGAACAAAATATATTAACAAAATCAAAATGGCTAGCCCATTAAAAACATTATTACCACTAGTTATTTAAGAAATACAGATTAAAGTGAAATCACATTTTTCTATAAAATTAGTATAATTTTTTTCTTTTTTATAATCCATAGGTTCATAGAAATAAGTAGAGATTTCAAAATAGCAATATATAACACTGATAAGGGTGTGATGATACCCTTATTCAATGCAGCCATGTTTATAAATGACAATTTTTTGAAAGTGTTAGTAATAAAGCCTCAGTCTTCTGTATGTATGTATGTTTTTGAGACAGGGTCTTGCTGTGTTGCTCAGGCTGTTCTTGAACTCCTAGGCTCCAACAATCTTCCTGCCTCGGTCTCCCAAAGTTCTGGGATTACAGGCGTGAGCCACTGTGCCCAGCCAAGCATTAGTCTTAAACCCGCATACACTCTTTTTATCAATCTAGTCTCTGAAGGATGCACATGATAGAAACCTCCACTCCATACTAGCTTAGGCTAAACAGGGAATTATTTCTTGTGGATTACATCAGGATAGATTCTGTTACTGAAATTATATTGTTAGGAATCTGCCCCTTTTCATCTCTAGCTTCCATCTCTCCTCTGTGTTAGCTTCATACCAAGGCAAGCTCTCTCAGTGATTGCTGGAAAGCTGGGCTGGTCAACCCAAAATAACAGGTTTCAATCAATGTAGAAAGTTTATTTTGCCAAGGTTAAGGAGGTTCTGAGGATCATGTTCCCAAGGTGGTGGTGGGGGAGACTTCCAGGTCATAGGTAGATAAGAGACAAAAGGTTGCATTCTTCTGAGTCCTTGATGAGCCTTTTACTGACTACACAATTTATTCTGGCTCAGTGAGTCTGTATTTTTACATAAACAATAGAGCAGAGGAGGCAATCAGATATGCATTTGTCTCAGGTGAGCAGAGGGAGGACTTTCTGTCCTGCACCTGTGAAGGTATGCGGTGGGGGATGCGGGGGGTTGGGGTGGGGAGTGAAATTCAACGCAGCTGATTCAGGGTAAAGATTTTGAGGCCACAAGAAATTTCCTTCTGGGCAAATTGTGAGGGAGGTATGTAGCTCTTTTACCTTTGTAGTTATCTTATTTAGGAATTAATATGGGAAGAAGGTTTGCGTGATTGTAGTTCCCAGCTTGACTTTTCCCTTGGCTTAGTGATTTCGGGGCCCCAAGGTTTATTTTCCTTTCACAGGCTGATATCAGATAGCCAACCCTAACGAAAGGGAATGGCTTTTCCTGGAAAAGCCCAAGAGTGAGCCTCGTTGCCTGAGTTAGGTCTCATATTCAGTCCCGAACCAGCCACTGCAGCCAGGGGGGTAGAATGCCCTGACTGCCCACGCTGGGGTCCTGCACAAGCCTTGAAGCCAGGGACGGAGTCAGCTTTATCCAAGCTCCTTGGGATACAGTGTGATTCTCCAAAGTAAGATGTTACCACCAAAAGAAGGGGAAATGGAAGCGAGTCAGGAAAAATCAACCGATATTCACTGCACAATTTCATCCTTTAATAACACTCCTGTAAATCAATGTTAAGAAATAATAAATGCAAAGATTAACATCCAAATGTTTAATATAGCTTTGGTTATAAGGGAGGAGACCACGCCTCATATTGTCTTATGTCCAATTTCTGCCTCCAAAGAAAGTAGAAGTAAAAACTAAAAGGCAGAAATGAAATCCACAAGCAGATAGCCCGGTGCCACACCCTGGGCCTGGTAGTTAAAGATCGACCCCTGATCTAATCAGTTGTGTTATCTATAGATTACAGACACTGTATAGAAAAGCACTGTGAAAATGCCTGTCCTGTTCTGTTCCGTTCTAATTACCGGTGCATTCAGCCCTCAGTCACGTAGCTCCTGCTTGCTCAATCAATCACGATCCTCTCACGCGGACCCCCTTAGAGTTGTGAGCCCTTGAAAGGGACAGGAATTGCTCACTCGGGGAGCTCGGTTGTTGGAGACGTGGGTCTTGCCGAAGCTCCCGGCCAAATAAAGCTCTTCCTTCTTTAACTCGGTGTCTGAGGGGTTTTGTCTGCAGCTTGTCCTGGTACAGTTACAATACTTAAAAAAAAAAACAAAACCCCAAAACCTTGAATAATACTATTATTTGACAATAGGCAAATTGTAAATTAAAAAGTACAAAATGTATTAGGGAGCCATAAAATTATATTTTAAATACCTTTTAGTGCTTATGAGGAAAGTATACTTTATGATATAAAGTCATAAAGGCAGAATGTCATACATACAGTAAGAGCTCACCTATGTAAAAAAATGTGCAGAAAACAAACCTAGGAAAATCTGTTAAAATAATAATTAGTTCCAAGAACTGTTGGACTTTACTTATTCATAAAACAGGTTTTTTTTTGAGTGTTATTTAATGGCAAGAATTTTTCTTCTGAATATTATTTCTTTATAATTTCCATACTTTACATATGTTACAATAAGAAACTGAGAGGTGCCCTGCATTTAAATAGAAATTCTAATAACTTTACTTAAATTATTATGACATTGCAAACATCATTTTAAGGTGCTTTCGGGTACGCTGTCTCATTTAATGTCTCTTAAGTAGTCAGTTGTCAGTTTGATTTGCTCCATGAGGCTATTGTTCTTCTATAGGAGCCATAAATAAAATCTGTTGATTGACAGAGTGATTCATTTGTTCATTCATCCAACTACCTATGAATTGTTGGAGGGATTAAAAAATAACCCCTAAAGGAATTTGCTAAAATTAGGAAGGTAAGAAAGCTTTTAAATTATCTTGGGTCAGTGAACAGGTTTTTGCAGTGATTAGAATATGTTAATTATTCTTTTTAAGTAAATGAAGAGCTAAATGAATGTCAGCAATTCTGTCAACGTCACTGTGTGTGAAGAGGTTACGCTCATGATAGCATTCTATTACAATCATAAAAATCATTTACAAGAGTGGTTTTTCTGCAAGATTTCAGAAATGTATCCTACAATTAATTTTTAAATATATTATGAATGTCAAATATAACACTTATATACTAAATATATTCAGAGTTAATTAATTTTCTACACATTCACTTATGAATGATTTTTATTGCATCTGCTGGTTGAGGTGGAATTTCTGGTCAAAGGGTATTTGTACCTGCTACTCCCTGAAACTTCAGCTTCATGAGAGGAAGTAGTGCCTCCAAGCCTCAGAGACTACTGTGGCCAACTCCCACAAAAAAAGAAGGATAGCAGAGGTTTTCTAGTCAAGATTCTATTAGGAGAGAATGTAGAATGACCCTTAAGGCCAACTGGAGGCAGTGATCTTGGCTATATAAGACTAACTGGATCAGTATTAGGGTGATGGTTAAGGGAGCCAACACCAACATGCATAAGAAACTTTCTTTCCTTTTTATTATGACCTAGAATTTTTAATATATATTTACTGAAATTTGGCCAAACACAGTAGCTCATGCCTCTCTGTAACCCCACCACTTGGGAGGCCGAGGGCAAAATAGCATGATCAAAAAAAAAAAAATTAACTGGACATGGTGGCACACTCCTGTAATCTCAGCTACTCAGGATGCTGAGGCTGGAGGATCACTTGAGCCTAGGAATTTGAGGCTGCAGTGACCTATGATCATGCCAATGCACTCCAATCTGGGCAATGGAACAAGTCTCTGTCACTAAAAAGAAAAAAATAAGTAAATAAATGAAATAATTTTTATGGATTTAAATACTAATTTTTATTATATATCAGTCCTGGGCATGTACAAAAAGAAAAATATAAGCAGAATACATAGGTTAAAATATTACTTGAAACTTTCTCATATTTGAAGTCTAATTCTTTTGAGAGACTGAGTTATTGATACCCCAGCTTTTCCTTAGAAAAATATAATCCTTTGTGTAATGAAGAGTATTAGTGATGTGGTATATTTTCAACTCAATTGTGAAATACACATACAAAAAAGAATATGTAACATATCAGTACAGTTGAACAAATAGTTAAATATAAACTCCTATATCAAGAGAATATTATGACCACCCCAGAGCCCATGATGTGCTTTCTTTCTTTTTTTTTTTTTTTTTTTAAGATGGAGTCTCGCTCTGTTGCCCAGGCTGGAGTGCAGTGGTGCAATCTTGGCTCACTGCAACCTCTGCCTCCCAGGTTCAAGCAATTCTCCTGCCTCAGCCTCCTGAGTAGCTGGGATTACAGGCATGCACCACCATGCCTAGCTCATTTTTAATTTTTAGTAGAGATGGGGTTTCACTATGTTGTCCAGGCTGGTCTCGAACTCCTGACCTCAAGTGATCCGCCCACCTCGGCCTCCCAAAGTGCTGGGATTAGAGGCATGAGCCACCACTCCTGGCCCCAAAATGTACTCTCTTTTCCCCTTATAATAACTACAGTCTGTTTTTATGATAATTATTTCTTTGCTTTTTTCTACAGTTTTATCAAGTACATTTGCATCTAAAAACAAAGATTTGTCTCTGTTCCCCACCTTTCTCTTTCTGTGTTACAGTGGGTTCTGAATTAGACAAGTGCCTGGGCCTCATCCCATGACAGGTAGATTGTGTTGAATACAGTCATGAAGTCAAGCCCATCCAGAGTTGGTGGGGGATTCCTACCAGGAATGACTCCTACCATCAATGATTCCTACCAGGTCATTGATGTATGTAATGGGTTCTTCCCAGACTTGAAACTAGGAGCTAGTCAATCCATTCAATCTCCCGGTTAGCAGTCAGAACTATAAAGTGGTGTAGGCCACTAATCTGACCTCTGATGGGGTTGTCAATAGTAACCACTAAAGACTTTTTTTTTTTTTTAGTAGAGACACAGCCAGTTTTGTGCTTCAGTGGCTTAGGGTAGTTTTTGAGCAGATCAGAGGAGAGGCAATGCGGCTGCTTCTTTTCCCCACCTAATGCAAAGCAAGAGGGTGACAGATGCTACCTATCTATAGGACCAGAGCTTAGTGTGTCCTGATAACTTCATACTCATTATATCTGCCATTTATTGAATTCCAAACACTGTTCTTAATGATTCATGCACAATAGTTTACTTAGCGTCTCACTAAACCATATAGGGTAGTTACTGTTATACAGCTGAATATATATATATATATATATATATATATATATATATATATATATATATATAAAACAAATGAAGGAACTAATGCTTCCAGAATTACTTGCCCAAGATTCCACAGCTAATAAATGTACTTGAATTTATGCTTTGAGCTCCCAATATGGCTTCTAAAATTCTGAAGTTACGCAGACAAGTTATACTTGATAATAGTAGGTTTTCATTCTGTCTTTATGAAAAATGCATGATTTTATACTGTACCTGAAGAAATAAAATTTCCTTCAAGCTGAACTCATGTATTTTCTTAAAAGTTTTATTGTGTAGGCCGGGCGCAGTGGCTCACGCCTGTAATCCTAGCACTTTGGGAGGCCAAGGTGGGTGGATCACCTGAGGTCAGGAGTTCAAGACAAGTCTGGCCAACAAGGCAAATCCCTGTCTCTACTAAAAATACAAAAATTAGCAGGGCATGGTGGCACACACCTGTAATCTCAGCTACTCGGAAGGCTGAGGCAGGAGAATCGCTTGAACCTGGGAGGCAGAGGTTGCAGTGAGCCGAGATCGTGCCACTGCACTCCAGCCTGGGCAACAATATTGAGATTCTGTCTCAAAAAAAAAAAAAAAACAAAAAAAGTTCTATTGTGTCTCCAACAGATTTTTGTTCTTGGAAGCTGAGGAGATAGAAGATAGCCTGTTGAATACAGTACCCCAATTCCCATGCCACCCTCCACATATTTATAGTAGGGATTGGGGAATTCTGTCCTTTAAGCTGCATTTGCAATGCTTACCAATAGAGGGAGGGATCAGACTGTGGAGAGGAGCAGCAAGACCAGGCTAAGGAACTCCTTGGTTACTTCATGATCTTTGGCAGCTGGAAGTAGATTGAGCATGAACCTCATGAACCCTTTGTTAATGAAAGCAGATGTCTTCTTGTTATCTGGAAGAGAGGAGTTTGCAATCCCAGTGAGGGGAAGTGCCAGTTTGTAGGGACTTGAAGTGAAAAAACCTAACTTGCTTAGTATTCTACAGCCAAGTTTCTCTTTTTCTGTTTTTGTTTTTTGAGACAGGATCTCACTGTGTTGCCCCAGCTGAAGTGTAGTGGCATGATGACAGCTTACTGCAGCCTCAACATCCTGGGATCAGATGATCCTCCCACCTCAGCCTCCTGAGTAGCTAGCACCACAGGCCTGTGCCACCTCACCCAGCTACTTTAAAATTTTTTTTTAGACAGGGTTTCCCTATGTTGCCCATGCTGGTCTTGAACTCCTGGGCTTAAGCAATACTTCCACCTTGGCCTCCCAAAGTTCTGCGATTACAGGTGTGAACTGCAGTGCCTGGCTGAGCTGGGTTTCTCAACTTCAGCACTATTGGCTTTTTAGACCAAATAATCCCTTGTTGTTGGGGGCTGTTCTGTGCATTGTAAGGTGTTTAGTAATATCCCTGGCCTTTCCCAACCAGACATCAGTAGCACCCTCCTTACTGCCCCAGCTGTGACAATCAAAAACATCTCCAGGCATTGCTAAATGTCCCCAGGGGAGCAAAATTAACACTGATTGAAAAACACTATCCTAGAGATCTGAGATCTCCTGAAGACCTGAGGCCTTAGAAGATAAGTAAAGATATTCTCTTCCTGGTGACTAGGAAATCTAGGGCTCTTCTTGTTCTGGGATTCCACAGTTCAAAGGTATGCATGCAATGAATGGAGTTAGGCACAGTCCATAAACGAAGTATGGACAAAGGGCAACCAGTATCTTAACACCAGGCAGAGTGATGAAAGAAGTAAGAAGCAGCTTGAAACTTTACGAGTGGGGAGAAAAGAATGGAAACCGGATCAAAAGGGAGGAAGTAGAGATGATCTCTGACAAGATGGGGTGATCAGGCTCAAGAAGCAAAGCCCCCCACAAGGGAAGAACTCTTATATCTGTATGGATAGGAAGAAGCTGTGAAATTATTTTAGCCTATTCAAACACTTCTCTCTCAACTTTCATCTTCCAGTATTTTCTGTCTCACTTACTAGTTTTGTTGTCCCTCAGCCCTCATTTTAGAAACCTTGGAGTCATTTTTTTTGCAGTGACTCTCTTCAGGAAGGAAGGCTTTTTTTTTTTTTTGACGGAATTTCGCTCTTGTGGCCCAGGCTCTGGAGTGCAATGGCACGATCTCAGCTCACCGCAATCTCCGCCTCCTGGGTTCAAGCGATTCTCCTGCCTCAGCCTCCTGAGTAGCTGAGATTACAGGCAAGCGCCACCATGCCGGGCTAATTTTTGTATTTTTAGTAGAGACCAGGTTTCATCATGTTGTCCAGGCTAGTCTCAAACTCCTGACCTCAGGTGATCCGCTTGCCTCAGCCTTCCAAAGTGCTGGGATTAGAGGCGTGAGCCACCACGCCCAGCCTAAAGGAAGGGATTTAAATGTGAATTTTCTTGTCTAATAGAAACATCCATGCTCATAATGGAACCTAGTTTACTTTGAGGGTTGTAAGGAACACTTTTCATTGCATGTTCTAGCAGGCTGGCAACAACTTCTTTCCTTGCAAGCATGCTGACTACCACAACCTAAAATAAGTTTAATCAAGAAGGAAGACTCAAACTAATACTAGATAACAGGGAAAAAACCAAACTAATAATATACAACTTGTAAAGCACGTGAATTCAAAGACCCACATATTCTGTAATGTTATGCAGAGTCTCTTATACTGCCAGGAACTCTGTATTTGGCAAAGGTAATAGTCATGGGTCCAGGGTCTTAACACCAACAGGTAGGTCACTGGTTAGTGCTCCTAATAGGCTCAGATCCACCCTTTAGTACAGCTGGGACTCAGTCTAAGTTATCCATTCACATCTCCAGAGGCAGTTTGCAGAAAGGATAGTATACGGATCCATCTTACCTGAGTTTCAACTTGTTTGGATTAAAGGATGAAAAGTATTGTTCCTAGGCATGGTCTGTGAAGGTGTTTCCCAGTGGATTGAGAAAGGCAGACCCACCTTCAATCTGGGTGGGCACAGTCTAATCAGCTGCCAGCACAGCCAGAATAAAAGCAGGCAGAAGAACATGGAAAGACTAGTCTGGTTTAGTCTTCTGGCCTACATCTTTCTCCCGTGTTGAATGCTTCCTGCCCTCCAACATCAGACCCCAAGTTCTTCAGCTTTGGGGCTTGGCCTAGCTTCCTTGCTCCCTGGCTTGCAGATAGCCATTGTGGGACCTCACTTTGTGATCGTGTGAATCAATACTCCTTAATCAACTCCCCTTTATATATACATCTATTCTATTAGTTCTTTCCCTCTAGAGAATCCTAATACACCACCCGATGATCAGCTCTTTTGTTAAAGTATGGATTCTAATACTAAATCACTAAAAACCATTAGACTGTCACATTCAAGGGCATCTGGCTTAAACATCGTTGCATTGTTTACTGGAGTGAGTCATAGTAAGCAGGGCTCAATAAATGTTAATTAACTGAGTGCATGGATAATTAAATGAGTAAATGCATGGCTACACTCAGAGCTTAGAATAGTCTAATATTAACATTTGTCCTCAAACATGGAAACACTTCTAATTTTTCTGAGCATTTGCTCTAGGATTCAAGGAAATTTTAATTAGAGGATGGCATGGTCTTCTGTGGAAATTCTTTTTATTAACTGAAGCACCCATTCTGCAAAGATTCTTGAGTGTTAGCTAGTAACAACTCAAAGTTTTCCGTTTCTCTTTACAGAGAATTTCCCTAGGTCAAATGGCACCCAGAAACTGCCTCCTCTACCTTGAAAGCTACACTGTCTTAACCTTGACCAATGGCTGACTGATGTGGGAATCCAAAAGTCCTCCTCCTTGTCTCAAGGTAACTCAAATCTGTGTTGTAATTCATGTCCCAGATCTTCTCCAGTGAAACAAACTAAAGCTGCTGTTTAGCTGACACCACATTGTTTCTAAACTTTATTTTCTCCTCCTTTATTCCTTTTCCTTCACTCCTCTTCTCCTGAAAACACCCCTCCAATGAAACATTTGAACAAGGCTGTGGTTACATGAGGGAATCTTACAAATTGAGTGCTATGCAGACAAGTTAAAAAAAAATGCCTTAAGCTCTCAACATCCATGAAATATCATTTTACATACATTTTAAGAACAATGTGATTGTTACAGAGAATTATTATCGAGATCTCTATATTTTACAAAATCAACTCTATATAAATGTACTAAACTAACTACCAAGTACTATGCTCAGTACCTGGGTGACAGGATCATTCATACCCCAAACCTCAGCATCACACAATATACCCAGGTAACAAATCTGAACGTGTACCCTCTAAGTCTAAAATAAAAGTTGAAAAAAATGTACTGGGTTTTCTCGCTGGGGTTAAGTTAATAAGACAAGATCTCTTCTTGGCTGGGCGTGGTGACTCATGCCTGTAATTCCAGCACTTTGGGAGGCCAAGGCGAGCGGATCACTTAAGGTCAGTTTTGAGACCAGCCTGGTGAACATGGTGAAAACCCATCTTTACTAAAAATACAAAAATTAGCCGGGCATGGTGGCACATGCCTGTAATCTCAGCTACTCAGGAGGCTGAGGCAGGAGAATTGCTTGAACCCCAGAAGGCGGAGGTTGCAGTGAGCCAGGATCGTGCCACTGCACTCCAGGCTGGGTGACACTGTGAGGCTCTGTCTAAAAAAAAAAAAAAGAAAAGAAAAAAGAAAAAAAAAGATCCCTTCTTCAAAGAGGTTAGCAGGGGAGATGGGCAAGTAAACAATGGGGCTGCGCTAGTGTGGTAACCAAGCTGTGGAGCCAGAGAGAAGCCGTTATTAATCTCATCTGCCGGAATGGGGTGAGGTTCCCAGGGGTGGTAACATTTCAGATGGTTCTTGAAGGGTGAATAGAATTCTGACAGGTAGAAAAGGGGGAAAGGAAAAGTTGGAGCATAAAAAGCCTTCTCATGTGGCTAAAGCAAGTGCTTCTCAGGAATAGAGGCCAGAAGCGTGAGCATTTGGATAGGATTACTGTGAAGGGCCTGGGATGCCATACACAACTTTGTTTTTGTTTTGTTTTGTTTTTTTGAGATGCGGTCTCACTCTGTTGCCCAGGCTGGAGTACAGTGGCATGATCACAGCTCACTGCAGCCTTGACCTCCCGGGCTCAAGAAATCCTCTAACCTCAGCTTCCCGAGTAGCTGGAACTACAGACATGTGTCACCAAGCCTGGCTAATTTTTTTGATTTTTATGAAGAGTGAAATCTCGCTATGTTGCCCAGGCTAGTCTTGAACTCCTGGGCTCAAACAAACTCCTTCCTCAGCCTCCCAAAGTGCTAGGATTACATGTGTGAACCACCATTCCTGGCCCATACACAAATTTTTTGTCTCGTAATTATAATGCCTCTCTACATCTCCCCCTGATTTTCACTTCCCTATAAATTGCTTTATTCTTCTTTCATTCTTGTAAACTAATTTCTGTTCATGTTACAAAGCATTCAGCATGATGCTATACCCTACCATGCTGAAATGCTTTGTAATATGAACAAAATTAGAGAGGGGAAAGAGAAGAAACCTGCAATTTTCATCTTCATCTCCTTTCTTGGGCATTAATGGAGAGAGGAAGAAACAAAATTGGTAGAAAAACTGTAGCTTCTATAAAAAGATGAAACTCAATCCCTCAACTAAGAAGAAAATAAACTAACATACTGAGCGTCTACTACCACTACTAAATATATAAAGCTCTTTAGAATCAACTCATTTAATTCTCACTAATTACTCAATGGGGAGTGTAACTGTGATTATCTCAAGTATAAAGATAAGAAACCTTAAGCACAGGAATCCAGTCTATGGCCAAGGCCACACAGCTGCTGTGAGGTGGCACGCTCTGTCTCCACACTTTGCTTCTGTACACCAGCTTCCTAGGAAGCACTAACTGTGCACGCCAGGAGCCAGAAACACAGCATCTAAGAATTGGGCACTGAAATCCTGGGTGCTCCTTTCGTAAATCATTGAGGAAATAAAAGAGGGAGGAAAGCCAAATAAAAAGAGGATTATTTAACCTGAGAAAGATGACTGAAAAAAAGGGAAAGAGTATTAGAGATAAGAAAGAGAGAAACGTTAAAAAGAGAAAATAAAGATATGCTTTAAAAACATTAGATTGATTATAAATTATTATTCTCTCTAATAAGATATATAAGATACAAGTGTTACTTTTCTCAGTATTTAATGGGGAATAAAACAGGAAAACTTTGGTAGTTTTAAGTATGTATATGCATATATATATATATATATACGTTCAAGTAGATATATACACACAAGTGTATATATACACACAAGTGTATATATACACACATATATATATACATATACCTATATGTCTTCTTTTTGTTGTTTTCATATGTAGATATATATACCTATATTAGATATATTAGGTATATAAGTATGTGTGTATGTGTGGGTATGTATATGTGTGTATGTATATGTATATATATATATATAAAACTACCAAATGTTTTCCTGTTTCTTCCATTAAAAAATACACACTTATGGCCGGGCGCAGTGGCTCACGCCTATAATCCCTGCACTTTGGGAGGCCCAGGTGGGCGAATCATGAGGTCAGGAGATTGAGACCATCCTGGCTAACATGGTGAAACCCCGTCTCTACTAAAAAAATACAAAAAATTAGCCGGGGTGGTGGCGGGCGCCTGTAGTCCCTGCTACTCGGAAGGCTGAGGCAGGAGAATGGCGTGAACCCAGGAGGCAGAGCTTGCAGTGAGCCGAGATAGCGCCACTGCACTCCAGCCTGGGCGACAGAGTGAGACTCCGTCTCAAAACAAAAACAAAACAATACACACTTATGTGTGTGTATTTTCTTAAGGTGGTAAGGCAGACTTTATTCAAGGACGCCATGGTGCTAGGTATTGGAACCACTGCAACTCGGTCTTGCGGTGGGAGGTAGAGAATGGACTCAACTCCCAGTATATTTTGATCTTTGTTTTACTTAGGCTTAAATTATGAAGTGGAACTCAAGAAAAAGAAGACTTTGAAAGGAATGGTTATAATCTTTGTATCAATATAAATGCCTTTAAATATTCACCATCTAAAATGCTTCAAAAATATTCCCAATAAAGGATTATTTACATTTCAAGTCTATTAAAATTCCTTATTTTTCTTAAAGTAATATATTGAATTATTTTGAAATGTTTTCATCCATATGTAAAATAATGACAATTTATTTCCTAAAATACAGTATTATTTTCCCTGTTGATTAGCATTGCTAGGTTAGACTTGGCTCTAGAATGCCATAGGAAATATTAGATTTCAGACAGGCAGGGAATTTTCTGCCCATGCACGGTAGATAAACACATATTATACTATTAACATATATTGTATTTCTTCTCTCTTCCACTTGGGAAAACAAAGCCTATAAATCCTATTTATACTGTTAGCAATGGGGTCTTTGTTTAGTGAACCTTATAGAGCATCAGGTGTTTCTTCTCCTTGGGTCCTTAAACTGAAACTTAATTGTCCCATGTCACATCTGTTCACATCAATCAAGTTACATTATTTTCTCTACAGTGTGTTCTTTGAGTTGATATGATTGATGTGACTAAATGTGATGGATCAAAAAGGTCTGTTAGGCACTATAAAAAATTTCAGAATCTCAGGTCTGCAGGCCAAAGAATCTCTTTCTATGCATAATTTGGTGTAGAGTTAAATTTGGAAGAGCAATACAGTTCACCAGATTAAGAATTTTTGATACTGATTCTTGACAGACTCCCTTTTGATGATAAAGAGAAAGTATGAGTAATTTCCTAGGGCAGAATTAAGGTTTGGGAGTCATTGCCCTGCTGTAAATCAGATAAATTCAGGAAGGAATTAGAGTGGAAAGGGATTTGCAGTTGGAAGACTGGGTTTGGAATCCCAGCTCCTCATGTTCCAGTAATGGGGCCTTGCAGAAATTGCTTGAATTCTTGGAACCACAGTTTCTCATCCCTATCATCTATCACATGAAGTATTGTGAGAATACCAGGAAACAATATAACTAAAGGAAAGTTATAAATTACAAAGTATTATGACAAGACTCCACAGTTTTCTTGAGAGCTTAGACGGAATAGGAAACAAATTAATTATTTTAAAACCCACAGAAAGAATAATGATTAAAATAATTAGATCTTTGATACCCAGGAGCACCACAAATTGTGAAAGGAGGTCAAGTGACGGGTGCTGTAGAATGCCTCCTGTTCAGCATCCTTGCACATCTCAAATTAGCTACCTTTCTATTTTAACCATCATAGATTCTAAGTCTGAGTGGTCATTCTTGTTGAAAATATTCTCTTGTCAGCTGATATATTCTTGACTTGTATTTTCACCAGAGTTTTACTGTAATTATAAATTTAAAAATGGGGAAGCTGTATCAGTGTTCTCAGAACTGTCCAAGTGGCATCGTGGTATGGAATTTTCTCCTTTCTACATTCTATTCTTGCCAAAGACATCTGTTCAGAGTCTACAAGTGACTGTGAGTTCCTCTTTCATTTGTTTTTATAGATGGCCTGATGTAAAGTAACTTGTTAGCTTTTTTTATCTGTAACTTTAAGCAAACTTTAAGCTAATTGTATCTGTAGTAAACATCAGACACATGGTCATGAGCAGAATGAAGAGCTGTATCATTAACTAGAAGTTGGGGTAGGAAAAGAAAGCTAGTGGCTGGAGAGTGAAGGTGCAGGAAAAAGAGCCTTTGCTGAGGGATCAAGGTACTCGTATTTGGTAAAGAGGATCCGCTTTTTACTAAGGTCAACTGTAGTTGAAATCATCATTCTATTTTCAGCTTTAACCTTGGCAAAGACATTTAAGCCCTCTGTGCTTCCGTATTTTCATGAATAAAATTGTCACATTGTAGCTAAACTTCTGTATTGTGAGGTTGCCAATGGACTACAACAACTCAAATGTGCTTCTTGATATCTCTAGGTAGTCAGAAAATATACATAAACCAATTATAGCCCAAGTTAGCATGAAGCAGTAGTATCCAAACATAATTTTTCTCTTTAGGTAACTTTGTTTATCTTATATTACTCAGGTTCTTTTAGGATTCTGCTTCCCTTCTGGGTTCCTCCCCAAGTAGCATCTTTTGGAAGAATAGTGGGGTTACTGGACCACTAGTAGCATCTTTTGCAGTGTGTTGAAGTTATTAGTTGGGGTTATTGAGAGAATTAAGGGAAACGAGTCTCCTTGACCCTAGGCTGGTCCTTGTGGGTGGGGGGGTGCACTGGCTGGTTTAATTCATTTATGAGCTGTCTCCATTGATGGTATTTATTGCTGACAATTATGGCCATGAGCTTGTGTTCTCTTTGTCCTCAACTCAGTGAGGACTTTGTGTTCTCTTTCCATTGATTTGGTTCCACCTTGGCACCCCTTTAGTACTGTCTGAACTCCTTAACTCCAGTTAGAGTGTTCTGCCCTTCAAACCCCAGCTCCAAGAACTCTCATCCTAATTACAGCAGCTACTTCTGACAAGCTCTCAGATAGAACTCGGAGTTGCTATCAAATTTACTTGGTATGCTTCTCTCTCCAGTTTTGAGAGGTAGTCTCTTTCTAAAGTCCCAAAGATAGAGAAGGGGCCAGATCTCCTCATTTGGAGTTTACCCAATATACCTGTGTTTTTCGGAAAGAAGACTGGAGAAAACTATATCAGGATCCACATGTTATATGTCCCATACTTCCTTTCTCCCTTTTCTTTCTTCTCTCTACCATCCTTCCTCTACCCCTCCCACTAGAAAGGAAGAGCTTTTCTTTAATTTCCTGTACATCATATTGTCCTTTTCTCAACAGAGCTGCAAGACTTACCTATTATAAATAGGAGTATCTTTTTGCTCTATAGGAGAATTTCTATGATCTGGTCTATCATTTTGTAGGGTTTGGGTTATGAAAAGTGAGTCTAATCTTTGTTAGAGCAAATATTAATTATTTATATTACTTTGATCATTTAAATAAAAGTAAGAGCTAAACCATATAGTAAAAAATGAGAGCCTTCGCTTTCTTCTTGTTTTTCAGGATGGAGTCTTGCTCTGTCACTCAGGCTGGAGCGCAATCGCGCGATCTCAGCTCACTGCAACCTCCGCCTCCTGGGTTCAAGTGATTCTCCTGCCTCAGCCTCCCAAGTAGCTGGAATTACAGGCATTCACCACCACGCCTGGCTAATTTTTTGTATTTTTAGTAGAGACAGGGTTTCACCATGTTGGCCAGGCTGCTTGCGAACTCCTGACCTCGTGATCCACCTGCCTCAGCCTCCCAGAGTCCTGGGATTACAGGTGTGAGCCACTGCACCTAGCCGAGAACCTTCTCTTTCTTACGCAAATTTTGTTCCTTGCTATTAATTATTTTATTTTATTGTTTTTCTTAGATTTCTAGGTATTACTTTGTAATTTAACCATACATCTCACCAGGAAAAATGAAACCATTTTAAGAATTTACAACAAAGCTTTTCCTCCTTCTCTAGCCGTGTGAAGTGCTGGCTCCCCCTTCACCTTTTGCCATGATTTTAAGTTTCCTGAGGCCTTCCCAGAAGTCAAGCAAAATCAGAAGCCACTATGCTTCTTGTATAGCCTGCAGACCCAACAATAAAACCCTTGCTTCAAAAAGCATCCAGAAGGAACCATCCTTGATTTTATAGTCCAGTGAGTCCTGTTTCATCCTTCTGACCTGCAGAACTGTAAGGAAGTAAGTGGTGGTGTTTCAAACCACTAATGTTGGGGTAATTTGTTACAGAAGCAATGGGAAAATAGTACAGCTGTTTTAATTAGTGTGAAGTAGCATCTCCTTTACAGTTTTGATCTGCATTTGTCAAATGACTAATGATGTTGAGCATCTTCTCGTGTGCTCTTTGGCCATTTGTGTACCATTTGGGAGCAGAGTCTAGCAGGAAACAGACTGTGCTGTAGTGTTTGCACCTCATTCTACAGCCATGGAAAGGAAACATGGCCATTCAGACTGTGGAGGAACTGGACACAGAGGCATCTGGAAGCTCTGTGTGCAGGCCTGTGTTGGGGAGAGATAGAGGCAGGAAGTCAGGAGGGTTCAGTGACCAGAGAAGAGGTGAGGCTCCAGGAATGACCAGGATTAGGATGGAGAAAAGGGCTCCAAGGTGAGCCCTGCTTAGGAGAAGGAGGGACAAGAATTAGTGATGTACGGGATGTGGAGAAGGGAGGGAGGAAGCTCAAGGTGGAGAACCACACCCTTGTTATGACTTTAAAGAGGGGATCACTGTGTCATCAGTGAGATGTGAGTCCCAGCAGAGAAAGTTGGTTGGGGGGGGGTAGATGGTTGGTTCAACTTTGGCCACGTTGAGCGGAGCAATCCTAGGAGCCATCTAGGGAGAGGTGTCTAGTGGGATGTTGGAGGGTGAGACCTCCATGACACTCATCTGAGAGATTAGCCCGTGACGGTGTTTGCAGCCTCCACACCTGCTGCTGCCCTTGCTGCCTTCCTACTGCAGGACCTGACAATAAGCAAAGGGCCCAGGGCCTGTCAGTGTGGCCAGATCAGGGTGTAGAGAGCAGCAAACTCACCTCCCTGTGCCCTGCTAAGGGGCTGGAAGGGACTGAGGTGGAGAAAGCAGGCCTAACCTCCAAGATCTCCATGATGAGAGCTGGACTCTCACCCAGAGTTGGGGACAGACAACAACTGGCCCATGCAGAATTCTCACCACAACTCAACTTCTGCTGGCCTTGGGCCCTCTTGACTGGTTCAGGTCCCTCCAGCACTAGGACTCAAATTCAGCATCATGTCCCTGCCTGCCCCACACCTCCTGCTTTGGTCCTGGGGCAGCACTCACCTGAGGAAGATGAGGCAGAGACAGAGAAACGAGATCTTCACAGTTGCCTCCCCGATGGCCAAAATAAACACCTCCACCATGGGCCCTGGTTTTACTGGGAAAAATGGGACAAGGCAGATTCATCTGCTAAACCACAATTCCTTGTTTTTCCTGTTCCTATAAGACTTGGACATTTATTCTCCAGATCATTCCTGAATCTCTGGATGTAAGAACATGTCAGTCCAGGCCTCACCTCAACCCCTCTCAAGACTGACCAGCAGTAAACAGAGGGCTCTGGCCTCAGTGTCAGTCCAGGCCTCAAAGCTGTCTTTGAATCTGGGCTGAGCACACTGCTATTTCCCTGGGTGACCCCAGGGGGCCACTTGCTTAGCCACCTGGGAGCTGCAGTTTGTGGGAGGCTGCAGTCTGGCAAGTAGCCCCTTGACACTCACTCTGCAGAGAGAGTGTCAAGGAGCTCTGCTGTTCCGAGACGGCTCTGAGCTTGGCAGGTAAATTATCCTTCATCTCTGAGGTGCGCTTGCAGCTCTAGCACCCCAGTGTTGGATTGGGAGGGGCTCAGGGTCAGGCTCTTCTGGACCCAGCTCAGTCTGGCTGGAGGGTTGCTATTGACGGCACAGACCAGGTGCAGAGACTGTCCTTCCAGGACCTGAAGTGAAGTGGTAAACCATCTTTCAGGGTTATGGATTCTGGAGAGAAGGAGACAGAGGGTCAGAGTGACAAAGACATTGAGAAAGAAGGAGAGCTCTGAAGAAGAGCAAATAGAGGGACAGATTCAGACACACAGACATGGACTGAGAGAAACAGAGACTATGGGATGGATCCAAAGAGAGGAGTGAGCAGCAGCCCAGAGCCTGGCTCAGGCCCCAGTTTCTCTGTGAAGGGTGATATAGTTTGGTCTCTGCACTGATGGGCCCTGTTCAGCTTGCTTGAGGCCCCAGAAAGTACAGAGGTCTCAGGCTTCACAGGACACCCAGATAGGATGTCAGATTAGACCCATATTCCACACCCTCTTCAATGCTGTTACTGACACTTTAGCATCCAGGTTGACCCTGAACGTTCTTGTTCTCTATCCATATACTCACCTGACACTAGTTTACTGACCTATCACCATGCCTCTGACAGGGGCTCACTCCAGGAAATTCAGAGTCTGGTAAGGAGTGGGGATTTAGGAACAGGTGCTCACAAGGCCACATGACACATGATGGAGGTGACTCAGCTGCACAAGCCCTGGGGATGACGATGTAAATCAGTAAATGTAAATAAGGCAGTACATGTTGTGGTCCAGGAGGGCTTCCTGGAGGCACAGCTACTTCACTTCTGAAGTAAGATGTGAAGGATGATCCTGGGAGGCTAGAAGATAAGGGGTAGAAGGGTTTTCCAGGAAGGAGTAACAGAGAGTACAAAGATGACCAAGGCCTGTGCACATCCAGGGAAAAGGGAGAGTAGACCTGCAGGGATGGAAGGAGAGGGGGTATTCAGCATGGAGGTTAAGTCCAGAGAAGGGACCCAGAAGGAAAAGCAGGGGGATTTGTTTTAATAAACTCAGTGGGGGAAATCAGAATCCATAGAAGAGATTGATAAATGCAACTGTAGAAATAAATACATCCCTGCATATTGTAAATCAAGGACATCTAAGAAAAAGCCACATGAAATATTGGAAATGTATTTGAAACTTATATCACTGATACACATTAATTTCTCAAACTGGAAAAAAAAAGAATTTACAACAAAGGAATTGAATTTAAGGAACTGGAATGCAGGGAGGAGGCGAGAAGTTAAAGGGGGCAGTGAAGTAACTAAACACTTTGGTAACACCAGAATGCTATCAGTAGCTTTTCTCTCTAGGTTTGAGAGAAAAAGGAGAAAAGTGGTGTCTGAAGCCATAGCATTAATATCCAGCGATAGATGGAATCAAAATGGTAACTTAGGCTGGGTCTGGTGGCTCATACCTATAATCCCAGCACTTTGGATGAGGCAGGAGGATTGCTTGAGCCCAGAAGTTTGAGACCAGCCTGGGCAACACAGGGAAACCCCATCTCTACAGATAATCAAAAAGTTAGCTGGGTGTGGTAGTGTGCACCTGTTGTCCCAGCTACTCGGGAGGCTGGGGTGGAGGGATTACCTGAGGCTGGGAGGTTGAGGCTGCAGTGAGCCATGATCAAGCCACTGCACTCCAGCCTGGGCAGCAGAGTGACAGTTTGCCTCAAGAAAAAAAAAAAAAAAAAGGAAACTTATAATACTAAGGGAGTTGCCCAAGAAAGAGACATAGAAAATAACCTGGTTTTCCTTCCTTTCCTCTTCTCCAAACTGTTACCAGTGGTCTCAGTGAGAAATGTACTAACGTAGAAGCCCGAGAAAGCCAACCTGCAGGGACCATCCCTCCCTGAAACACAGAGCAGAGCAGAGGATTGGCAGGAAATGGATCTGAGAGCAAGCAGGACCAGGAATAACACATCCTGAGATGTCTCTGGATTTCAGGTCCACCAGGTGCCCTACTAATTTCAACTTTTGGAAGCAATCTCTCTGAGATTTCTGAGCTGTTGTAATCTAGGTTGAATATCTGCTAGACTTGGCTTACAGTGTTTATCCGGGGATCGCCCTTCATCTGAGGATTCCCTTTGTCCTTCTCATGGGTTGTATTTTCCATTTTCCATTTTCCATGTACTATATCTTTGTTTTTCCAGGTTTGTTTGTTCAATCGTTAAAACATATTTTCTAGTAATTTTTTGAGAAATTGTACCAGGAAGTATATTTTGAGGCTATTTTGCCTAAAAATATCTAATTATCTTTATTCTATCTAATCCCTAATTGTATAACTATATATGGAATTCTAGATTGTAACAATTTTTCTTTAGAATTTTAAAGTCATTATTCCATGGCCTTCTATCTTCCACTGGCCATTGAGAAGTCTAAAGTAATTCTGCTGGGTGCGGTGGCTCATGCCTGTAATCCCAGCACTTTGGTAGGCCAAGGCGGGCGGATCACCTGAGGTCAGGAGTTCGAGACCAGCCTACCCAACATGGTAAAACCCTGTCTCGACTAAAAATATAAGAAGTTAGCTGGGTGTGGTAGCAGGCACCTGTAATCCCAGCTACTTGGGAGACTGAGGCAGGAGAATCACTTGAACCCGGGAGGTAGAGATTGCAGTGAGCCAAGACCTTGCCATTGCATTCCAGCCTGGGCAACAAGAGTGAAACTCTGCCTCAAAAAATAAATAAATAAATAAATAAATAAATAAATAAATAAATAAATAAGTTATTCTTTGTTTGTGGGGGGAGGAGAATGTTTTATTAATTATATATAGGTAATATGCACACAACACAAAATTTAGAAGCAAAAAAATGGTAACTGAGAAGAGAAAAGTTGGTCTTCCTCACATTTCCTTCCCCCCACAGTCAACTCGTTTCCTGTTTTCAGGATTGCAAGAACTATTACCAGCTTTTTGTAATATCTAACTTTTGAGGATATTCTATGTATATCTATATCTATGTATCAATTATTATATCAACCTAAATCCTGTCATTTGCACAAATTTTTGTGTGGTGGGGTGTGTGGGTGTGTGTGTATTTTATGCATTATCTCTGCAGGAATCAGAATACTTTGGCTAAGATACTGGTTAAAAGAGAGGCACAAGGCTTGATATAACAATTGATGTCAATGATGTGTTCATTGACACATCATTCAATCTCTGCTATACATCATCAATATTGTGGATCTCTTCAACAAAAGCAATGGTTTTATTATTTTTAAAATATTATCTGTGCATTGTGGAAAAAAGAGTATCTATGCCCTTCATATATATAGACACACACACACATATATATAGACACACACATATATATGTATGTGTATGTACATATATATGTATGTATGTATATATACATGACTAGTTCTCACTCAGAACCACAAAGAGAAAGAAAAATGTAACTCCCAACCTACCCAAGTCAGCAGTAGAACAATATAGCATATGGACTGTGAATGTTATTGTAGGGTGATCTGTTTGGGATGCTTAATTTTTCTTTTTGGACCAGTCAAGTTCTCAGAGAAGACTCTATCTGTTTGCTGCACAGAGAGTAAAGACCTGGAGAACTGTGGCTGGCTACCAAGGAGAGAGGAAAATAGAGGGGTGGCCTCAGCTGTGATTATGTATATACTTGCATAATATCTTTGTTTTGAATCCATATATATGTATATGTATGTGTATGTACATATATATGTATTTGTATGTGTATGTACATATATATGTATGTGTATGTACACATACGTATATATGTGTGAGTGTATATGTATGTATGTGTGTGTCTATATATATGATGTGTGTGTGTGTGTATATATATATGTGTGTGTGTGTGTTGTTTTTATACTTTGCAATCTGCTGGGTACTCTCCTTGCCTAGTACATGTTCTCCCTTTAGCATCACCTAGATTCTTACCACCTCTCCTTTTTGTTCTGAGCCATGAATTCTCCCTCTTGGTTTAATTTCTCTCTTAGGTTGACTTTTTTTTCTAGTAGCTCCCTAAAAGGATGAATGGGAGTAAAATTCTTACTTGACCAGGTGTGAAAGTCTACCTTCCTTTGTAGAAAGGTATAGAATTTGTATATGGGAAAGATTTTTCCTTCAAAATTTAAAGACATTGCTCTGGTATTGAAATGTAGAAGCCTAAACCCATTTTTACTTCTAATTCTTTGCATGTAACCAGTGTTTATTCTCCAGAAGGTGCTAGGATCGTCTTTCTCCTGTGTTGTGGAATTTCAAATGATGTATCTTGATGTGGGTCTATTTTCATCAATTTTTTTGGCAGTATATGAGTCATTTTAATCTAGAAACTCTTCAGTTCTGACAACTTGGATTGAGTTATTTCATTGTTGATGTCTTCCTTTCTCTTTCCTCTTTCTTCTCTTTGTCAAACTCTGTGTTTTCAAATATTAGGTTCTCTGGACTAGTCTTCTATTTTCCAAAATATTTTTTGTCTTCTTCATCTCTTTATTTATTTGTTTTTCTATTTTCTGGAGATAGATTCAATATTATATTCCAGTTCTTCTGATGACTATTTCATTTTTGCTATTAGATTTTCAATTCCTAAGAGCTTTCTCTGTTGGCTGAATATTTATTTATAATAAAATCCAGTCTTTTTGTGTGTGTCTGTAATATTGTCTCTTTTCTCTCAAAGGAGATTCATGATAGTAGCTTTGTCAAGGCAATTAAAAAGCATGGGGGCATTTTAAAAGGTGACTGAAAACTAAGCACCTGAATATGGCTTGTCGATACTATTAGTCAGTGTCCAATAGGGAAGCAGAACCTCTATAAATATTAAGGGATTTGTCATAGGAATTAGACCTAAATATTTGTGGGGTGAGCTAGGGAAGCAAAGGACTAGCAGATCAGATAAAACGTCATTAGCAAGTCCTCTTCAGGCACTGAAGTGGGTGGAAAAATCAGGGTCTCTAGGGAAATCTAAGAAGCCTAGCATGTCCAGTCACCGGAGCGGGACTACAAACAAGAGGTCAAGGGGGAGACTGTGGGAAACTCTTACCTCTGTACTATCACTGTAGGTTTGCCACCAGGTATCTGGTGATGAGCCTGGGAATGCTGTTTGTTACCAGGGCCTATAGATGGGAAGAAGAACATGACATGGAGTTGAGGATATGGGAAGATAAGCTGGAATCTGCGAGGCAACTCTGCACTTTTCCAGCATTACATTTAACTGTGGATTCTTAAGAGAGTAATGATCATTGCTTAATCTCCACCCCTAAATTTCATGTAAGTTTTTTTTTCTCATGACTAGTTCTCACTCAGAACCACAAAGAGAAAGAAAAATGTGACTCCCAACCTACCCAAGTCAGCAGTAGAACAATATAGCATATGGACTGTGAATGTTATTGTAGGGTGATCTGTTTGGGATGCTTAATTTTTCTTTTTGGACCAGTCAAGTTCTCAGAGAAGACTCTATCTGTTTGCTGCACAGAGAGTAAAGACCTGGGGAACTGTGGCTGGCTACCAAGGAGAGAGGAAGATAGAGGGGTGGCCTTAGCTGTGATTACGTATATACTTGTATAATATCTTTGTTTTGAGTGCACTTTTCCTGCCCCAACTCTAGTTCTCAAGTCTAAAGTTCTCTGGTTATTTCTTGAAAGACTATATCCTCAGTTTTTTTTTTTCAAGATATAGCTGGGATTATCCGTATTTCTACAAGTATCTGGGACAGCCAGTTTCTGAGCATTTGGGCAATTCTGTGACTTAAACCACTTTAGCTATTGGCTTCTTCCTCTGCTACTTTAAAATTAGTTTTTCTCAGTTTTGCTGAGTCATTTCTTCTTATGTATTTGATTGCTAGATTATGAAATGTTATAACTATAATCTCTGTATCTATTCTGCTTCCTTTTGTGAATTTATACCCTCAAAAACTTCTATTGTCACTTTAGAATGCTTTAAAGAGCAAGTAAAAACAGGTACATGTGTTCAATATGCCATCTTTGGCTGGGAGTGCACACGAACTTATTTTATCCCCTTGGAAATAAAAAAAGATTGATTTTTAAAAAATGTTCACATGGCCCATGATGGGAACATTCAGATATAAAGTAGCTTGAGCACATATCCTGGCTTTTCTCTTTTTCCTTATTCTGTCTACATATGGAATAAAAAAACAGCCAGATTTCCAAATCAAGACGATGCATATGAGTCCACAATTTGCACAAGAATCTCATTTATTTCTTCACTCAACAGTTATATTTTGAGCATCAATAACATTTCTGGCACTGTTTTAGGTGATGGAGATACATCAGTAGCAAACATGAAATCCCCTGTTCTTTATATTCTAATAAAAGGACACAGACAATGAGGCTGCAAAGAAAAATAAAGCCGGTTAAGAGGACAGAAGGATGTGGTTCTGCTATTTTATATAGAATGAATAGGGAAGGTCTCTCTGGAAGGTCACTTTTAATCAGAGACCTGAAGAAAGTGAGAAAAGTAAGAGGGGGGAAAAGACTTCCAGGCAGATGAATCAGGGCTGTAGGGCATGAGATTAGATTAGTCCAAATAATCTCTGAGGTAAATTACATTAGTGAGGCTGTGACTGTTGGTGGATTTGATACAGTTCTTAACAGGACCACTGGCTGCCCTGTTGTCCTTTCTTCAGTCACACCAATACTGTTGGAGGAGCAAATATGTCCAGTGCATTAGAGTTCAGGTAAAAGAATTCATTCTCCCTAGTGCTAGGCAGTATCTGAGGGAGCAGCAAGAGACGAGGCAGCCTGTGTCTTTACAAGCTTTGGCACGAAGCCCAGTTTTCCATGAGGCAGTTCAACCATATCTTTGAATTCCCATATGGAGGGCTGTATTTTTCAATGACCTATGGACTTAGGAGACACACCTAACCCAGCAATGTTGGAAATAAACCACTGGGCTGATTTGTGTGTGGTCCCTATGGTTGGAAAATGGCTATTGTTTGCATCTGGTGTGACCAGAGAGAAAAGATGTCCTTTTCTTTTGCATCAGCAGAGATGTAATATAAGAAAAGACTGGCACATTGTAAAAATGAACAAACAAATCAACTTTTGTACTTTCTTTCTTTCTTTCTTTTTTTTTTTTTTTTGAGACTGAGTCTTGCACTGTTGCCCGGGCTGGAGTTCAATGGCGTGATCTCAGTTCACCGCAACCTCCGCCTCTCAGGTTCAAGCGATTCTCCTGCCTCAGCTTCCTTAGTAGCTGGGATTACAGGTGCCTGCCACCACGCCTGGCTAATTTTTTTGTATTTTTAGTAGAGACAGAGTTTCACTACGTTGGCCAGTCTGGTCTCGAACTTCTGACCTCATGATTCACCCATCACGGCCTCCCAAAGTGCTGGGATTACAGGCGTGAGCCACTGCGCCCAGCCAACTTTTGTACTTTCTATCACTTGCTGGTTTGTCTCTGAAAGAGCCTAACAGACTGACCAAATAGCTGAGGGAGATCAGATGTGAGCAAGCAAAGGAAAAGTGCTAAAGACTTAAACAGGTTTGGTAACCAGAAAGATGAAGAACAGCTAAAACCTGATGGATGTCGTTGAACTAAAATTTTCGGGAGAGGCAGAATAAATCTTTTTTTCTCATGAGGAATTTTCTTTGTAAATATGGATTACACCTCTAGAAAAAATTCCCAGGATCTTCCCTCCTGTGTGTTTTCATCCTGATTCTTTGTGGTCCATGATGCCAGCTGAGGTTGTCAGTACAACAAACCTAAACTAGCAGGATGGAAGCAAATTATTCTGCCATTTTTCTAGATCTTTGAGTTGCATATCAAATTTGGGGCCGATCACTCCACACTAGTTTAGACTTCCTGTGAGGTTCACAACAATTATCCCTGCTCTGTGATCATCAGTGACTTTAAATTTGTCAATGTAACCATGCTTCATCATCACAGTTAGGAATCAGACAATAACTTTGGAGCACGGCCTAATAAGAACCTAGCATTTGCCTCTCTTTTCAGCATTGTTGATGCTCTTGAGATCATCAGCCAGGACATTTATGCACACCGTTGTGGCAGTGCAGAAAGATGGCGGAAAGAGAACAGGAAGGGAGAGTACACGGAGTTATCCAGAATAAACCTTTACAAAGAACCAATGAGGACTTTTTGTGACAAACTTACAGTATATACACATACATAAAAAGACTTGCTGGAATTATGAAACACGATTTTCAAAAATAAATATCATTAGACTAAATAAACAAAGAGAATGGTTGTTGCTGAAAATTAAATTGATAGTTTTGGAGATTACATTAAAGAAAACAAATGCAAAACAAAACACAAAAAGACAGAAATCATGAGGTAAAGAGAAGAAACTTGGGAACATTTCAAGAGTCAGAACATAGGGCTGGGTGCGGTGGCTCACGTCTGTAATCCCAGCACTTTGGGAGGCCGAGGTGGGCAGATCACAAGGTCAGGAGTTCAAGACCAGCCTGACCAATCTGGTGAAACCCTGTCTCTACTAAAAATACAAAAATTAGCTGGGCATGGTGGCACGTGCCTGTAATCTCAGCAACTTGGGAGGCTGAGGCAGGAGAATCGCTTGAACCTGGGAGGCGGAGGTTGCAGTGAGCTGAGATCGCGCCACTGCACTCCAGCCTGGGTGACAGAGTGAGATTCTGTCTCAAAAAAAAAAAAAAAGAGTCAGAACATAATAACAATTAGAATTCCAGAAATAATTTTGTTACTCTTCCCAGTCAGAACAAAGGTGGAGGAATCATATTTTCTGATTTCTTTCTTTTTTTTTTTTTTTTTGAGACAGAGTCTCACTCCGTTTCCCAGGCTAGAGTGCAGTAGGGCGATCTCAGCTCACTGCAACCTCCGCCTCCCGGGTTCCAGCGATTCTCCCACCTCAGCCTCCAGAGTAGCTAGGATTACAGGCACTCGCCACCAGGCGTGGCTAATTTTTTGTATTTTTAGTAGAGATAGGGTTTCACCATGTTAGCCAGGCTGGTCTCAAACTCCTGACCTGAAGTGATCCACCCACCTCGGCCTCCCAAAGTGCTGGGATTACAGGCGTGAGCCACTGTGCCTAGCCATATATTTTCTGATTTCAAAACGTATTATAAAGTGATTAAAATCAGAGGAGGATAGTACTGGCAAAAAAAGCAGACATATCAACCAATGAAACAGTATAGAAAATTCAGAAATAAACCTATGCATTTATGGTCAATTGATTTTTGACAAACATGCCAATAACTCACAGTGGGGAAATGTCAGTCTCTTCAACAGATGGTTTTGAGAAAACTGGATATCCACATGCAGAATAATGAAGTTAGACTCTTGCCTTACACCATATAAAAAAATCAACTCAAAATGAATTAAAGACTTAAACACATATAAGACCTGAAACTGTTAAGCCACTAGAAGAAAACATAGTGGAAAATTTCCATGACATTTTTCTGGACAATAAAGTGTGTGTGTGTGTGTGTGTGTGTGTGTGTTCAATAACGTGTGTGTGTGTGTGTGCGTGCACGTGTGTGTGTGTGTTCCACTAAGGCTTTATTGATGGACACTGAAATTTGAATTTTCTATAATTTTTATGTTTCACAAAATAATTTTCTTCTTTTGCTTTTTATCTCCAACCATATAAAAGGTAAAAACCATTCTTAGTGTGAGAGTCACATAAAAACTGGAGGCAGGCCAGATTTGGCCTGCAGGTCACAGTTTGGGCAATGACTTTTTTGATATGACCCTAAAAACGTAGGCAACAAAAGCAAAAATAGACAGGGCCAGGTGGGGTGGCTCACACCTGTAATCCCAGTTCTTTGGAGGCCAAAGCAGGAGGATCGTTTGAGGCCAGGAGTTTGAGACCAGCCTGGGCAACATAGTGAGGCCCTGTGCCTACAAAAAAATTAAAACATTAGCTAGGCATGGTGGCACACATCTAAAGTCCCAGCTTCTTGAAAGGATGAAGTGGGAGGATCACTTGAGCTCAAGAGTCTGTGGCTACAGTGAGCTATGATTATGCCACTGCACTTTAGCCTAGATGGCAGAGTGAGACCCTGTCTCTAAAAATAAAATAAAATAAAAAAATGGGATGGGCTCAAACTAAAAAACTTCTGCCCAGCAAAGGAAACAATTAACACAGTGAAGAGACAACCCACAGAATGGAAGGAAATATTTTCAACCATACATCTAATAAGGAGTTAATATCCAAAATATATAAAGAAGTAAAAAAACAACTCAATAGACAGAAAACAAATAACCTAATTAAAAATAGACAAAGGACCTGAATACACATTTTTCAAAAGAAGATATACAAATGGCCAATAGGTACATGAAAAAAAATGCTCAGTATCAGTAATCATCAGAGAAACATGAATTATAGTAAAATCACAATGAGATATCATCTCACACTCATTAGAATGGCTTTTATAAAAATAATGAAAGATAAATGTTGGAGAAGATGTGGAGAATACAAAACTCTTGTATATTGCTGGTGGGAATGTAAATTAGTACAGTCATTATGGAAAACGGTATGGAGGTTCCTCAAAAAACTAAAAATTGAACTACCATATGGTACAGTAATTACACTTTTGGGTATACAGTCAAAGAAATTGAAATGAATATGTTGAAGGAGGCTGATCTGAATGCAGTGGTGTTCACAACTAATTGATCAAAACTAGTTACACATTTCTTTGTTCCTTCTCCACTCCCACTGCTTCACAAAACTAGCATTAAATAAAAAAGAATATGTCAAAGGAATACCTGCATTCCCATGTTCATTGCATGATTATTCACAAAAGCTAAGATGTAGAATCAACTTAAGTGTCCATCAATGGATGAATGCATAGAAAATGTAAGATATATACACAATGAGATACTATTAAGTCTAAAACTAGGGTGAAATTCTGTCATTTATGACAACATAGATAAATCTGGAGGATATTATTCTAAGTAAAATAATCCAAATACCAAAGAAAATGCAGAAAACAAATGCCACATGATCTCACTTACATGTAGAATCTAATAAAGTTGAACTCATAGAAGCAGAGAGTAGAATGATGGCTACCAGAGACTGGGAAAGGAGGGGCAGTAGGAAAGGAAGGAATAGGGAGTTGTTGATCCAAGAGTACAAAGTTTCAGGTAGGAGAAATAGGTTTGAGGTCTATTATGTATAATGTACTTTATAGAGAACAATGTATAGTATATTTCAAAATAAAACAGTACATTTAAAATGTCTCATCATTGAAAATGATAGGTTTAGCCAGGCATGATGGCATGTGCCTGTGGTCCCAGCTACTCAGGAGGCTGAGGAAAGAGGATTCCTTGAGCCTGGGAGGTTGAGACTGCAGTAAGCCAAGATCACACCATTGAACTCAAGCTTGGGCAACGAGTGAGACCCTGTCTCAAAAAAAGAAACATATATATGTATATATATATATATATATATATATATATATATATTTGGTAAGTGAGGTGATGGATATGTTAATGAGCCTGATTTAATCATTTCACATTGTACACATATATCAAAACATCACATAGTACCCCATAAACATATGCAATTATGATTGGTCAATCAAAAATAATATTAATAATAACAAATATAATACTTTTTTAAAATAGAGATTTTTATAGACTACATTCTTTCATTACAATTCCAGAATGCTTAGCTACTTTTAAATAAATAAAAACTCTCCAAAATATTCATCTGATGAAAAGAGGAGCTAAAATTACCAATTACTAATTATGTAGAAATTATTGAAAGAGAGTACACCTCATAGCAGCTAAAGCTGCTCTCATAGGATAAATCAAAGCTGTGAAATGTTTTTATTTTATTAAAAAAATAAAATATCCTAGTTTTTAAGTGCTCCAAAATAAGGGCCTGAGACAAGTCTTGGCAGCAGAGAGTTTATCTGGCAGAAAGTAGGGGTGCAATCGTGTGCAAAACAAGACAAGAAAAGAGGAAGAGATGATAGAAATAAGGCTGATAAGGTGATTGCTGTTGCTGTTGTGACCGATGGGGCTGAGATCCACCATGGCCTCCTAAAAGGCATGCAGAAAGCATTCCTCCCTCTCCTGGAATTCTCCACATAAAAATAATAGTTTTATTTAAAAGTCAAATGGAAAAATAGTCAGTAGCACACAATATAAATTTAAAAATTCAATGATGAGGAAATTGCTTTACTAGACATTAAAACTTGTGATAAAATCCAGTGTAACCAAATTGGAAATAGACACAAGGATATACAGAAAATATAATTATTTTATATTAATTATGTGAAAGATTATTTAATAAATTATGTTAACATGATGGGTTATTCATCTGGGAAAAAAATGCCCAGCCCAGAACAACAGGACCTCTATCTTACCCCATACATAAAACTACATCCAAGATTGATCAAAGGTCTAAATATACTGGATGCAATGGCTCTATTTTTAGTTTTTTGAGGAATCTCCAAACGTTCTTCATCGTGGTTGTGCTAATTTACATTCTTGCCAGTATGAGGATATGAGGGTTCCCTTTTCTCCACATTCTCTCCAACATATGTTATTGCCTGTCTTTCGTGAAAGGAAAATAAACCTCAGGACCCTCCAAATCACTGAGCCAATGGGAAAAGTCAAGCTGGGAACTGCATCAGGCAAATCTGCCTACCATTTTATTCCTAAATAAGGTAGGTACGAATATTTTTTTTAAAAAGCTACATACCTCCCTTAAAATTTGCCCACAAGGAAATTCCTGTGGGCCTCAATATCTTTACCCTAAAACAGTTCTGCTGAATTCCACCTTGGCAATATAAATTGATAGCTTATCTTCACAGGTTCAGGAAAAAGGACAGAACTCAAAGTCATCCTCACCTGCGACAAATGCGTATTTGATTGCTTCCTCTGTCCTACTGTTTATGTAAAAATGCAGATTCACTAACCCAGACTGAGGCATGTGACTAATCCTCTATCCTTCTCTCACATGTAAGAAATGTGAGCCCCCCCACCCCCGCAACACTCACTCCTTTCAAGTTGTCCCACCTTTCTGGACTGAACCAATATACCTCTTATACATATTGGTTGATGTCTCACACATCCCTGAAACGTATACAATCAAGCTGTACCCCAACCACCTTGGGCCCAAGTCATCAGGACCTCCTGAGGCTGTGTCACAGGTACATCCTTAACCTTGGCAAATACGTTTTTAAATTGATTGAGACCTATCTCAGATACTTTTGGGTTCACACTTTGGATATAAAGCCATTTTAACTGGGCTGAGAGGATATCTCATTGTAGCTTTGATCTGCATTTCTTTGATAATCAATGATGTTGAGCACCTTTCATATGCCTGTTTGCCATTTGTATGTCTTTTTTTTTTTTTTTGAGATGTGGTCTCACTCTGTCACCTAGGCTGGAGTGCAGTGGCACAATCTTGGCTCATGGCAGCCTCCACCTTCTGGGCTCAAGTGATCTCCCACCTGAGCCTCTCGAGCAGCTGGGACTACAGGTACGCACAATCATTCCCAGCTATTTTTTTGTATTTTTGGTGGAGACAAGGTTTCACCGTGTTGCCCAGGCTGGTCTGGAACTCCTGAGCTCAAGCAATCTACCTGTCTTGGCCTCCCAAAGTGCTGGGATTACAGGTGTGAGCCACTGCGAATGGCCTGTATGTCTTTTTCTGAAAAATGTCTATTCAGATCTTTTGGCCATTTTAAAATCAGATTATTAAATTTTTTCCTAAATAGTTGTTTAAGTTCCTTACATATTTTGGTTATTAATCTCTTGTCAGATGGATAGTTTGCAAATAATTTTCTCTGATTCTGTGGATTCATTCTTCACTGTGTTAACTGTTTCTTCTGCTGTGCAGAAGCTTTTTAACTTGAAGTGATTCCATTTGTCCATTTTTGCATCAGTTGTTTGTGCTTGTGGGGTATTACTCAGGAAATCTTTGCCCAATCCAATGTCATAGGGAGTTTCCTCAATGTTTTCTTGTAGTAGTTTCATAGTTTGAGGTTTTCAAGTTAAGATTTTAATCCATTTTGATTTGATTTTTGTATGTTACAAGAGATAAGTGTCTAGTTTCATTCTTCTGCACATGGATATCCACTTTTTCCAGCACCATTTATTGAAGAGACTGTTTTTTTCCCAAATGCATATTTTTCACAACTTCATTGAAAATGAGTTAACTGTACATGTATAAATTTGTTTCTGCATTCTCTATACTGTTTCACAAGTCTATGTGTCTGTTGTTATGCCAATACCATGCTGTTTCAGTTGCTATAGCTCTGTAGTATAATTGAATTCAGGTAATGTGATTCCTCCAGTTTTGTTCTTTTTGCTAAGGATAGCTCTTTGGCTATTCTGAGCCCTTTGTGGATCCATATAATTTGTTGAATGTTTTTAAATTTCTCTGAAGAATGTCACTGGTATTTTGATAGGAACTGCATTGAATTTATAGATTGCTTTGGCTAGTATGAGCATTTTAACAATATTTATTCTTCCAATCCATGAACATGTAATATTTTTCCATTTTTTGATGTCTTATTCAATTTCTTCTTAAATTTATTTTTGAAATGATAATTATTAAAGAAAGTTCTTTTAAACATAAATATAAAGCTAATAATTTTGAAAATACGTGAGAGAAAGAGCTAATAATAAATAAAGCTAATAATGCCTTAAAATAGAGCTTATCCATTTTGAGGGGTGAAAAACCAAAATATATGTCTTGAGGTTGCTTTTGGAGAGCAAAAGGCATTGGGATTAAAGCATTTTGGCAAGTATTTACAGCCAACATATTATTTTTTCCGTCATCATTATTATTTATTTATTTTTTATTATACTTTCAGTTCTGGGATACATGTGCAGAATGTGCAGGTTTGTTACATAGGTATACATGTGCCATGGTGGTTTGCTGCACCCATCAACCCGTCATCTACATTAGACATTTTTCCTAATGTTTTCCCTTCACTAGGCTCCGCATCCCCTGACAGGCCCCAGTGTGTGATGTTCCCCTCCCTGTGTCCATGTGTTCTCATTGTTCAACTACCACTTATGAGTGAGAACATGTGGTGTTTGGTTTTCTGATCTTGTGTTAGTTTGATGAGAATGATGGTTTCCAGCTTCATCCATGTCCCTGCAAAGGACATGAACTCATCCTTTTTTATGGCTGCATAGTATTCCATGGTGTATATGTGCCACATTTTCTTTATCCAGTCTATCATTGATGGGCATTTGGGTTGGTTCCAAGTCTTTGCTATTGTGAAAAGTGCTGCAATAAACATATGTGTGCATGTGTCTTTATAGTAGAATGATTTATAATCCTTTGGGTAGATAACAAATAATGGGATTGCTTAGTCAAATGGTATTTCTGGTTCTAGTGGTTCTGGATCCTTGAGGAATCACCACATTGTCTTCCAAAATGGTTGAACTAATTTACACTCCCACCAACTGTGTAAAAGTGTTCCTATTTCTCCACATCCTCTCCAGCATCTGTTGTTTCCTTTTTTTTTTTTTTGAGATGAAGCCTCACTCTGTCACCCAGGCTGGAGTGCAGTGGTACAATCTCAGTTCACTGCAAACTCCGCCTCCCAGTTCAAGCAATTCTCTGCCTCAGCCTCCCAAGTAGCTGGGATTACAGGTGCCCGGCACCACACCCAGTTACTTTTTGTATTTTTAGAAAACACAGGGTTTCACCATCTTGGCCAGGCTGGTCTTGAACTCTTGACCTAGTGATCCACCTGCCTTGGCCTCCCAAAGTGCTGGAATTACAGGTGTGAGCCAGCAAGCCCGACTGTTTCCTGACTTTTTAATGATCACCATTCTAACTGGCGTGAGATGGTATCTTGTGGTTTTCATTTGCATTTCTCTGATGGCCGGTGATGATGAGCATTTTTTCATGTGTCCGTTGGCTGCATAAATGTCTTCTTTTGAGAAGTGTCTTTTCATATCCTTTACCCACTGTTTGATGGGGTTGTTTGTTTTTTTCTTGTAAATTTGTTTAAGTACTTTGTAGATTCTGGATAGTAGCCCTTTGTCAGATGGGTAGATTGCATAAATTTTCTCCCATTCTGTAGGTTTCCTGTTCACTCTGATGTTAGTTTATTTTGCTGTGCAGAAGCTGTTTAGTTTTATTGGATCCCATTTGTCAATTTTGTCTCTTGTTGCCATTGCTTTTAGTGTTTTAGTCATGAAGTCTTTTCACATGCCTATGTCCTGAATAGTATTGCTTAGGTTTTCTTCTAGGGTTTTTATGGTTTTAGGTCTTATGTTTAAGTCTTTAATCCATCTTGAGTTAACTTTTGCATAAGTTAACTTTTGCATAAGGAAGGGGTCCAGTTTCAGTTTTCTGCATATGGCTAGCCAGTTTTCCCACCACCATTTATTAAATAGGGAATTCTTTCCCCATTGCTTGTTTTTGTCAGGTTTGTCAAAGATCAGATGGTTATAGACGTGTGGTGTTATTCCTGAGGCCTCTGTTCTGTTCCATTGGTCTATGTATCTGTTTTGGTACCAGTACCATGCTGTTTCGGTTACTGTAGCCTTGTAGTGTAGTTTGAAGTCAGATAGCATGATGCCTCCAGCTTTGTTCTTTTTGCTTAGGATTGTCTTGACTTTACGGGCTCTTTTTTTGGTTTCATATGAAATTTAAAGTAGTTTTTTTCTAATTCTGTGAAGAAAGTGAATGGTAGCTTGATGGGGATGGCATTGAATCTATCAATTACTTTGGGCAGTATGGCCATTTTCATGATACTGATTCTTCCTATCTATAAGCATGGAATATTTTTCCATTCGTTTGTGTCCTCTCTTATTTCCTTGAGTAGTGCTTTGTAGTTCTCCTTGAAGAAGTCCTTCACATACCTTGTAATTTGTGTTCCTAGGTATTTTATTCTCTTTGTAGCAACTGTGAATGGGAGTTCATTTATGATTTGGCTCTCTGTTTGTCTATTATTGGTGTATAGGAATGCTAGTGATTTTTGCACATTGATTTTGTATACTGAGACTTTGCTGAAGTTGCTTATCAGCTTAAGAAGATTTTGGGCCAAGACCATGGGGTTTTCTAAATATACAATCATGTTATCTGCAAACAGAGACAATTTGACTTCCTCTTTTCCTAATTGAATCCCCTTTATTTCCTTCTGTTGCCTGATTGTCCTGGCTAGAACTTCCAATACTATGTTGAATAGGAGGGGTGAGAGACAGCATCCTTGTCTTGTGCAGGTTTTCAAAGGGAATGCTTCCAGCTTTGGCCCATTCAGTATGATATTTGCTGTGGGTTTGTCATAGATAGCTCTTATTATTTTGAGATACATTCCATCAATACCTAGTTTATTGAGAGTTTTTAGCATGAAGGGATGTTGAATTTTATCGAAGGCCTTTTCTGCATCTATTGAGATAATCATGTGGTTATTGTCACTGGGTCTGTTTATGTGATGGATTACGTTTAATAGTTTGCATATGTTGAACCAGCCTTGCATCCCAGGGATGAAGCTGACTTGATTATGGTGGATAAGCTTTTTGATGTGCTGCTGGATTCAGTTTGCCAGTATTTTATTGAGGATTTTTGCATTGATGTTCATCAGGGATATTGGCCTGAAATTTTCTTTTTTTGTTGTGTCTCCGCCAGGTTTTGCTATCAGGATGATGCTGGCCTCATAAAATGAGTTATGCAGGAGTCCCTCTTTTTCTATTGTTTGCAATAGTTTCAGAAGGAATGTTACCAGCTCCCCTTTGTACCTCTGGTAGTACTTGGCTGTGAATCTGTCTGGTCCTGGGCTTTTTTTTTGGTTGGTAGGCTATTAATTACTGCCTCAATTTTAGAACTTGTTATGGGTCTATTCAGGGATTCGACTTCTTCCTTGTTGAGTTTTGGGAGGGTGTATTTGTCCAGGAATTTATCCATTTCTTATAGATTTCCTAGTTTATTTGTGTAGAGGTGTTTACAGTATTCTCTGATAGTAGTTTGTATTTCTGTGGGATCAGTGGTGATCTCCTCTTTATTATTTTTTTGTGTGTGTCTATTTGATTCTTCTCTCTTTTCTTCTTTATTAGTCTGGCTAGTGGTCTAGCTCTTTTGTTAATCTTTTCAAAAACCCACCTCCTTGATTCATTGATTTTTTGAAAGGTTTTTCATGTCTCTTTCTATTTTTCAGTTCTGTTCTGATCTTAGTTATTTTTTGTCTTCTGCTAACTTTTGAATTTGTTTGCTCTTGCTTCTCTAGTTCTTTCAATTGTGATGTTAGGGTGTTGATTTTAGATCTTTCCTGTTTCTCCTGTAGGCATTTAGTGCTATAAATTTCCCTCTAAACACTGCTTTAAATGTGTCCCAGAGTTTCTGGTATGTTGTATCTTTGTTCTCCTTGGTTTCAAAAAACTTCTTTAATCTACCTTAATTTCGTTATTTACCCAGTAATCATTCAGGAGCAGGTTGTTCAGTTTCCACATAGTTGTGCAGTTTTGAGTGAGTTTCTTAATCCTGAGTTCTAATTTGATTGCACTGTGGTCTGAGAGACTGTTGGTTATGATTTCTGTTCTTTTGCATTTGCTGAGGAGTGTTTTACCTCCAATTACGTGGTCAATTTTAGAATAAGTGCGATGTGGTGCTGAGAAGAATGCATATTCTGTTTATTTGAGATGAAGAATTCTGTAGATGTCTATTAGGTTGGCTTGGTCCAGAGCTGAGTTCAAGTCCTGAATATCCTTGTTAATTTTCTGTCTTGTTGATCTGTGTAATAATGACAGTGTGGTATTAAAGTCTCCCTCTATTATTGTGTGGGAGTGTAAGTCTCTTCCTAGGTCTCTAAGAACTTGCTTTATGAATCTGGGTGCTCCTGTATTGGGTATATATATATATTTAGGATAGTTAGCTCTTCTTGTTGCATTGATCCCTTTACCATTATGTAATGGTGTTCTTTGTCTCTTTTGATCTTTGTTGGTTTAAAGTCTGTTTTATTAGAGACTAGGATTGCAACATCTGTTTTTTGTTTGTTTTTTTTTTTTGCTTTCCATTTACTTTTCTCCATCCTTTTATTTTGAGCCTATGTGTGTGTCTTTGCACGTGAGATGGGTCTCCTGCATACAGCACACCAATGGGTCTTGACTCTATCCAATTTGACATTTGACTCTATCAAATGTCTTATAATTGGGGCATTTAGCCCATTTACATTTAAGGTTAATATTGTTATGTGTGAATTTGATCCTGTCATTATGATGCTAGCTGGTTATTTTGCCTGTTAGTTGATGAAGTTTCTTCATAGAGTGGTCCTTACAATTTGGTATTTTTTTGCAGTGGCTGGTACTGGTTGTGCCTTTCCATATTTACTGCTTCCTTTAGGAGCTCTTGTAAGGCAGGCCTGGTGGTGACAAAGTCTCTCAGCATTTGCTTGTCTGTAAAGGATTTTATTTCTTCTTCACTTATGAAGTTTAGTTTGGCTGGATGTGAAATTCTTGGTTGAAAATTCTTTTCTTCAAGAATGTTGAATATTGGCCTCCACTCTCTACTGGCTTGTAGTGTTTCTGAAGAGAGATCTGCTATTAGTCTGGTGGGCTTCCTTTTGTGTGTAACCTGACCTTTCTCTCTGGCTGCCCTTAACATTTTTTCCTTAATTTCAATCTTGGTGAATCTGACGATTATGTGTCTTGGGGTTGCTCTTCTTGAGGAATATCTTTTGGTGTTCTCTGTATTTCCTGAATTTGAATGTTGGCCCGTCTTGCTAGGTTGGGGAAGTTCTCCTGGATAATATTTTGAAGAGTGTTTTCCAACTTGGTTCCATTCTCCTCGTCACTTTCAGGCACACCAATCAAACATAGGTTTGGTCTTTTCATATCGTCCTATATTTCTTGGAGGATTTGTTTGTTTCTTTTCATTATTTTTTCTCTAATCTTGTCTTCACACATTATTTCTTAAGTTGATTTTCAATCTCTGATATCCCTTCTTTTGCTTGATTGATTCGGCTATTGATACTTGTGTATGCTTCACGAAGTTCTTGTGCTATGATTTTCAGCTCCATTAGGTCATTTGTGTTCTTCTCTAAACTGGTTATTCTAGTTTGCAGCTCTTGTAACCTAGTATCATGATTCTAAGCATCTTTGCATTGAGTTTGAACATGCTCCTTTACCTCAATGGAGTTTGTTATTACCTACCTTCTGAAGCCTACTTTTGTTAATTTTTCACTCATTCTCCATCCAGTTTTGTTCCCTTGCTAGAGAGGAGTTGTGATCCTTTGGAGGAGAAGAGGCATTCTGGTAATTGGAATTTTCAGCCTTTTTGTGCTGGTTTTTCCTTATCTTCATGGATTTATCTACCTTTGGTCTTTGATGTTGGTGACCATCAGATGGGGTTTCTTTGTGGATGTCCTTTTTGTTGATGTTGACGCTATTCCTTTCCATTTGTTAGTTTTCCTTCTAACAGTCAGGCCCCTCTGCTGCAGGTCTGCTGGAGTTTGCTGGAGATCCACTCCAGACCCTGTTTTCCTGGGTATCACCAGTGGAGGCTGCAGAACAGCAAATTATGCTGCCTGATCCTTCTTTTGGAAGCTTCATCCCAGTGGGGCACCCCTGCCAGATGTCAGCCAGAGCTCTCCTGTATGAGGTGTCTGTAGACCCCTGCTGAGAGGTGTCTCCCAGTCAGGAGGCATGGGGGTCAGGGACCCACTTGTGGAGGCAATCTATCCCTTAGCAGAGCTTGAGCACTGTGCTGGAAGATGCACTGTTCTCTCCAGAGCCGGCAGGCGGGAACATTTAAGTCTCTTCTTATTCAATTTCTTACATCAATGTGTTTTAGTTTTCTTTGTAGAGAACTTTCACTTCCCTGGTTAATTTCTAGATATTTAATTTTATTTTTAATTATTGTAAATGGGATTGCTTTTTAAATTTCTTTTTCATATTGTTCTCTGTTGGCATATGGAAATGTTACTAATTTTTATATATTGACTTTGTATCCTGCAACTTTAACAAATTTGTTCAAGAGTTCTAACAGTTTTTTAATGAAATCTTTAGGTTTTTCCAAATATATGATCGTATCATCTGCAAACAAGGATAATTTGACTTCTTTCTTTTTAATATTTATGCCCTGTATTTCTTTCTCTTGTTTTATTGCCCTAAGTAGGACCTCCAATACTGTGCTGAATAACAGTGGGGAAAGTGAACATCTTTGTTGTGTTCCAGATAGAGGAAAGGCTTTCAGTTTTCCCCATTTGGTATGATACTAGCTGTAGGTCTGTCATATATGACTTTTATTGTGTTGAGATATGTTCCTTTTATACCCATTATTTGGAGAGTTTTTATTATGAAAGGATGTTGAATTTTATCAAATGCCTTTTCAGCATCAAATTGAAATGATCATATGGTTTTTGTCCTTTATTCTGTTGTATACAATCAATGATGTATCACATTTATTGTGTATGTTGAGCCATGCTTGCATCTCAGGGATAGATCCCACTTTGTTGTGATGAATGATCTTTGTAATGTATTGTTGAATTAGGTTTGCTGGTATTTTGTTGAGGAGTTTTGCATCAATTTTCATCGGAAATGTTGGCCTGTAGTCTGTGTGTGTGTGTGTGTGTGTGTGTGTGTGTGTGTGTGTGTGTGTGTCTTTGTCTGGTTTTGGTATTAGCGTAATACTGGCATCATAGAATGCGTGGAAAATATTCCTTCTTCTATTTTTCTGAATACTTTCAGTAGGATTGGTTTTACTTCTTTCGATGTTTGGTGAAATTCAGCAGTCAAGCCATCCGGTCCTGGGCTTTTCTTTGCCGGGAGACTTTTTATTACAGCTTTAATCTTATTACTTGTTATTGATCTGTTTAGGTTTTGGATTTTTTTCATGATTCAATTACAGATAGGTTATATGTGTCTGGAAATTTATCCATTTTCCATTTATTCTAGGTTTCTAATGATCCTTTGAATTTCTGCAGTATCAGTTGTAATGTGTCCTTTTTCATCTCTAATTTTATTTGAGTCATCTCTCTTTTTTTCTTACTTAGTCTGGTTAAGGTTTGTCAGTTTGCTTACTTTTTTAAAAACTATTCATTTTGTTTATTTTATTACATATTTTTTATTGTACTTTATTTTTTTCTGACACAGGGTCTCATTTTTGTCTCCCAGGCTGGAGTGCATGGGTGACATTTTGACTCGATGCAGCTTTGACCTCTTGGGCTCAAGCGATCCTCTCACCTCAGCCTCCTGAGTAGCTGTGACTACAGGCACATGTCACCACATCTGGCTAATTTTTTTATTTTCATATTTCTTATAGAGGCAGGTTTTTACCATGGTGCCCAGTCTCCTCTCAAACTCCTGGGCTCAAGGGATTCACCCTCCTTGGCCTCCATATGTGATGGGACTACAGGCATGAGCCACTTTACCTGCCTCGTTGATTTTTTATATTGTTTTCTTCATTTCAATTTCATTTATTTCTTCTCTGATCTTTTTTTTTTTTTCCTTTAGAGACAGGGTCTCACTCTGTCACCCAGACTGGAGTGCAGTGACGTGATCATGGCTCACTGCAGCCTTGACCACCTGGGGTCAAGTGATCCTCCCACCTCAGCCTGCCAAGTAGCTGGGACCACAGTAATATGCCGCCATACCCAGCAAAAATTTTTTTGCAGAGACGACATTTCACCATGTTGCTCAGGCTGGTCTCAAACTCCTGAGCTCAAGCAATCTGCCCACCTCAGCCTCCCAAAGTTCTGGGATTACAGTGTGAGCCACCATGCCTGGCCCTTCTCTGATCTTTATTATTTCTTTTTTTCTCCTAATTTTGGGTTTGGTTTGCTCTTGCTTTTCTCACTCTTTAAGATGCATTGTTAGGTTGTTTATTTGATGTTTTTCTTCTTTAATGATGTATGCACTTATGGCTATAAATTTCCCTTTTAATACTGCTTTCACTGTATTGCATAGGTTTTGCTATGTTATGTTTCCATTATCATTTGTTTCAAGAAATTTTTCAGTTTCCTTCTTAATTTTTTCATTGACCCACTCATCATTCTGGAGTGTATTGTTTAATTTCCATGTGTTTGTACAGCTTCCAAAATTCCTCGTTATTGATTTCTAGTTTTATTCTATTGTGGTCAGAGAAGATACTTGATATTATTTCAATTTTTAAAATGCTTTAAGACTTGTTTTGTGGCCTAACATATGGTTTATCCTTGAGAATGATCCATGTGCTGAGGAGAATATGTATTCTGAGGTTGTTGGATAAAATGTTCTGTAAATATTAGTTCGATTTGGTCTTAGTGCAGATTAAGTCCAAGGTTCCTTTGTTGATTTTCTGTCTTGAATGATCTGTCCAATGCTTCAAGTGGGGTGTTGAAGTTTCTAGCTATTATTGTGGTCTATCTCCCTCTTTAGTTCTAGTAATATTTGCTTTATATATCCATGTGCTCTTCCCTGTTCTTTTCTCAAGAAGAACGGGTGTCTCCCCATAGCCAGCATAGCTGGAAATGTGCTGGGTCACACCTGAAGCCAGCACATCTCTGAGTCTTCACCCAAGGCCTACGGAAAGTACTACCTGGCTAAGACTGCTGATTGCTCAGGGGCCTAAGGGGTATTTCATCAGCAGATGATGAATCCTTCCAGGACTGGTTCCTTGCCTAAGACAGAGGGCTTTTTTTTTTAACCAGAGTGTGTCTAGAAATATCATTCAGGGGCAAGGACCTGGAATGGGGTCCTCAGGACTCTGCCTGTTTCCCTATCCTACAGTAGATAAGCTGTTATCTAAGTTGCAAGACAAAGTCCTCTTTACTCTTCTCTCTTCTCTCCTCAGGTGGAGAAAAGTTGTCTCTCCTGGAGCTGTGAGCGGTGCTGCCTGGGTTTCAGAGAGGGGTGGCGCAAGCACTTCCATGGCCACCCTGGCTGGTGTCTCACTAGGTTGCATGCTCCCCAAGTCCACTGGCTCTGAGCCCAACGTAACATCAGTATTTGCCTGTGAATTGCAGTCCTTGTGGCTTAGTTGGCCTTGCGAGTTTATTTAGAACCCCAGAGCCCTTTAGCCTGAAATGACAGGACTTACTGGAACTCAGATTCTGAGTGCTAAAATGAGCAATTCCTGTATGGCTAAAGCTGGTCTAAATGCACCCTCCATGGGCACAGGCTGAGTTCTGCCCAGTTTTGCTTTCTGCTGTGACACAGCAGCACTGAGTTCCAGTGCAGAGACCCACAATTGCTGTGCTCTCTCCACTGTAAGTGCAGATTCTCCCTCCATGGCATGCAGTCACTGCTTGCGGATGGGGGAGGGATGGTGGCAGCAATCCAAGACTATCTTTCCTACCCACTTCAGTGCCTCTTTCAGTGATATGAAGTTAAAACCAGGTACTGCTATGACTCACCTGATTTTTTGTTTTTATGAAGGGGTGTGTGTGTGTGTGTGTGTGTGTGTGTGTGTGTGTGTGTGTATAGCTGTTAAATTTGGTGTTCCTACAAAAGAACAATCAGTGGAGGCTTCTATTGTTGCTCTGCCTCCTCTACATTACATTTAGTTGTCACACCTCCTTATGTTCTTCTTGGCTGTAACAGTTTCTCAGACTTGCTTTTGATGACTGCCAGTTTTGAAGAATATTAGGTAGGTATTTTGTAGAATTGCTTCATCAATTATGATTTTTCTGGTATTTTTCTCATGATTAGACTGGCATTTTGGGTTTGGGGAGAAAGATCACAGAGGTAAAAATGATATTTTTATCATGTTGTATCAAGGGTACTATCAACATAATGCAAACAGTTCATGTTGACCTTGATCACCTGCCTAGGTAGCGTTCATCAATTTTTTTTTTTACTTTAAGTTTACTTTTTTCTTTCTCTTTTTTCATATTGTAATTTTTTGAATAAAGTCACTACGCAAAGCCCACATTTAAGGTATAGGAGTTATGTTCCACTTCCCTGGGAACAGAGTATATACATATATTATTTGAAATTATTCTGTATGAGAAATTTGTATCTTCTCCCCTATTTATTTATTCAATCATTTATTTATTTTAATATGGACTCTTGGATATTTATTTTATACTGGGTAATAACCTAATACTACTTTATTTTGTTGCTAAAATTGTGAAAGTTTGAGCCAATGGGAGGGCTTTCACTTGGCTTCTCTGTCCCTTTGACATATCTCCATCATTGTGGGTTTTTGTTTTATTTTGAGCACTTACTTTTCTAACACTACAAGATGGTCCAATTCATATTCTATATCACCTTCATTAGTACTAGAATCAGCCATTTATCCAAGGACCCATTGTTCCTTTTATTAGAGAATGATCTTAGAAATCAGATCTGAGTGCTGGGCATGTTCTTTGCTTTTTCTTTTTCTTTTTTTTTTTTGAGATGGAGTCTTTCACTCTGTCGCCAGGCTGGAGTGCAGTGGCATGATCTCGGCTCACTGCAACCTCCGCCTTCTGGGTTCAAGTGATTCTCTTGCCTCAGCCTCCTGAGTAGCTGGGACTACAGGCGTGCGCCACCATGCCTGGCTAATTTTTGTATTTTTAGTAGACAGGTTTTCACCATGTTGGCCAGGATGGTCTTGATCTCTTGACTTCGTGATCTGCCCACCTCAGTCTCCCAAAGTGCTGGGATTACATGCATGAGCCACTGTGCCCGGCTGTTCTTTGCTTTCAGGGTGTTGTTGCTTCTAAGCCATCTCAACTGGTAGAACAAGGATATACTTGTGTATACTAACCCATGTATATATACCTATCTATAAATATTTCTAATTAATCATCTTTATTGTTGCTTCTAAGCCATTTCAACTGGTAGAACAAGGATATACTTGTGTATACTAACCCATGTATATATGCCTATCTATAAATATTTCTAATTAATCATCTTTATCCATATTAAACTAAACATGAGTTCATACAGATGTCTCCAACTCTATTCCATTACCACATGGATCATTCTAGCCTCTCCTACTGGCTTATTTGTAAACTCCCACTCTAACAGTGAGACATCTGGCTTCTACCATCTGCCATCCTTTTACTTAATTTTTCAATTACAGTATACATGGATATTAATATTAGAACTGTTAAACTATACTACTGCGGAGAAAATGTTTTATCAACCAGAGTACCGTGCTTATTTACACTTTCTTTTGCTTTTAGTCCTATAGACACCACATACTTCCAAAGTTAATTAAGTCAGCATACTTTTCCCCTACTCTAAACATTTGTTTTATAATTTGTTAATTTTTTGGAAAAATCATTATATTAATTTAGATGTGCATTTACATGGGGTAAATATTTGGAAAATTTTAGTCAAATGTTGGGTGGGTTCTGTATTGTTGTAGGTCTTGCAAAAATTAGAGATATTTTCCCATTTTAAGTTAGTTTGCTCATTTAAACTGTCACATCACAAAGAGAAAAATAAGTCCTCAAGGTGTAGAAACCAGCCAAAATGTTTTATTGTCTCTTTATTCTACTTCAAACACAGTGACGAGCAATATCCAGATATTACCTGCACTTTCCTGCCCTCTGCTTGAACGTGAGATTCTTTAATTTTCCAGATGGTCTGGCGTTCCAGAGGTTCAGGTGAATGACAAAGGGTTTGCTCAACACCTACAGCACAGCCTCTACCAGCAGGACTGGATTAATGTCAGAAGGGGTAAAAATGTTCCATTTCTTTTTATTACTTTTTTCAGGCAAGAAATTGTGGGCTCATGGTGAGACTCACTCATAATCCTATGATCTCATTTGGATCACAGAGGGCAAATTTCTTCTTGTCCTTCATAGACACACAAAAAACAAGGCTGATGTCTAGAAAAACAACACGGGCACTTTGAGCTGAGGATTTACACACTGCTGGCTTACACATGGTGGTGGCAGATATTTCAAGTTCCCCAAATGAGATTTTTCTCAAGGTCTACTATAAGACATTCATCTCTCTACACTGAAAAAACTGCACGGAAACCAAACACAAATATGTTTGGAGTCAAATAAATGGTTTTGTGGACGAACGCATCCACATATTGAAAAGTTCTTGGGTATTAAATTTCACATGTAGGGAGTCTCATTGAACTACACAATAGAATGATTTAAAAATCAGCCTCATTTAGGTGATTCTGAGAACACCCTTTTAGGATGTTACCAATGCTCTTATCATTCTTAAAACAATCCTTAAGGACTGTATTTTGAAGTAAGCTCTTAGGTTACTGTTCCATGATAAAGTCATTTTCTAGGCAATTCCCTATGGAAGTGGCAATTTAATTTCAACAACTACAGAGATGATCCTGGTAAAACCTTAGTACAGATCACCCGCAGTGTAATTCTCTTTTGAGATAAAGGAAAGGTTACTCCATAGCTATTTGATCAGGATTTCTTGCCATGATGAGCATTGTATATATTTGTTTACAGACTGGTCCTTTTAGTCCCCTACTGGGATCATTTCCACGTTTCTGTTAACTGCATTACTCCCCATGAATTTTAACTGATATTGTGTCCCTAGAATTCATACTCATTGACCCTATTATGCCCCAGGAGCAATAGTAAGGAAATCCTATACAACTTTCTCACGAAACAACCCAGGCTCAACGGTATGATTTGTATCTATTAGTTTTTCCAAATATATACAATATATATTAAATTACAATATGTAATACATAATTTTTTCTCTCTCTCTTTCTCTTTCTCCACTCTCTGCAGACAGCTTATGTCCATCTGTACTGTACATGGCCACAAGCCAGGTGTTTCTAGAAGCTCTTGGTTAAATTTTACTTTATAAATCTGAAACACCCTGACATACTACTTATTTTCTTTCTTATTTAGGAAAACATGCAAAAAAAGTGACTTTTGTTTTTTTTTTCTCAGACAAGTTGTTACACCATTGATAAAAATGGCAACTCTAGCCAGAAAGCAAGGTGAGCACATGAATTGGGGTAGCACATAAACAAAATCCCATTCAGAGCACATTATTTGTATCATTGAGAATAGGATTGTTTTAAAATTTATATTGTGAAAATTGATTTCTTTTGTTATTAATAATGAAATATCTTTAGATTTGATTTCTTTTTCTATAAGGTTTAAACATACTGTTTTAAAGAAACAGGATAATATAAGAGGTTAAGAAGGTAGGCTCTGGAACCAGACTGCCTGGTTTTCAACCCAACTGCACTACTTACCAATTGGTATTATGTGACCTTAAGCATGTTATTTATCTTTTTGGTACTTCAGTTTCCACTTTTAAAAAATGGGCAAAAACTAGTTCTACATTACAGTTATGGTGGGCATAGCAAAAGAATTAATATGTGTCAGCTATTTAGAAAAAATATTGATACAGAGTAAACATTTAATAAATGTCAGTTACTCATTACTGTGCACCTATTATCACACAGTCTATTTTAATTTGTGTGGTAATATGCTTTGGTTTTAAATAGTTATTCATAAAGTATATGGTGTTTGTAACCAAATAGAAGTTGCAGAATATATCAAATTCCTAATAGTCTGGTTTATTATGTTATAGCCCACAGCAAAACTTTGAAGAAATTGAAAAATTGGACTACTTTTCTTTGAAATTACCGTTTAAATATCTACCACCTATTGGAGTAATAATCAATAATCTATATTGTAATCCGTATAAAGCTGGACCTCCTGCTCTCACTCTGAAGTCAACCTGAGCATAACATGTAACTAGAGAACAAACATACAAACAAAAACATAACAATTCAGAAAGCAATTTCATTTACTAATATCTCTGAAAAAACACCAAAAAGGATTTTTGGTCATAATACACAACAAAATATATTTAAATCCTTTTTCACCTATCTTCTTAAAGTCCTGTACCACATGGTAGAGCAGCTCACTGTGTATTCATCCTAAGATTTTTTTTTTTTTTGAGACGGAGTTTCACTCTTGTTACTCAGGCTGGAGTGCAAGTGCAATGACACGATCTCGGCTCACTGCAACCTCCACCTCCCGGGTTCAAGCAATTCTCCTGCCTCAGCCTCCTGAGTAGCTGGGATTACAGGCATGCGCCACCACGCCCGGCTGATTTTGTATTTTTAGTAGAGACGAGATTTCTCCATGTTGGTCAGGCTGGTCTCGAACCCCTGACCTCAGGTGATCCACCCGCCTTGGCTTCCCAAAGTGCTGGGATTACAGGCGTGAGCCGCCACGCCCGGCTCAGAATTTCTTAAAATATGCCCTAAAGACAGCCTGGATTAGTCCTTACCTTTCTTGCCCTCCTTTCCTTTAGGATCCATATTTTTCTTCTGCAAGCAACTCTTTGTCATTTCCAGTATAAAGCAATCTAGCTCAAACCCCTTTCAGTTATTTCTTTATTTGGTACTCTGATATGCACAACAAAACCTAGGCATTTAAGACTTAAGAAAATTATTCATAGTGGTCAGGCCAAGAAAGAGGATATGAAGGTTTATATGTTGGCTTACACTTGTAAACCCAGCACTTTGGGATGCTGAGGCAGGAGGATCACTTGAGTCTAGGAGTTTGACATCAGCCTTGACAACATAGTGAGACCCTATCTCTACAAAAAATAAAAAATATAGCTGGGCATGGTGTCACGTACCTGTAGTTGCAGCTACTTGGGAGGCTGAGGTGACAGAAATGCTTGAGCACAGGAGATCGAGGCTGCAGTGAACTGTGATTATACCACTGCACTCCAGCGTGGGCAACAGAGCAAGACCCTGACTCAATAAATAAATAAATATTTTTTTAATAAATAAAACGTAATATTTTTCTACAACAATTGGAGTTATAACATAGAAAAATAGACTATGTGATTAATAAAGACACATACTTGTATACATACCTAGTATTTATTTTTCAGTCCACACTTATGCTTACTAGTTAACTGACAAAACATATATGCAAAAACAGCTATAATGACAAATTGTGGTGTCTTTCTTTAGACATGAGAAGTCTAATTTTAGAAAGACCTTGATGGTCAACTGATTCTGGTCAAAAAGTACTAATTTGTTACATCTTGAAGTGTTTACATACCAATAGTAGCACAATTAAGCATGTGTTTTGGATAGTGTCCTTGTTTCTAAACATTGTAAAGTGTAGTATTAAAATCCTGCTTTATCAGAATATTTAGTTGAACTGTCCTTTTAGAATCTGGATCCTTGTTTGGAATCACTGCTCATTTTATTACTTATTTTGGTTTTTTTTTGAAAAATGAGAGAATGGGGGAATTTACAGTCAAGTGATTTTCAAAATTTAGTAAGTAATTCCTGTGAAATTAAAACATTCTGTTGGAACATAGAAGAGGAGAGTGAGATCAGCAATACTGCATAGTACCTAGTTTATTGTTAATGCATCCTTTCATAATGACATAGTAGAATCAGATGTAGATAACTGGATATGACATTTAGCTGTTACCAAGTGATAAAATGTTGATTGCTTTATACTACTGCCTAGCTACACCCCCAAATGAGTTTTCAGGTTAGGAATAATTTCTGAAATAGGTTACAGATGGTATAATGATGTGATAAATGTTTGGAGTTAAAGTGAAGATAAATCAATAGCTGAAAATATTCTTGGTGTAAAAAATAAAAAGCATTCTAGGGATGAAACTGACACTTTTTTTTTTGGCTCATGAGCATTTATTTAGATCTTTAGAAGAAAATTATGAGCTATATTTTTATTCTTTACCACAGAGAAGCATCTGAAATACAGGGATCCTTTGAATAAAAATATACACAATCAATAGCCACAGTTTTTGTACCTCAGGATATTTATCTGACTTTGTGAAGCAGATATATTTTTCTGGTATGCAAAGCCTTAACAGCTAGGTATCAAAAGAATTATTTGTCTTGATTTTTTGCCTTAGAAAATGTTTTGAAGTAGACCTAACGATTAAACCTTTAGGAAAAAATGAATTATTCATATCTTTCCTGTGTGACTTATTGCTTTCATCACAACTGTATATTAACAATATTTCATAGTCACTATAGGTAGTGCCTTATGTTTAACTATGAGAGAAGTTTGTCTAGAAACAAAGTACTGTTGTTTTATTGGTTCATCAGGAGGATAAGCTCTCTTTTAAGCACCATTATATAATGTCAGTGATTTAGAGAAAGTCCTCTTACTCTTTTACCCATAGACTAGTTGTCAGATAATGTTAAGACTTATTCCATAGAGTCACCCTTAATTCCTGTTAGTAACATTTAGTAAGTACTGAAGATATATGCAAAATGTAAACTTGTGTCATAAATTAAAGTCATTACAAGAGTACACAGAATACAAGTTAATGCAATCGTGTTTAGCTTCTCTTCTATTGGATTCTTTTTTTACTCATATGAAATTATTGTCTTATGATATTTAAAGCAAAAGAAAGCAAAAAGTTCAACACAAAGTAGAGAGAGGACAATAGTAAGCTCTCAACTGCCAAGATTAATAATGTGCTTTGGGTATGCAGAAAATCAAACAGCAAGGTACTGACTTAATAGGGGGCAGAATCCTGTTTGTCATTCACTGTTTACCCACAGGTCTCTGAAATTGTCTGCTCTGTTATGAAATGTATAGTGAAGTAGCTGATAGCAGTGTATTTTCTCCAATAGGATTCTGATCCTTACTTTAGGTCTATCTAGTGCTGTCAAAAAATAAATTACTAGTCTTGAAAGTTTGCCCTAGGAAAGCTCCATCTTGATATAAAAAAGTAGGAGCAGACATCTGGTAGATATAAGCTACCTAGCAAGTGACAGAAGAATGTATATAATATGCTTATTTCATTGGTTTACTAAGTTGGAAAGTAATATATTTCTATATCACTGGCTATTGGACAAGGTAGAGAGTTTATAAAGACATTATTAAATATATTATGAATTATTAATGTCCTTCCCCAACCTATCAAGCTAAAAAAATGAAGTATTGGTAGAATAAATTATTTGACATTAGGTAGAATAGTGTAAGATTAAATTTGAGGGAACAAATTTCCTTGTGTTTTGTGCTTTTTCTTGTCTCAAAATTTTGAATCCAGCAAGCCCAGCTATTTCTTTTTCTTTTTGAAATTTTAAAGTATTTTTAATTGACAAATTAAAATTGTATATACCCAAGATATACAATATGATGACTTGATATACATATACATTGTATACTAATTATCATGTGAAATTATGAACTATTTTTTAAAAATTGCTTTTCTGGGGGTCTTCATTAGTGAGGAAGTGAGTAATCTTGTATTTTTGTGTCTTAAAAGCACTTTTTTCTATCTACATGTTGTATAGCTACTTTAATGCAAGTGCTTACACTGCCATACTATCATTCTTTGCTTATGTCTACTGTAGACAATCAAAGTTGTAATGAGTATCAATGATCATTGTTGTTGTATTGTATGTCTTCACATTCGAAGTAAAGCCCAGATATTCTTCAGAGAAAACTACACAGGAAGCCAGTGTGACATCTATGACACATATTAGAGATAGAAGATTTTGAATTCCATCACTATCTTTGTAATCTGTAAAATCCAAAATTGCTAGGTTTTTGATAATTGGTGAGTACTTTTACTCATACCACTCCCATGCCCTTCCCGCCTCACTATTACTTCTCAAACTTTTTGGACTTCTCCATTTGTGTCTCCTCACAAACGACTGGAAAAAAAAATTGGTTGAGAAAGCAAAAGTTGGTGACATTTCATATTTTACTGTTAATTAAAATCTTCAATATTTATATAGTTTTCTTTGTACAAGAATAGTATTGTAGACTTTTTACTAGTGATATTTTGTTTGAATATGCAAACCCATAATTATTAGATCAAGGAAGGTTAGCTAAAATTAAGAGATCTCATAGACTAAACGCTACCTTGAGGAATTTACCACAGTCTAACACTAGGGTGTGACATTTAGTGTTTCAGGCTTTAAACATTTTTAATTGTATATAGTAAAGTAATACATGTACATAGTTTAAAAGTCAGAGTTGATAATGAAAAGTAGCAGGTCATACACTGCTTCACCTATGGCTTACTCCCAGATAATTTCTCTCCTGAACCTACCATTTTCAACTCTTAAATTGTTTTATTTTTTTAAATTTATAATTTACCTGTTATTTGAAAACTTCTGCTTAAATTCCTATTTCTTATTATATCAGTTTGATCATTATAACTTATTTCCTACTGTGAAAGCCACCTTTTACCAATTGTCCTCCATCCATTCTTCCAGCAGAATTACATCATAAGTTTTGGTGAAGTCAACATTTAGTTTTGCATTATTATGATTATGGCTATGTACTTTTACTCTATATTGTTCATTGCTGTGACATAAATTGTACAATTCTTATATTTCCTTTTGGAATTAATGACTGCCTCATTTTGGGAGGGTTTAGTTTTTTTTATAACTGTGATTGATTTATCCACAAACTCTGCAACAAAAATCTTTTTAAAAAGCTGAAATAAACTCTTAATCATGTTTTAAAAATCAGGAAATTCAGTAGTTTCCTTTGGATCCTTGAGAAATCACACTAGGCATCCTTCATCTTCCTGCTTCAGTCTAGAGTGGTAAATTTCAGTGCCTGCCTCAGAGCTGTCATTCTGGGCCATCCACTCACGATCATTTAAGAAATCCCTTACCTGTTTGCTATGTTGAAGTTTATATTTTCTGAGTTTCATGTCTTTTACTTTGTGGTTGACTACCTCATTTCAGCAAAACTCATCTTCCAGTTGTTTTCTAAGAAAAGGTTTATGGACTTGCGTATATAAAAATGTCATTTTTTTCCTTTTTTTTTTTTTTTTTGGTGAGTCAGGGTCTTGCTTCCAGCACACTTTGTATGATTTTTTTTTTTCAGTCATTGTTCTGGGCATTTGGCGGCCTTTTTCATGTGGAAATGTATATTTTCTCATTCTGATATTTTTACTTAAATTGTATCTTTAATAATTGTATCTCATGCATTTTCTTTTTTTTGTTTCTGAAAATTCTGTTGGTTAAACAGAGATCTCTTGGTTTTGGTCATTTAACTTTATTTGTTTTCTTCAGTGGTGAAATTTTTCATAATTTTGTTATATTAATAAGAAATAGTCTCAACATTAACATTTAGAAGTTCAACTTAGCATATTTTTTTAATTTGACAACTGTGTTTCTAATTTCTAAGAATACGTTCTTGTTCTCTGAATGCTCCTTTATTTTTCAGCCCCAGCCAACACATTGTTTGTAGCTTTACGAGTGACCTTCAGGGAGAGATACCTAGCTTAGTCATGTCTGGATCTTGACCCACAAAAACTATGAGATGATAAATGTTGTTTTAAATGCTAGGTTTTGGAATAATGTTTTATGCAGCAATAGATAACAAGCAAATACAACAAGACTTTTTGGTTTTCTTAAAAATATATACATATTTTCATGAGAAAAGACAAGCAACACAGCTGAATATAGCAGTATTCTCTTAACACAGGGCAAAAAGAATATTTTATATCCATGTATTATTAGTGCTTTTGGCATTTTATATAGATCAAATTATAAAGAATGAATATGAATATTTTCCTTTCTTCCATTCATGAATTGCTATCTTATGATGTTATTAATGGCTATTAATGAATGTCCTACATTCTCAATTTGTTAAATTTCAAATTACTTTCCATGTTATTAGTCTGTATATTTTTATATTGTTCTGAATTAGCGAAGATAAACCTTTAAATCACAAAATTTCAAATGAAATTTCAGTGTATTAAATGCCCCCCAGTGGCCACGTGCGGTGGCTCATGCCTGTAATCCTAGCACTTCGGGAAGCCAGGCAGGAGGATCACTTGAGCTCAGGAGTTCAAGGCCAGCCTGGGTAGTATAGTGACATCCCATTTCTACGAAAATTAAAAAATTAGCTGGGTCGGTGGTGAATGCCCGCTGTCCTAGCTATTTGGGAGACTAAGGTGGGAGGATCACTTGAGCCTGAGAGTCAAGGCTGTAGTGAGCTGTAATCATACCATTGCACTGCAGCCTGGACAACAGAGTGAGACCCTGTCTCAAAAAAAAAGCCCCACACCCGAATACTATCATTACCAATGACCATTAAGGTGATAAAGAATGTAATTATGACAAGGATCAGTATGAATTCCATTTATGTTCAAATGCATGTTCACTGAAGATGCCATGATCAGTGACGAAATTAGTGAATAAAATGGGAGTCCTGTACACCTTTCTCCTTCTTTTTATTTATTTTTATTACTTTTTTATTTTTTAAAATGGAATACTTCACAAACTTGCATGACTTCCTTGTGCAAGAGCCATGCTACTCTTCTCCATATCATTCCAATTTTAGTATATATGCTGCTGAAGTGAACACTTTTAATAAAAATATTTTATCACTTGGCTAGAAACTAAAGAAGATCTGATGGACTACGAAAGGAGTGCTGTCATAAAGAAGAAAAGTTACCATAATGGAAATCAGATATAGGCAACATATTCAATGTCAGTAGTAAAAGAGGTCATTTTAAAATCATGTTTGAAAAAGTGGGTGGGGAGTGGAGCAAAATAGCTGTTACTGAATAACCATTCTTTGCCAGACACTATGCTAACTGCTTATGCACCATCTCATTTAATACCCACAACAACCCTGTGAGTTAGGCATTTGACTCTCCTTTTGCAGATTAGGAATCTGATGCTCACTTGTTAGTGCCAAGGAGTTAATAAGCAATATTGCTGAAATGCAACCCCAGATATGTGGGACCCCAAAGCTTCTCTTCTCTCTGTAATTCCCTTTCTGATACAAATGAAGAATTCTATTTCATATCTGATATGGTTTGACTGTGTCTCCACCCAAATCTCATCTTGAATTGTAATCCCCATAATCCTCACATGTCAAGGGAGGGACCCAGTGGGAGGCGATTCTATGGGGCAGGGTGGCGGGGGGAGGTTTCCCCAATGCTGTTCTTGTGATAGTGAGTGAATTCTCATGAGATCTGATGGTTTTATAGGCATCTGGTATTTCCCCTGCTTGCTCTTCTCTCCCTGCTGCCATGTGAAAAGGTCCAAGCTTGCTTCCCCTTCACCTTCCACCATGATTGTAAGTTTTCTGAGACCTCCCTAGCCATGTGGAACTGTGAGTCAATTCAACCTCTTTCCTTTTTAAATTACCCAGTCTCAGACAGTTCTTTAGCAGTGTGAAAACCTACTAATTTAATATTCCTTAATACTATTACTCATTTCATGAGTATTTAGCTTCTCCCATATGCCACAGTTAGTTCTAGATATTATGGGTAAAAAAAGGAGTCTTGCTTCTGAAAACTGACAGATGTTGTTGAATTTCAAACAATAAATAATTTTTTAGCAATTTATTTTACAGTTAAAAATCTCATTGATACTACTTATTTTAGTGACTGATTTTCTCCTTTGAATATGAGTCAAATCTGACAATTTTAGTTGCAATCCATGCAATAACATGGGACTCAAAATTCCTGTCATTTTGTTCTGCAAATGTTGAATTGAATAGCAACACAAATAAATAACGAAGGGCCACACCCACAGAGTAAACAAATTAAATCAGACATAAAATTTTATGAATGCCCTTTTTTGTTCTAAAAAAATAGCAAAAATTTTTAAGATTAACATTATTTATTTGAGTAATCTTAACTCTGTTTATTTGGCACTGTTTCTGAAGACATTATTGGTTTTTGATGTGGCATGCAGAAGTAACTCAAATGGACTATAAAAGAATAATGTGATCTCTGAGGAATGCTGAAACATTACTGTTATTTTTAAGAAATGTCAACCAATTGTGAAGAACTTTGTGTAGGGTTTTTTTTCAAAACTTGATGTGCAACTCACTGGTTTAACATGTGTTGGCATGGAGATATTTTTTCTGGAATAATGTGTTTTCATTAGAAAAAAAAAATGACCTCAGGGTGCAATCAATGCACTGTTTCTTTTCCTCCCTTCTGTTGTGGAATACATAGTATATGGCTTTTGTTGGAAGAGGCAAACAACAAAACAAAACAACAACAACCAAAACAAAAACAAACAAACAAAAGAACCTTAGCATTGTCATTGAAAAAGGATTTCAAAATGGCTTAGAAAACTGGCCTTACTTCAAAGAGCACATGTAAACTAGTTATTGCACCTTGTCTGAAGAATCAGAAGTTTAGTCTGTTTTTTTTTTCTTTTTTAGTTCTAAAATTCATTTGCCCGTTTCTGACCACATGGCAGGCTAGATGCCTACCTTAATTCTCTGATAAAAACAAGAGAACATTTCTGGTAAAATATATTTAATAATATTTTCTTAAATGTATCAATGAACTGACAGTAAACTAAGAAAATCTTAGGTCTGTTATCTAAGCGAAGTCAGGAACTCAGAAAGGTAAGTGGAGAAATGGAACTGGCTTCCTTCCTAACCACATTTCTCGATGGCCTCACAGGGTATTGGAACAAGAAACAAATTCAAGGCATATATCTAAGATAAGGAGTCTAATAGGAGGACATTCCTCCCCCATAAAAGTGGGATGTCAAATGGCTATGTAAGGGTGAGCCAAAATCAGACCTTCCCTCCTCACTTTACTCCCCAAGGAAACAAGGATAATCAACATTCTTGGACATAATGGCTGTCCTGGGAAGGGTGAAAACACATAGCTAACATAGCTGAGAATATGAATTACAATCCAACCCTCAGGCTCAATGTGTAGTAGAGGTCCAGCAGAGTAAGACAGGAAAATAAAGGACTGGGGGAAAAAAAAATTGTCATTATTTGCAGAAGATATGAATAGACATATAATAGTAAAAAGTTTACAAATAGAATTAAGAAAAAATAATGTTACTGGATTTAAAATGAATATACAAGAAGCAATTCCAATCCTATGTGATCTAGTAGTTTTGTTTGTAATGGCAAAAATATGTAAACAACTCATGTCAACCAAAAGTGAATTGAACAAAAATTTTAGTACAGGCAAATATTTGAATAGTGTACAGCGGCAAAACAGAAGTAATGGCAGCTACATATTGTCTTGGATGAATCGCACAAATGTATCAATATATATGAGCAAATGGAGCAAGTCATGGAAGACCCTCATTTGTATAAATAGGGATTCATTTATAGAAAGTCAAAAACAGGCAACACTAAACAACTTGTTGGTTAGGAGTACAATTTTTGAAGGTACAAAGATGAAGAAAAGTAAAAGAAAGATTATTATAAAAGAAAAGACATTAAATACAGCTTTGACAAAAGAAATTTTGAACTCTACTTGGCATTGAATTTCATTGAAAGTGCTTTGAGGGTTTCCTCTTTGATAAACATGGTGTAGATTCTGGTCCTACAGAGGATCTGAATTTTATGTCATCTTTTTATATCATTACTTGTTGTCACTTCATAATACAAAAAAATGTATTTAAGTATAATTTTTATTTTTAAAAGTAATATATGCATATAGTTTAAAAGAGCAAACAGTGCAAGGTTTCTAATCAACAAGCCCTAATCCTCGGCCGTACCTCTCCCCACCCATGGAATGTAATTTTAATTAGAGGTAAGCAATAACAATACTTAATTTTTTTCTTCTTTCATTTGCCTCTGTATTTTTATTTTATTTAAAAAATATATATGTATATATAAAATTTAAAAATATATATTGTTAGAGACTTGAGTCTCATTATGTTGCCCAGGCTGACTCCTGGACTCAAGCTATCCTCCCACCTCAGCCTCCCAAAGTGTTGGGATTATAGGCATGAGCCACCATGCCTGGCCACCTCTGTATTTTTAAATACTACATATATACTGGTATTCCTTGATTTTTTCAATTTCAAGCATATATTGACTTTCTAATATAGAAGATAAAGATGTAGTACTATAACACATATGTTCCCTCTTCATTCTGCTTATGTAGTTATATCATGATTTTTAATAAGTCATATTCATCGCTTTTATTTTTGTGATATGGAAATACTGCTCAATGGTGAGCCACATAGTATGCTACAGTTATAGTTACTTTTCTGTACAATGTTTTGTTTTTCTAGGAGCAACATTTGCCTTGTTGTATTGTTATTGTTGGCTTTGTTTTTCTATAATCCTATCACTACTTCTCTCCAAACTCTCCAAGATAATTGCAAGCAAGTCATCACAATATGGCCAAATGTTTCAGTTGATCAATCATTTCCATTTTTATTTTGTAGAAAAAATTCCAGAACTATTTTACCCTCTATTCCATTATGACTGCTTTCAAGGTCTGCTATTCAGATCTTTCCTTTTACTGTCATACAGGTAATTCCTTCACCTCTCTTCTGTTTTCTTTCATTCAACAAATACCCTAGAAAGGTATGTACCAGGCAATATTATGGATGCTGGCAATAAACTGATGAAAACTGATTAGCTACTTTGATGGAGCTAACATCTAATGAGAAAAGCATAACTTTAAAAAATGTGGTAAGATGTTAAACTTTAAGTTTCCAATAAGGCATGTAAGTACCAAAGTGAGGTAAAAAATCAGTATTAAAATTTTCACAAGAGAGTTGAAAAGTTCTTGCTTGATTCTTTAACTGCTCAGAAAATAATCAGATTATAGAAAACTTTGTGATAAAGGATCAGGAAAGGATGTCTTGCTATTTATTTTTTAATATTAGGTGATCAGTAAAGATCTCTCTTTATGTTACTGATATTTGGGCAGAAATCTAAAGGAAGTGAGTGAATAAGCCATATGAATACCTAAAGGGAAGAGCATTCCAGTCAGAGGAAATCAAAACTTCAAAGGCTTTGAGGTAAGAAAATGCTTAATGTGTTTAGGAATAGCAGGGAAGTCTCTACGGATTAGAAGGGCTTGGAGGAGGCAGGAGGAAGATTAGATGTAGATGAAATCAGAAAGTGAGATGGTGGCTTGACTGGAATGTGGATCACTGGATGTGATAAGAAATGGACAGATTCTGGATATGCTTGACAGTGGAACTGGCAGGATTTCCTGATAGCTTGGATATGATGCATGACTGAAAGAGAGGAGTCAAGAATGATTTCAGTGTTTTAGCCTGAGTAACTGGAAATGGAGGTAGGGCATTTACTGAGATGGGGAAGACTCCAGAAGGAAGAAGAGATAGCACATATTCCAAAGTTCAATTTGGAAATGTTAAATGATAAAAGTCCTATTATCTAAGCAAATGGAAATATCCAGGTGGCAGTTGCATATAGGAGTGTACAGTGCAGGTGCAACATTAGGGGCTGGAGATAAAAGTATGGGAGTCATTACGGTAGGCCTGGTATTTTAAAGTCGTGGATAGCTAAGTTCCTGTAGGGTATAAGCTGCCTACATTTGGTGAGCTATATCTTCCAATTTATTTCTCTCTTCCCAAACAAATAACATTTCTCTTTTAGGTTAGTTTGCCTTGACATTTCATTAAACCTATGTCTATATTCCTTACCAAATGCTTTTCCTCTGAGTATATCCGCCTATGTCTGATAAGGCCTGACTTTAGCATATATTTTTACCCATACTCGGAGGATGCATAATCTCCTTTGGTTGTTTCTTGGTGTAAAAAAGAAGCCTGCCTACACTCAGAATACATGTAAGGCCTCCACTGAACTCTGTCTTCTTGTATGTTATGGCTTGACTTAAGGCAAATCCTTACATACATGTACTATAAGTATTCTTTCTAAAATATGCTTCCTTGAATAGGATGAGGTGAGATGACAAGCTAAATCCTTGTCACAACTTTGAAAAATTCTTCCCAGATTCATCAGCTTATGTCCGAGTAGGTAAACCCTAACCTGCAGTCTCCACACTTGAACAAACCAAATTCTCTGTGATTTCTAACATTCTCTTTGTCCTTGTGAGTTTATGTCTTTTGTATTTATCATTTTAGTGGTGTTTTTGAATGGAACAGAAATAAATGCATTTGTTCAAGCTGTCACATTTAACAGGCCAAATCATTTTTATATCATAAGAATCCAGTAAAATGTTTTTTATAGGGTGTTTCTAGTTATAACAAATGTATATTATATGGCTGACCTTACTTAATAGCAAATAACCTTCTTCAAATGATAAAAGAAGGTTTTAAAAATTACTCAGTGCTTATTGATGGTAGTCTAACAATACTTTTGACATTTTACTATAATTTTGTAATCTACCAGAATGTTGTGAGCATTATTGGGTTATAGTAGTATTGTTTTTGTACCTGTATTGGAAAAAAGATTACTTAGCTTTTACAGATAGAAAACTCAAGTCGCCCAATTCTATTACATAGATTACTTCTTCCAATTCAAATTTTTTTAGTGCTCTGATGTCTTTAAAATGGGTTATTCTAATATTCACGGTTAGTATCTACAGGAAAAGTACCTGGGAAATGAAAGAATATAATCAATTTTATTGTTTAGAAAAATATATGAATAAATTTGAAAACTGCCACTAAAATATTAAATATTACAAAACACAAAGGCTATTTTAAATCCATGTATGGAAAAACTGGCCTGGAAAACATATTGAAAGTGGTAAAGGGCTAAATATAGCACAGCTGAATACTTTAAATTAGACTATTACAACTTCACTGAGATGATGTTACGTATTACATACCAAGGTTAATGGAAATCAACAAAACTCCTATCTTTATATGAAAAAATAATTGAACTGAAAGATCTCCCAAAACAAAGATTCTTAGAACTGAAAATTATATGCAGGATGTTGTTGAATTATTTGTATATATGTCTCCCTTATGTGTTAACATGTCTCCCTTACCAGACTGTGAGTTCGTAGGGACAGCAGTCTTACCTATTTTATTGTTCATTGGGCTTACCATAGCACATAGCAAAGTACCTAACACAAAGCAGATGTCTTTTACTGCATGTGTTTGAGTAATAGATGGTTAGTGATTTTATAGAGACGATCACTGACCCTGGAAGAAGAAACAATATGTTTGTTTCAACTTTGTTTTCCTTTTGATTTTTAAATCTAGCCTACGTACAGAAAGCATGGATTCTGTTCTGCTCTCTGCCTCCCTTTATAGGGGTGGCCTGCTATTTTATAGCTATGCAAGTGACTAGGTGGGTAAAGGCTAAGTAGTGGTGAAATATTAGCAAGATTGTCATGCCACATACCTAAGTCACTTCCTTCAATTAAACTTTTAATAAAGTTGATACTTTATCTCCAGTTATCTGATTCCTATCTCTATATCTCAGTTTTCGACCTTGAGTGGGAAAGAGGAATTTTTTTATGGGCTTCTTTTACCAACTTCTAAAAGTGCATTCTCTTTATAAAATGAAAGTACAAATATACATTAATAAAATAAAATAGTGTATTAGGCTTATAGCAAAAGGAAGTGCCTCTGCTTCATTGCCTCTCTTGCTGTGGTTGCCCGGGAGTTTCAACTTCTCATAGGCAACCATATTCAAACGTTTCATTTTTAATTGTCTTGGTAGTTTTCTTATTAATTCATTATAATGCAACTATGCCATTATTTACCAACCTGTCTACTTTAGATATAATCTGTTGGCTTTCTTCATAATGCATGAGGATTTAATGCACTTACATGATCCCCGTACTACGATTTTGTTGGGTCCAGCATTATCTATACTAATATCACAATTGTGGGCAAAGGAATTTCCACTTATAATTATGATATACACACACTTCACATATATATACACACATGTGTGTATTGTTTGGTATGCAATGCATTACACATAATTGTATAATGTATAAAATTGCACAGTATGACATTCAATGAATATATATTCAATGAAGGTATGTTATTTTAGGTTCAAGCTTTTTCACTTACAATGTTGTGAATATTTTCCATGTTGTTAAATATTCATAGGAAATTTTTTTTTTAGTGGCTGACATTAACAGCATATGGCTGAACCAAATTTATTTAACCTTCAACCTATTATGAAATATGTAGGTTTCCATTTTTTTAGTGTTACAAATAACCTGTCTGTAAACATCTTTATAATTAATCATCAACTGCATATCTGATCCTTGAAGTAGATTCCTAGAAATAGAATTACTGAATCAAAAATTCTTGGTACATATTGCCAGCTTCCCTTACAGGAAGATTTTGCTTATTTGCATTTCTAACAGCACTGTAAAAGAGTAATCATTTTATTCCATATTATTTAACCCTAAATACATATATGCTCTAAAACTTCTAATTTTATAGATCTAGCTTGAGATTTTTGATTACCAGTATTGCTGAAGATTTCTTCATATATCCATTATTTGTTATTATACAACATTTAAATTTTTTTCAGTTTAACATTTGGTTCTATGACTAATTTGAATTTTTAATATTTCAGAGAAGTTTTATGAGTTAATTTATTTCTCAACTTTATCATTATTGGCAATTCTTTACATTTAAAAATATCCTAAAGAAAAGTAATTTTAAGGGTTAGCAATCTTATTAGAAATTCACAGTGAATTAAAAATTAGTTGCATGGCTACTTGTATTTATTTTGCCTTTTAATATATTATGTGGGCAATCAAATTTTAATAAAAACTTTCATATATCAATAAGAATTCTCCCCAGAAATAGTGCTATAAAACTAGCTTAGGAAAATAAAAAATTGTGGGTACTGAAATTTGTATAATCTTCTTTTTTTTTTTTTTTCCGAGATGGAGTCTTGCTCTGTCGCCCAGGCTGGAGTACAGTGGTGCAATCTCAGCTCACTGCAACCTCCACCTCCTGGCTTCAAGCAATTCTCCTGCCTCAGCCTCCCGAGTAGCTGGTACTACAGGTGCGTGCCACCACACCGGGATAATTTTTGTATTTTTAGTAGAGACAGGGTTTCACCATGTTGGCCAGGCTGGTTTTGAACTCCTGACCTCGTGATCTACCACCGTGACCTCTCAAAGTACTGGGATTACAGGTGTGAGCCACCAAGCCTGGCCAAAATTTGTATAATCTTAAGGTGAGATGGCTTTTATAAATTAGAAGGGCAGTGGCAATGGTTATCATGCTTACGTGTTAAATGATTGATAATCATTGTGTTAATCTTATACTTTCTTTCCCATTGTCTATTCCATTTACTTTTTGCCATTTGACTGGGGTGATATGTATGCTTTTTGTGGTTAAAAAAAAACGCCTGTAGTAACATATGATCAGGAGCAGTAAGAAGGGAAGATAGCAAGCTTTTCCCATTACTGTAGTGAGATAATAAACCCTTGGATTATTAACAAAGTTCCATGTGGTAGGAGCTGATTGACTCAGGCTATATTACTTGCCTGTATTTGCTGGCCTGGGATTGGCAGAAGGGGAATCTTCCTAATGTGGCTTCAGAAATGAAAGGTGTAATTGGATATTCTCCCAAAACTTGTGATGGGGTAGAACCCTGAACAGTAGAAAAGATTATCAACTACATTGTCTTTGCTAAAAAATTTTCAATGGTGCTATTATCTGCAGGATAAAGTCTTATTCTTCTGATATAATGTATAATCTTGGTCTCCAGTAATCTAGATAACCATTTGTTTTTGAGCATTAACTACACAAAGCTTCCTTAAACCTATTTCTCATCTGAACACTAATACTTGTGCTAGTCAGATAAGGTATGAATCTTGAAATTTATTACTAGTGTCAAGTTGGGCATGAATTGATACTGCTTTATAACTATTCTGGTTTGAACTTTCAGTTATACTCTATAAACACACTAATTAAATGTTGTTTAAATTAATTCAGTAGTATTTAGTACATGAAAAATTGTCTCAGAAAAATGTAATAGTTTTAATAGCCAAATGTCCATTAAAAGTCAATGGGTGAACAGTTTGTGGCATATCAATACAATGGAATACTACTAAACCATACATAAGAAAGAACTATTGATACACACACAACATGGATGAATCTCAAAATAATTATGCTGAATGAAAGAAGAAAGACAAATAGTACATATTATATGTTCCACTTATATATAATACTAGAAAATGCAAACTAATCTATAGTGACACAAAGCAGATGAGTGGCTGACAAGGGACAGTGAAGGAAGAGTGGGGAGGAATGGGAAGTACAGATTACAATACGGTTCCAGGAAACTTTTGGGGTGATGGGTATATTCATTATCTTCATTGAGCATTAGTTTCACATGTATATACATATATCAAAACTTACCAAATGAAACACTTTAAAGATGCAAAAAAAGCAATGAAATATGTAATAGCTCTTCATTATTACTGGCAATATAAAACTATAAATAGTGCCGTATACTAATTTATGTATGCATTTTTTGGTTTTCAATTTTATTATTTTTTCTCATAGCATTATATGTTTCTTGAAATAAATGTTTGTATTGAAAGAATTGTATCTTTACAGAAGAACTGGCTGGCCTTATTTTTATTTCATGAGTTTAACATTTCTTGGTTATATACAAGTCTATTGATATGACTTCACCACTATACAATTCATCTATGTAACCAAAAACCACTTGTACCACAAAAGCTATTAAAAAATTAACATGCCTATCAATGTGAAATTGTACATTGGCCATCAGAATGAAATAAAAACAAAGAAATATTATGAAGAATCCACAAATGATATAACTTACTATTTGTTTAGTATATCCTAATATATATGTAATATAGTATAATATATATAAAATATAAACAGTGGCAGTAGGATTAGAAGACACATACAGATTGGAGAGAGATTCAGGAAGCAGAATCAACAGCACTTGGTGATAGATTGGATTTGGGAGTTGAAGTAGAAGAAACAGTGAAGAATGACTTCAGAGCTGCTTTTACTTTGGGAACTGGTAGATAAAGTGTGGATAGTGGGAAGAGGTTTAGGAATAGTGGAGATAACATTGATCTTAGAAATGATCACCAGTAGCTGGCAATGGTGAGTTTGGCATGTGGATATAAAATATATATATATTTTTAAATGGGTAGTTACAGGTATGTGAGATGATAAGAGATCAATGTCAAAGATGAAAACTTAGGACTCATAAGCAGAATCTGGCTAATTGAATGAGTAAAATAAAATTCAGCCAGTCATCCATCTGTGAGAATTTTAATTGAGTTTTGACTTAGCTGTGTCCATAGACAATCAATTTATTTTCTAGAATATATGTTGCTATCTACCATAGGAATGGTAGATTGGCCATCTCATCTTCAAATCCACCCTCCGTCTACTGTGCTTTCTTGTCCTATAAAGGCTGTGGCACTATCAATGACATTTTCAGACTTCTGTGCAGCTAGTGTTCCATGTGAATTTGGTTCTGCAAATTAAGCACACTTACACAATTGAGAAGGCAGAAGTTTTATGCCTTTTCTTGGTTCTGTATATGCTGGCAAACACAGTCATGGAAATGTGACATTTTCTGTAGCATCCTTCCATACACTTATCTCCAGCTTCCTATGTGTTGGGAAGCAATTTCAGTGGAGATGGTGGCTATATTTCAGTACCCAATAAGCAGCTCTATGGGATTTGATGGGGATTTGTGAGGATCACAGAGGCTTCCAGACCTAAATCTCCTATCCCTGAATTTGGCTATTGCTATTTATTCATAAATTTCATAGTTCTACAGTAGCACAGAAGTAGTATTGCTACTAGAGGCTCAGTTCTGTAGTGCTCTGGGAATAATTTCTTGAGGCTCAGTTTAGAGCCTTCTTCTTTGGTCTTTCTGGCAATTTTATAAACTCCTAAATCCCTGTAGTACTTCTTCCTTTTTTTTTTTTTTTTTTTCCTGAGATGGAGTCTCGCTCTGTTGCCCAGGCTGGAGTACAGTGGCAGGATCTCAGCTCACTGCAAGCTCCACCTCCCAGGTTCACGCCATTCTCCTGCCTCAGCCTCCCGAGTAGCTGGGACTACAGGCACTCACCACCACACCTGGCTAATTTTTTTTTTTTTTGTATTTTTAGTAGAGATAGGGTTTTGCTGTGTTAGCCAGGATGGTCTCGATCTCCTGACCTTGTGATCTGCTTGCCTCGGCGTCTCAAAGTGCTGGGATTACAGGCGTGAGCCACCACACCCAGCCCCTGTACTTCTTAAAATATCTAGACTGGTTTCTGTCTCCTGAAGTGAATAATATCTGATCTAGCCAGTAAATAATAATGTGTACAATTTGGGGAAAGCCAGAATATTACCATAGGTATATATGGCAGAGACTGCTGGCTATCTACCAATATCCATTCTGCCTTTCTTCTCTGAGTCACTCAAGATCCTAGTTTTATTATTCAAGCAAAGACTCCACTTTTTAGCCTCTCCAGCTACATGTGTTCATGTAAGTATGTCCTGGCCAATGAGATTAAACAGAAGTAGCATATGTCACTTTTTGGTTGTGCCTTTGCCTGCTTATATTTTCCACTGGCTAAGAAGCAGATGCAGTGGTGAGAATTGGAGAAGCCATCCTGGATCCAAAGATGAAAAATCCTTGTTGATGATGGCAAAGCCACTCTACCAGATTGGGACTGACTAGATCTGGATCCACACATAAGAGGTAAATAAATGGCTATCTTTCTGAAGTTACTACATTTTTGGGTGCCCCCCACTCTCTGCCTGTTTTTTCTAGCAGCTTAGACTGTAACCTAAGCTAAGATCTAAGTGAGCTATGAAATTTGAGCCCAAGTCTGAAAATGTATGTTACTCTATTAACAACTATTAATTAGTTTAATGAGGTAGCATATATAATATATTTATAGGAATAAGACTTGGAATAGCTCAAGCCGGGCGTGGTGGCTCACGCCTGTAATCCCAGCACTTTGGGAGGCTGAGGCGGACAGATCACTTGAGGTCAGGAGTTCGAGACCAGCCTAGCCAACATGGTGAAACCCCATCTCTACGAAAAATACAAAAAATTAGCCAGGTGTGGTGGCACATACCTGTAATCCCAGCTACTTGGGAGGCTGAGGCAGGAGAATCGCTTGAACCTGGGAGGTGGAGGTTGCAGTAAGCCAAGATGGCTCCACTTCACTCCAGCCTGGGCGACAGAGTGAGACTCCGTCTCAAAACAAAACAAAAAACAAAATAAAGCACAAAAAGACTTGAAATAGCTCATCCATAATTCTTATACAAAAAGACTTCTTGCTGTAGGCTGATAACATGCCCTCAAGTAACAGTCAGGTAAACAAAACTTACAAATTTTGTAAGACAAAGTCTCCTCTCACAAACCTGACCCCTTTTTCGGGCAATATCTCAGGTAAAGACACTCCATCTACCCAGTTGCCCGAACCAGAAAGCCAGAACCCAGTTTCCCTGCCTCTCCTTCACATACACATCCATCCTAGCCTTATGTGGGCCTTCAGTGCCTTGTAGATAAGAACCTTGCGTTAGGCTGGGCTTGGTGGCTCAGGCCTGTAATCCCAGCACTTTGGGAGGCTGAGGTAAGTGGATCATGAGGTCAGGAGTTTGAGACCAGCCTGGCCAAGATGGTGAAACCCCGTCTCTACTAAAACTACAAAAATTAGCTGGGCACGGTGGCAGGTGCCTGTAGTCCCAGCTACTCGGGAAGCTGAGGCTGGAGAATTGCTTGAACCCGGGTGTCAGAGGTTGCAGTGAGCCGAGATCATGCCATTGCACTCCAGCCTGGGTGACAGAGTGAGACTCCATCTCAAACGAAAAAAAAAAAGAGAATCTTGCCTTCATCCTCCCTTCTTTATCACCACCATCCATCACTAACCTAGTCCACATCTCATCCTCCCTCTCCAGGATGCCTGCGAGGCCCCTGTCTCCATTCACTCACTTATTCCCAGGGACTTAGAAGTCTTCTCCATGCACAGATTGTGCTCAGCACAGGAAGCACAGTGGAGAACTGAGCAGGCTGACTGGTCTGTGTTCCTGGTCTGCTGGGACCCAGAGACAAAGAAACGGACAATGACCACAAGCGTGTAAGTGAGGAGGGGAGCCTGGGCTCTGTGCAGGTGCATGCAGGGATTTACCCCACACTCATAAATTCTGGAGCCAGGGCTGGCGACTTCATTTGTCAAGGGTCGTGGGGAGGTATTGAAAAATGAAAACATGGAGTCCCTTGTTCACAAAACAGGAAAAACTACTCTAAATGGTACACAAATACAAAACCTTTTCTTTCCCTTTGTTCTAATAATTTACCATTGTTATTTGCTATTTAAGGTCATTCTGAGTAAAGAAAGTTTTAATTCTAAATTTTTAGCTGAATTTTAGTGTTCATCTTCATATTGTGCAATGATAATTTTAAATACAAATATGAGTATTATATTCCTATGCAGAAACACTGAAATTACACAATTCATATTTTGCAGCTCATACACGCATATACATTTTGTCCTTATTAGAACAGCAGAAATGCTGTGCAAAACTAAATCAAGGATTTTTATTTCACTTCCTGATAGTGGCAACGATACTGCCTTCTTGATGCTGCCTTCAGCTTATTGGTGAATAAGGAAGAACTGAAAGAAAGGAACTATGGCTTTTCCTGTCTTTCCCTATCTTTCTATGCCATTACTTTTGGCATAAGTGCCTGATTAATATAGGAAATAAAATAAGTAGGAAAAGGTATGACTAGGGTCATTAGTCTGTGGTGTTATTCACAAGGTCATTGCCTTCTTTCTGCGTTTGAAGCAAGACCTCACATGGTAAGTGTGGCCTCCCTGCAGACTCAGTTATAGACATACACGATGACCTGTTACTGGCCTGGAGTTCCGCTAACCTGCGCATCCTAGGGGCACTGGAATATTGCGCTCACAGCATCATCAACTCCTCTCCTCTGCTTTGTGCTCCTGCTGTGTAGTCCTTCCAAAACACAAGTTCAAAGGTAAATAGTATTAAGACTCAAGGCAGACCTGGCCAAGCATTAAGCCCAGCACAGAGCCCTTCTGAGTGCAGGGCCCCCCATGACTGCGCAGATTGTACCTCCGTGAAGCCAGCAGTTCTCTAGTCTTAACTGCAATCCACAGGGAATTCAAGGTTAGAGGAGCATGTTAAATGACACCACAAGGACACAGTCCGCAAATCCAGGGCATGGGGCGATGCAGAGTCAATGACCTGACTGCTCCAACAAGCCAGTGGGGGAACAGGAGAGAGAAAAGGCTGAAACAGACTCAACGAAATGAAACGCGAACTTGTTTGGCTCCTGATTGAAATAAACCAACGCTGAAAACACATTTCTGGACAATTAGGGAAATTTGGATGTTAACTTGTATTTGATGCTATAAAGGAAGTCTTATGAATTTAGTTAGTAGTAAAGGATAATCATATATATAGTGGTTATGCGGGAATAGACCTGATCTATGAAAGATGCAGGCCACGGTGTTTATAGATCAAATGACGAGATGTTTGAGGTTTAATGTATTTAGAACAAATGGGGCGGGGGGTAATAGTTGACATAAGATTGGCAAGATACTGAACATTTTTAAATCTGAGAGGTTCATCATTTTATTCTCTATACTTTTGTAAAGTTTTTAAAATGTTTTTTGTAATGGAAAGAAGGAAAATGTATGTGTGTGTATTTTTTAATATATATATATAATTGTTAACATGCATTCTATAAACAGTTATTTTCTTTGTAGTAAATTCTGTTTTCAACACCGAATTATTACTTTCTTTTCTTTGCAACAAATTACTAAACAGTTAATGAAAACATTTGAATTCTATGATTTATGCATAGGAATGTTGGCATGAAAGTCATTTTCTCCAACTTTGTGTTCTTTTCTTAGAGCAATATGGAAAATTTCCCAGCACATAAGACATTTTAATGTTCTTTCCTAAAGATGTAACTCTATACGTGTAAGTGGCTAATTATTCAAGTTTTTATTTAGTAACAAACTCAAGACAAATCCTATTTTTATTGAAAATTCTATTACTAAAATTGTTTGTGATAAATTAATTCATCTTATAACTCTATTAAGGAACAAATATGTTTTTTATATTATATTTTTTCTTAAAGTGAAAGAAGAAATTCACATGCACACACAATGCACATGTAGTTTAGAGACTTGTTTAGACATGAGAGTAGATTGAATTTGACTGAATATGGTCTCAAATTAATAAAACCAAAGAAGGGGGAACGTGTATTAAAATCAAGTCTTAAGAAGCAAGGTTCAGTTACACCTGATGTACAGAATTTTGTAGACCACATAACAAATATCTTCAAAGTTGGATTCAATGCTGGAAACATGAGAGTGAATATATTTTAGCCTTGCTTTCAGAGCAGTGAGATTCTTGTCTTGCTGGCATCATACTAAAAGCAGGATTAGGCTAGGACATTAGCTCAAGAGGCTTATTTGGAAAATTGCTTAGGCCAATAATTTAGGAGGGATCAGTAAGTGATCCCTGTAAATAAGGAATGTTATGTTTCCTGTAAATAAGGAAACATAGTTATTTATACCAATTCAAATTATTTCTCCAGACATGCGAGCAAATTTTCAAAGCCAAGAACTATGTTTTGTGTAATGGCCAAACTCTATGTCAGACTTTTGAAGAAATTTTTCATCTGTAAGTGTTTGGTTTTCCAACCAAATATCTCCCTGGGAAAAAACAAAAGTCATTTTAAAATGGGAGATCCCAAAAATAAAAAGTCTTTAAGTAGAGATGTTAGAGGTTTATAGCTCCCTAATTTCATTCTGATTTGTTACCTAGAGAAGAAAAAGCCAATTTCAAAACTTGGAAGATTTGAAATACTTTACTCTCTTATCAGTTTATAAAAGTTGCATCTGGCTGGCTAAGTTCTATGAAAATATCCAATTCAAAGTTGTAGAAATGGGCAACGATGATAATAATATTCAATAGTTATTGAACACTTTTCCAAAATTCAAGGCCTTTGCTAGTATTTTACATGTGTTATCTCACTGCAAATCCATGGGTATGAAATACTATGCTCACAGCTTTTCAAAAAAGTAAAGAAAATACATAAAAAAATTTAGATCATTGACATTGCTACTGTGGCCATATCTCTTTGGGACAAAAATTAGTTCTTTGACAAGAGTCCACTGTGTACAGAACAGACATAAGGATGACCTGGCAGTCTATGACACGATCAGAAACTCATGTTATTATTGTAAGAACACCATGTGTTGGATAATGGGATAATATCTGATTGACTGAATCAGATTCCCTCGGAAATAGACTCAAACTCAGAGATTCATATGCAGTAGACTTACTGGGGTGTACTCTTGGGAACAATGTCTGGGAAGAGTCTGGGAGGAAGAATTAGGTATAAGGAGAAGTTCAGCTGTAATGCTCTTGCAAAAAAGTCTCCAGCCAATCTTATGAGGAGCTCTGAAGCTGAGATGGTGCTTCAGAGGTGTCCCATGGATATCTTGGGAATTCAGCTTCCTAGGTTGAGTGTATCTTATTTAAGGATATATAAGAACATGTGCAGAAATATTCTCTGGAAAATATTAAAAACTTTTGGAGAGATTAAGAACTTTGTTTACTTATTAAAAATTCTCAAAATATTAAAAGTTCAACATTTTTGTATCTTCCTGTTGAATTAAACTACTTTTAAAAATTATGGTGCGACACTCAGTATCCCTGACATCTTTATTTTTGCTGATATGAGTATAGCTTCAACAGCTTCATTTTGGATAATATTCACCTATTTTATCTTTTCCCGTCTTTTAAATTCTTACTTTTCTAGGATTTTAGGATTCTAATAAATAGCATACAGTTGGTCATTTTAAAATCCAATCTGGCAGTTCTGGCTTTTAAGTGGAGTGTTGAGTTCATTTAAATTTATCAGTGTTTGGGGCTTTTTCTATAATGTTTCTTTGTATATTTTTATTTTTCCTACTTTTCTAATGCTTTTTTTTTTAAAAAAGTATTCATTGTTCTCTTATTTAATTTTTCTATTTTTAAATTAAAATTCTCTATTTCTAATTTTCAAGTGGTTACATTTGAAATTTTACCATGCTGACTCAGTCAAGTTTAACATCTTAAACTCCCTTTAGAAAAGCACAAGATGCTGGGTGCAGTGGTACATATCTGCAGTCCTAGCTACTTGGGAGTCTGAAGTTGGGGGATCATTTGAGCCCAGGAATTTGAGTCCAGACTGAGCAACATAGTGAAACTCCATCTCTAAAAAAAGAAAAAAAAACACAAAAATACAAAGATTGCAGAACATTTCAACTTATTCTATTTCCTACTTTCTAATTATTGTTTCTAGTATTTTAGTACTATGTATTTTTAATCTTCACAAATTAGAATATTTTATAATCATTATTTTATGAAAACAATATTTATTGAATTTTACCTTAAAGCATCCCTCCTGTTTTTGCTCTCTTTCCTTCTTGTATCTCAGGTATTCTAAGTTTATTTTCCTTCTTCCTAAGGTATAATATCTAGAACAGTAGTTGTTAATCTGTCCAGTTCTATTCTCCCGTAGAAGGCTTTTTGAAATATTTGGGGACATTTTGTCATCACAGTGGCTTCAGGGCACTTACTGGCATCTGTAGTGTGAGACAGGGACACTTAAACAAATTAAAATACACCCAGGACAGTCACCTACACAAAAGGATTGTTCTGGTTCTTCCATGACTCTCAGTGGTTTCAATGGTCTTTCTGGGTATTTCATGCAGAAAAAACACTCTTGATAAGTATTTGAGTCTAGGATCTAATTCCATGTATATAAATAGATATAATATTTATAAATAGGATCTAATTCCATGTATATAAATAGATATAATACTTATAAACATGGAATTAGAAATATACATATTATAAATATGAATATTATATAAACATAAATGGAATATTTGGCACAGTTTTAACACACTGAATTTTTCAGGAATGCAAAAGCCATGTAAACCAAGGAATTTTGTTCTGAATCTTACCAATAATAGCAATATTTCAGAAAATCACATCACTAATGGCTATCTCAGTCTTCGTGTCTGAGTTGTCAATACAACCATCTGTTAATTTGAATATGCAGCTGTCACATTGCTGGTAACTCTATGTATGTGCACACACATACTTGTACATATACATATTGGGTTTTAGCCCTCACCCACAAATAAAGTTGCAAATATGCCTACTCTGCTAATATTTTTTTCCCCTAATGCAGTAGTTAGACAATTAGCAGACATTTCATGGAGTTACATGCCGCTAGAGCTGGCAAAGATGTATCATACTTTTGCTTCAGAAAATAATAGCGTAAACATCAAAGAGGACGTTAATTCTGTCTAACATGTGATGTGTACCTGATACTAGGGGAGTAAAATATAAGGCTGGATAAAGGAGAATTCATTGACATTGAACCACTCATCAGTGGGACGGTTCCTTATAGCCTGGACATAACCATGGTCTGGGGAATTGATCTAGACTGGAAACTGGATGAGGGACCATGAATATCCACTGCAGCTTCCCGCAGAACGATCTTTATATATGATACCATCACATGGTGTCTCTCTGGAATCCCATTGCGTCCTATTACTTGCAGAAAAATCTCGAATCCCTTAACGTGCCAAAAGATTAGACCCTTCCAGATGTGACCAATTTACTTCTTTAGCTTCCTCATCTCCTCTTTCTAACCCGATTACCTCAAGTGCCAGTATATCCTACACTCTGAGGCCCCTATTCTTTGCATGTCCAGTTTACTCTCTTTGCTTCTTTCCTCAACTCCTCTATTGGGTTGAAACTAATTCTGGGTCTCCACAGCACCGACTTGGCATATCTTTTTTTTCTAGCATGACATTTAATTGCACTGTATTGTAATCGTTAATTTATTTTTCTCTCTGTTACTTAGTGAGGGAGTTCTTCATAGCTCCTAGCAGGGTGCTTGGTAAGGAAAGTGTTTGGTAGGGCGTAGGAGCTCAATAGGTGTTAGCCGTTAGAGGAAAACAACACTGCAACTTTTCAATACCATTCACTCTTCAACTGAGGCTCGTCAGGCTACTTTCAGTTTCACTTTTACTATCTTTCTTTTATTGATCACTTTCTCTTCGTACTCTCTTCCCTCCCACCTACAACGCGGCGGCGAAGGAGAGTGGCTCACCCGAACATTCTCTGGGCGCCCCCAGGACACCAGTTGCACTCCCTCCCACCAAGGAAGCCACATCAGCGAGCTGACGTCACGCGCATCGTGGCGTTCCGTCGTCGGGTCCTCCCATCAGATCATTCCTGATGTCTCTTTTGTTGTTAGTCGGGAGAGCCTGAGGTCTGCTGGTACTGAAGGCTAGCAACTAAGAGTACCAGAGGCGAGACCTCGCGGACCCCTGCTTCCCCAAAGTAAGGTGACTCGTTTTCCGAAATGACGCACTGGCAGCTGAGGGCGCAGGCACAGGCGCTCGCCGCGGTATCCCTGGGAACGACGCCGCACGTAGCCGGGGCTGGGTGGGGGTGCGCGTGCGCGTGCGCAGTGCGCGGCTTTTGCTCGGACCTGGAGTAATGAGAGTGGACGTTTGATTCCAACAGGATGGCCCATTTCTCCAGCGAGGACCAGGCGATGCTGCAGGCGATGCTGAGGCGGTTGTTCCAGAGCGTGAAGGAGAAAATCACGGGTGCCCCTTCCCTGGAGTGTGCCGAAGAGATTCTTTTACATCTGGAGGAAACTGATGAAAATTTTCACAAGTAAAATTGCTTTTGATGTTTTAAGCCTATAAACCATCGATCCAGAGAGGGTCCAGAGAAGGGTCAACAGTGTTAATTTATTTATTGTTTTTAAAATAGTGCCCAACTTGGAGGTTTACTTTTTCTCTTATTTGCCAAAACGTCGAATTTATTTAACATTTATTCTTATTTCCTAAAGCTTCTGCCGCCTCTTTCTCTCTATATTTTTTGAGGGGGAGTCTCGCTCTGTCGCCCAGGCCGGAATGTAATGGCTCGATCTCCGCTCACTACAACCTCCGCCTCCCGGGTTCAAGCGATTCTCCAGCCTCAGCCTCCCGAGTAGCTGGGATTGCAGGTGCCCGCCACCGCGGCCGGCTAATTTTTGTGTTTTTAGTAGAGACGGTGTTTCACCATGTGGGCTAGGTTGGTCTCGAACTCCCTACCTCAAGTGATCCGCCCGTCTCGGCCTCCCAAAGTGCTGGGATCACAGGCGTGAGCCACCGCGCCCGGCCGCCGCCTCTATATTTTTACTGCCACAACCAGCATATCCTAATAATCCATTCCCCCGCGCCTCACCCGGGCAGCACAGTAATATTAATTATAAATTATTCATGTTCTTTGAAAGAATACTTCCACGATTTCAAGGGATTCCTGTCAGTATACAGTACTTAAAAGCAATGAGTTCCAACGATCTTTGTTCCTTGAAAATATCTGCTGATATTTTAAGTGGCCGCACGAATTACTCACTCTGAGCACTGCAAAGGGAATACCGAAGTGAGATCATTAGTTTCCTCTGGAATAGTTTCTTAAGTTTGTCTAGAGGAGTAAGCCACATAACTAAATGTCTGTGATACATGTCAGAAATATAAGAGACAGAGAAGGGGGGTCAGAGTGCTCTGCGTGTGGGAGCAGTAGGAAAAAGAGGTTTAATGATAGAAGTGCCATTTGAGGTAGATCTTGAAGATCTTTAGAGACTTATGTTTTTCTTTTGGTTCATATAATTTAAGTTAAGCCTCTGAATTTACAAGTCTACCTCCAGGTGCTTCCATTCATTATTATTACTAATGTTTTTAACCCAGTGTTTGCATTTCATTTTGATCTGACAGAGATGACACTGGAAATTTTTCTAGTTATACTACCTTTACTGTCTCTTGGATACCCTTGGGTACCCTGAAGTTCTACTTATCTGGAACTCCTGTCAATATCATATATGTGCATCAGGGTATTTTTGAGTTCTTTGAAATTCTATGTACAAGTTTGTGTTTACTTGCAGTTTTATAGGGGGAGTATTTACAGTTTTCACTACCTTCTCAATTGAGTTTTAAAAAGTGTGAAAGGAATCTTCATTAATAATGGAGTTTCTAATTTCTTTGGTATTTACGATTATACTTACGGTTTCTTTTTCTTTTGTATTTCCATGATTTTCTTGTTTATTTTCTCATTAAATTCACTACTAATACCTGTTATTAGATGATAACGTTATTTATTTTGGTGCTACCAGAGACTAGCTTTTACTGGTTAGCTACAGATTTATTAAACAGTGGAGTACAGAAAAATTAGAACTTTTTCAAATATAGGCTGGGTGATTAATGTTTTGTAAACTCATGTAATAATTTACCTCACACACATCCACATAAAGCATTATGTTTGGGATTTCATTTCTGGTTTTTATTTTACATGGAGTTGTTTAAGTCATCTGTAAATTACTGAGTAAGTTTTTGCTAGTATCATATTCTGGGAATTTGGCCATTTCATCTAGATTTTCAAACTTATTTATAAAAAGGTTTTCATGAATATCCTGTTATCTTTTTAGTATTTCCAGTATCTGTAGTCATGTTCCCTTTTGTTTTTATTTGTATCTTCCCACTTTTGCTCTTCATCTGTTATGCTAGAAGTTTATTAGCCTTTTCAAAGAACCAACTTTTGGCTTTTTCTCCTCGTTATATAGACACATATATTATTTTTTGTTTTATCAATTTCTGCTCTTTGTTTTTTTCTATGTGGGAAACCTTTAACCTTATTGTACTGAATACTAGCTCATTAATTTGCAGCTCTTTTTTCTTTTTTAATAGAAGCATTTAAAGCTACACGTTTGCCTATAATTATTGCTTTATCTGTATCAATTTAAAACTTTTTTTCAAGTTAAAATTGGGTCATTGTAGTTCCTCTCCGAAGTCTAATGACTCTTGTAATACTGTATTACCCTTCAACAGCTCATTAGGTAGATTAAATAAATGCTTGTTGCATGACATGCACAGTTAATAGTTACTATTTACTAAAGAGATTTACTTGTGGCCTCCTAAAAAACAATCCAGAGAGACTCAAATTATAGCTAGTTTATAGTCTTAAAGGTAAGACTTGACATAGAATCCTAAAAGTCATTTTTAGTCTTAATAATAGGATAAAATTTATAATGTCTTAGCTGCAGTAGTCTGAGATCTGTGTCTTAGGAGGAGGGAACTCTTTTATATGAGAAAGGAAAAGAGGAGCTGCTTAACTTTGGTCTCTCCATGGAATTTTACAATCTCAGAGTTGGAAGGGATCTTAAAGGTCAGTTATTTCAGGTGCTCATATTTCCATTTCTTTTTCTTTCAGTGACCTGACTCTCCTTCAACACTTATTCTAGAGTCACTTAGGTGTGTCTTCCTTTCCAAAGTGTTTATTTCAGAATTACTCATTTTTCCACCTCCACTATTAGAACATTGATTCGTTAAATCCAAGTGATGTTGACCTGTAATTAGCAAGAAAAATAATCTAATTAAAAGACTTATAGGGGAGGCTGGGCATGGTGGCTCATGCCTGTAATCCCAGCACTTTGAGAGGCCAAGGCAGGTGAATCACTTGAGTTCAGGAGTTCAAGACCAGCCTAGCGAACATGGTGAAACCCTGTCTCTACTGAAAATACAAAAAAAAAAAAAAAATTAGCCGGGCATGGTAGTGGGTGCTGGTAATCCCAGCTACTCAGGAGGCTGAGGCAGGAGAATTGCTTGACCCTGGGAGGCAGAGGTTGCAGTGAGCCGAGATCGTGCCACTGCACTCCAGCCTGGGTGACAGAGAGAGAGACTCCGTCTCAAAAACAACAACAACAACAACAACAAAAAACCAAAAAGACTTATAGGGGAAATTGTTGCTGGGCTGTTAACATTTTTGTAAGAAGATGGTTTTTAAGACAGTTAATGTAATTTCAGGTGGTATAATAAAGTGAGGGAAAGTGTCATTTGGGGAGAAACTACAGTGTAGGCAGTACAGCCATATCTAGACATTTGTTTTATGGGACAGCTAACATACTATCTCTGCTTTTCATAGGCACTTCTCTTTTTCTACAGTAAACTGTATACACTCTCTAAAAGATCCAAGCTCTCCTGCCTTTCTCTAAGAATGGCAGCAAGGATTTGAGGCCTGGTGGGAGGGGAGAGAGAGAAGAGTACGTTGCTTTCATTATGTGTGTATGTGTTGTGTAAATTTTTACACGCAGACTGGCTCCCTGTAAAGCAGCATTGCTTTTCAACCTTTGCTGCACTGGAACCATCTGGGGGCTATTTAGAAAAATACTGATGCTTAGTCCCCACCACAGATGAATCAAAATTTCCTGGGGGTTTTGGCAGAGGGAAGTGGTAGAGGCTGGGCCCTGGAGGTTTTAAAGCAAAGCTTTCTATGTAAGTCTAATGTGCAGTTAGAGTTGAGACCTCAGAATTAGAGCATAGTTACTGGCATTTCAGTGAGAAATAGAGTGTTTTGTTGTTTTTTTAAAAGTACCTACCAATTCTAATGATTTTAACAGTCTCTAATGCAGAGGGTCATCGTTATAGCCTTCTCACTTGATATGTTTTTGATACAGAGGGACCATAGTAATATTTATTGAATTGAGTGTTATTCTTTGTTTTACAGAAGAATTCACCGGTGACTTTTTAATTAGGGAACTCTAGTATGTTTAAGAGGTAATTCAAGAAAATATTCCCTCGGGGCTGGGCTCAGTGGCTCACACCTGTAAACCCAGCACTTTGAGAAGTCGAGGTGGGCAGATCACTTAACACCAGGAGTTCAAGACCAGCTTGGACAACATGGCAAAACCCTGTCTCTACAAAAAATATAAAAATTAGTTGGGTGCAGTGGCATGTGCCTGTAGTCCCAGCTACTCAGAAAGCTGAGGTGGGAGGATCTCTTGTGCCCAGAATGTCAAGGCTGCAGTGAGCCTAGGTAACAGAGCGAGACCCTGTCACAAAATAAAACAAAATAAATAAAATAAAATAAAATAAGAAAGTATTCATTCTGTAAGGTGATTTACCTGTATGGAGAAAATTACCAAGAATTATGTGTCCTTCTATAATTAATGAATGCATTCCTAGTAACTTTATTATGAGCCAAAAGCTTATTTTTTGACCTAAAAAGTTGTAGGAGATGTAAAATACTTGTTCTTTCTATTATATGGCCTTATGTATACTAATGTGATATATAAGATTAAGTTCATCATATAATAAATTCAATGATTCTAAAATACAGCCTATTTTAAGAATTCCTCATGTCAACATTACAATTCATAACCACTAATAAAATATTTTTTAAAAAATTAGTGATAATTTTTTCCATATATGATTGAATATTTCTTGCCTTTTTATTTTTTTATTTTATTTATTTATTTTTTTTGAGACGATGTCTCACTCTTGTCCCCCAGGCTGGAGTGCAATGGCATGATCTCAGCTCGCTGCAACCTCTGCCTCCCAGGTTCAAGTGATTCTCTTGCCTCAGCCTCCCAAGTAGCTAAGATTACAGGTGTTTGCCACCACGCCTGGCTAATTTTTGTATTTTTAGTAGAGACGAGGTTTCACCATGTTGGTCAGGCTGGTCTTGAACTCCTGACCTCAGGTGATCTGCCCACCACCTTGGCCTTCCAAAGTGCTGGGATTACAGGTGTGAGCCACTGCTCCTGACCGCTTGCCTTTTTAAATAGCTAAAAGGATGACTTTTTTGAAACAAACTTGTACCAATGAGATTTTTTAATGTACTTATGTTGTAAGAGTAACCTCTCCGTATTTTTATATAAACATTACGAACATGTCAGAAGTTTATCATAGAAAAAAAAATTGCATTTTTTTGGGAAATATAGGTAAGAAATCTGGCAAAAAGAGAATGGAAAAAGTGAATGTTCTTTTACTCAATTTGGTAAAGTTTTTCAATGTAAATGTGAAGAATTTCAAATAATCAGTTACTACTGATGAATAATCAGACACATTGCTGTATGTTTTAATTGAGCTGCTTCTGAAGTGTGGTGAGCTCCACTCCACATGTCTTTCTTTATTAACAAACAGCTGTCTTTTTAGGTTTTAATGTCCCTCTTTGAAGAATATTTTGTAAAAGATATTTTGCATTCATTTGGTAATAGTGTCATTGGTACCAAATTTTTATTTTTTCTCATTAAATTACTTCTAAAGTAACAAGGTTAGTCAAATGTATGCATAGTATATTTGGTGAGAAAAATGTCAAAGTATATGAAAACACTATTATGTAAAAAACATTTTAATATTAAGATTATCATCACCATTAAGTAGTGGGCAATTGAAAGTAAGGTCAGGTGTTTTGCCTAAGGTTGCAAGATTGGTCAGTGTAAACTTCAGAATTTAAACCTGAAGCAAACCTGCTTCACAGATTATTAAAAGAAGTATAGCAATTATAAACTTGTTTATTCGTTGTACAGACTATATCTTAAAAAACTAGAGGCCGGGCATGGTGGCTCACGCCTGTAATCCCAACACTTTGGGAGGCCGAGGCGAGTGGATCACGAGGTCAGGAGATCGAGACCATCCTGGCTAACACGGTGAAACCCCGTCTCTACTAAAAAAAAAAAAATTAGCCAGGTGTGGTGGCGGGCATCTGTAGTCGTCGCTACTCGGTAGGCTGAGGCAGGAGAATGGCGTGAACCTGGGAGGCGGAGCTTGCAGAGAGCCGAGATCGCGTCACTGCACTCCAGCCTGGGTGACAGAGCGAGACTCCGTCACAAAAAATAAATAAATAAATAAATAAAAAATAAAAAACTAGAAAAACCAGTTAGAAAAATTTAAAATGAATAGTGAATACTAATAGACTTTAATTAAAATAGAAATAAGTGGAAGTTGTATTTATTGTAACCCATGTCAGTCAAAGCTATATTATTCCTATTATAGTCTCGATATTTTAAGCACAATTGGAATATGTGAAATCTGAAAATGTTAACAGCCTGCTTAAAGATCTGAAAGGATAGGACCTAAATTTTAGCAGAATTGATTTAAATTAAACCTTGTAAGGATATTCTAAAATAAGTTATTAAGCATGATATAGGTTTTTCAGAGAGCTTTTGTGTTTCTTGAATAGAAATTTTAAACATATAGGACATTCATAGTATCTTTAGTGGTTGGAATTTTGTAATTCTTCGGGAGAGACGCTATTGAAAGGCCAGACTAGCATTGTGCAGACCATATTTGGTCTGTGGACATGTTTACTTTGACTACATTAAAAAAAAGAAGAAAAGTACCATTTAAAAATTGAGAGATAATGTATAAAAATCAGTTTTCTGGCTTTCCTTAAAATGTTAAAAGGTTAACACCAGGCTCATATTTCTTAAAGACAGTTGCTGGAACTATATAGAAGCTTTGCCTTTAGTTGGGGCATGTCTTTATTTTACCACAACCTCTATCCATTCTCTCTCATACATGGCTTGCTTTCCTTTACCAGACTACCCTCTGTAGCATCTGAGTTTGCACTCCCTGGGATAAGTATAAGGGCCTTTTGAAAGTCTTCTTGAGGTATCCAGGGCTTTTGTACAAAATAACTAGAATATATTATATCTCCAGATTATTTTCTAAAAATGATGCAACGGGAATATTTGATTAAAAAATCAGTAGTACTATCAATCTTTGGGATTAGATATAGATTTCATAAGAGCTAGTACATAGCACCAATACTATCAGGATTACAATGTAGGAAACACAGTACTTAATTTTGTAGAACTGTATTTATCCCAGCTCCATTGCAATAATAATTTTCCTTTTTTAGATTCATGGGATTCATGCCTAGGTTTGTTACATGGGTATATTGCGTGATGCTGAGGTTTGGGCTTCTATTGATCATGTCACTTAAATAGTGAACATAGTATTTTGATAGGTAGTTTTTTTTAACTCTTGCTCCCTCCCTGTCTCCCATCTTTTGGAGTCCTGGTGTCTGTTGTTCCCATCGTTGCAACAATATTTTCTATCCTGGGGCACCATTATAGAATAGCAGCTTCATTTAGTATTTTATGGGGTGTTGCCATGAATTCCGATGGTAAAAGAAACAACATAAAATTAATTGTTGGATGAGTATTTAAAGTCTTGAGATACTCTTACCTAAAGAGTAGAAGGCCCACTTGAAGAAATGACTCTGTTCATTAATTTGGAATTGGAGGCTCTGAAAGTTTCTCAATGGTCCCTGAGTCAGTAGAATACCCTTAGCTATGGGCAGCCTGGCAGTCCTTTCATTGTAAAGGGGCTTGCCACTCCTGGAGATTTTTTTTTTTTCCCTAGAAGATTCTTTTGAAAAGAGCAGTAACCTCTTAAGACAAGATTTAACCCTGGGGTCCTTGGGTTCATTTAATTTAGAACTTGGACTAAAACCTGGAAGCATTTTGAATGAGTCTTCTGGAGATATTACTGTGGTCATAGGTAAAAATTAAGTCACTAGAAAAAAGCATGAGGTTATTCCGATTTCCACAGAGTAGATTTAAAAGTTTTCCAGGATATTTGCTATTTACAGCTGTTGCTAAATGGTGGAGATTTTTTTAAAAAATGAATTTTATTTTTAAAATGACAAATAATAATTGAACATATTTATGGAGTACATAGTGATGTTTCCATACATGTATAGCGGTCAGATCAAGGTAATTAGTGTATTCATCATCTCAGACATTTATCATTTCTTTCAATTCAGTATCTTCCTTCTAGGTATTTGAAACTGTATAATGTATTATTGTTACTATGGTCATCCTACCCTAGAATAGAACACTAGAACTTACTCCTCCTGTCTAGCTGTATCCCTTCCTTCTCTATAGGGATTTTTTTGATGTGTCTTTTATTTTAGAATTGTGTTTTTCTTAGCTTTATTGACTACATTTTGTTAATGTGCTTGTGTTAAATTTCCTCACGGCCTCAATTACAGATATATCCTTTGTGTTGCTTACAGATTGGGCTTTATAACAAAGCATACCCAAGAGTTCTACTTCTCATTGTGGTTTTGATTTGCATTTCTCTAATGACCAGTGATAATGAGCATTTTTTCATATGTTTGTTGGCTGCGTAAATGTCTTCTTTTGAGAAGTGTCTGTTCATATGCTTCACCCACTTTTTGATGGAGTTGTTTTTTTCTTGTAAATTTGTTAAAGTTCTTTGTAGATTCTGGATATTAGCCCTTAGTCAGATGAGTAGATTGCAAAAATTTTCTCCCATTCTGTAGGTTGCCTGTTCATTCTGGTGATAGTTTCTTTTGCTGTGCAGAAGCTCTTTAGTTTAATTAGATCGCATTTGTCAATTTTGACTTTTGTTGCCATTGCTTTTGGTATTTTAGTCATGAAGTCTTTGCCCATGCCTATGTCCTGAATGATATTGCCCAAGTTTTCTTCTAGGGTTTTTATGGTTTTAGGTCTTACGTTTAAGTCTTCAATTCATCTTGAGTTAATTTTTGTATAAGGCGTAAGGAAGGGATCCAGTTTCAGCTTTCTGCGTATGGCTAGCCAGTTTTCCCAACACCATTTATTAAACAGGGAATCCTTTCCCCATTGCTTGTTTTTGTCAGGTTTGTCAAAGATCAGATGGTTTTACATGTGTGGCATTATTTCTGAGGCCTCTGTTCTGTTCCATTGGTCTATATATCTGTTTTGGTACTAGTACCATGCTGTTTTGGTTAGCCTTGTATCTTATAGTTTGAAGTCAGGTAGCGTGATGCCTCCAGCTTTGTTCTTTTTGGAAAGTAGTGATACTTTTATGGAATTGAAATATCAGATGTTCTGATTCTTGATTCATTGGGTTCCTAGTTGTGATGCATGGTTGTGGTAGAGAACAAAGAGCTTTTTTTTTTTTTTTTTGAGATGGAGTCTTGCTGTGTCACCCAGGCTGGAGTGTAATGGCACAATCTCGGCTCACTGCAACTTCCACCTCCTGGGCTCAAGCGATTCTCCTGCCTCAGCCTCCCAAGTAGCTGGGATTATAAGCATGTGCCACCATGCCCAGCTAATTTTTTTGTATTTTTAGTAGAGCTGGGGTTTCACCATGTTGCCCAGGCTGGTCTTGAACTCCTGACCTCTGGTGATCCACCTGCTTCGGCCTCCCAAAGTACTGGGATTACAGGCGTGAGCCGCTGTGCCCAGCCCAAAGAGCTTTTTTGACTTACCTCATCGTGCACATCTGCCAAGTCTGTTTCAGAGCCAACTGTGTGTAGAAGCAGTTGTCAGATATTACAAAATTGAGGACATATTTAAAGGGTTCTCTTGAAACCTTAATTTTTGAATTTTTTTCTTACCAGTGTGATTTCACTGTTTTGTATGGAATGTGCAAAGATTTGGTTTAAAATTAGACATACACAAATGAAATAATGAATAAATATTTAGTATACATAGGAAGTTTCCATGTATATGGGAAGATCTTCAAATAATATAAGGCAATGATGAATTACCAAAAGAAGCACAGACTATTTACATGATGATTAGAGGCTGTTTTCTATGATATATGATTCAGTAAACTTTGGGTTTTGTTTTTCTTGGACTGTATTTCTGAAAATTAATGTTTGCTATTTCAATCTAATGTTATAAGACATTAGATTTACAAAATAGCTTAGGCTTCCTCTTCTGCTATTCTAAATACTTATTCCCTTAAAGCATAGAATTTACTATCTAAACATCGAATATAAATATTGAACATTTTAAAGAAAATTCAATCAATAATTAAAATATTTAAGTAAATTATACTTTTAAATTTAATATGCTAGTTATAATTTTGGGGGAATAAAATGTAATTTTTGTTGCAAAATGAAAGAAATTGAAATAATTACAAATTGGTAAAGATATGAGTATTACATTTATTTATTTCCCTTTTCACTCAATTTACAACTATAAAATATCTTATAACACTTCTGATATTTTTACATCTTTGGGACTCTGGGATTATGGGATTAACATGGGCTTTGGAGTAAAGTGAATGAATTAGTAGCTTATGAATTTAACTAGGTTTTTTCATGTTTTGAATCTGTGTCCTCATCTATTTTACCTATCATATGGTAAATAGAATAATATCAATAAAGTGCTTAGCACAGAGTTTAGCATGGTAGTTACTTACAAGTTAGTTTATCACCTTTTTCTTTTTGAGGTGGAGTCTTGCTCTGTCACCAAGCTGGAGTGCAGTGGCGCAATCTTGGCTCACTGCAACCTCCGCCTCCCGGGTTCAAGTGATTCTCCTGCCTCAGCCTCCCGAGTAACTGGGACTACAGCCACATGCCACCACGCCCAGCTAATTTTTGTATTTTTGGTAGAAATGGGATTTCACCATACTGGCCAGGATGGTCTCGATCTCCTGACCTTGTGATCCGCCCACGTTGGCCTCCCAAAGTGCTGGGATCACAGGCGTGAGTCACTGCACCCGGCCAGTTTATCGCTTTCTCATATGAAGATCAACATGGTTGAAGGTTTGTTGGGAATTTTGAATGTAGCCTCGTTTAAGTAGAGATACTCTTATAAAGAGATTTGATTGATTAGGTATTTAAAGTCCAGGCCAAGGAAGCAGTATTTGACCATGAAAGATAATAGGCAGCCAATTGTTATAAATTCAGCAAATATTTATTGAGGCATTATGTGCATGCATGACATGGTATGAGGTATTGGTATGAGTAAAATGGCTCTAGCTCTGACTGAAATAATAAAATAAGTTCTTTTGGAAGGCTAATATGACTACAGTGTTTGGGATGAATATGAGAGGGAAGAAAATATGAGAGGAGAGAGGGAAGTGAGAAGTTAAACAAGAAGGCTGCTGCAGTAATCTCTGAAGTGATATGGCTTTGTACTGATTGATAGAGAAAAAAGGGAGGCAGTAATGAAAGTCAGGGATGTACAGGAACATTAACACATGTTGGTGACTGCATGGATATGATTGAGTGGATGGGCAAGGGGTGCAGAAGATGCAGACATTAAAGAGCATCCTATGTTGTCAAGTTTGGGAGTATTGAAAAATAATGCTGTTAGTGCCAAAAATGTGGTGGGTAGCTGGAAAGAGGAGAGTGCTTTTTGCTGTACACTTTTTTTTTCTTCTTTTCATTCCTCTTCTCTTTTTCTTATAGGCGAATTATAGGAAGGATAAGAGGCCATATATGGGGGGTATAATTATAGCATAATGTCATCAGAAATTTGCTAATAGACATTACATGAACAAGGAATTAACAACTAAAACAAACATTTAGAAAAGATAAGCAAATTCAAATTCACAGCCACTGATGTAGAAAATGAAGAGATAAACCTTTCCCCAATGCTATATTTCAACCTAACAAGTATTTATAAAGTGTTTACTATGTACAAGATATTGCAGATGATAGATAAATGGATTTGTTCTGTTGTCAAGTCTACCAACAGTGTAGAAATCTAGGTGTAGAGGTGGTCAGGAATGAAGCAGGGGATAAAGCAGGTCATATAACTGCATCCAAGAAAATGTTTTGCATGCTAATAGAGAAGGACAGAGTACTTTTGGGTCTTAGGTGAGAAAGGATATCAGTCGTTGAGAAACAAGGAAAGCTTTTATCAGAAGGTAACATTTTAGGCTGTAGAAGACAATCTATACGAGTGGTGGTAAAACACTCTTAAGTGGGTGAAATAATGTTTTCAAAGGTATTGGGAATAAACATCACATGGAGAGTTGGGCATGTGTAAGGTAGTAATGGGACATAGATCTGGTAGGATAAATTGGAATCTATGAGGGCTTTAAATACCAATGGCAAAGTGTGTCTTGAATTTAATAATAGTGATAATCTTAGTAACATAAGAACTGTTTAGGTGGAAGTTACATCAGTTACTACTTTCAAAATGTACACAAAACTCTTCTGATGATGGAAGTTAACTTTTTCCAATTTCTTATTTCATGATTACTGTATTCTAGATGATTTTCCTCATCAGCTCGAATAACTGAAAATCCTTAACAACTGCTTTTCATACTCTTCACTGTCACATGTTAAAGATAGGAGCATAAAAAAGAAATGTAAAGAGACTTCTAACCTGCTGAAGTTTGGGCTGCTTCTGAAATTTGCTTTTCCCTACTGTGGTAATCTTTAAATGATGATTTTTGCCAAGTGTCTCAGAAAAAAAAAAGCCAAAAATTAGTAGATTAGCTTGATGATTTGTGATGAATGACTAATTTAATCCTAGTTTAAGGTAAGAAATCTTAATATGTTACCTTTCTGTGTTGATTTTTTTTTCTGAATATGCTTATGATATTTACCGCATTTATTTTCTAAATATTTGTTTCAGCTATGAATTTGTGAAATACCTCAGGCAGCATATAGGCAACACTTTGGGTTCTATGATTGAAGAAGAAATGGAAAAATGCACATCTGATCGGAATCAGGGTGAAGAATGCGGCTATGATACAGTTGTACAGCAGGTCACTAAAAGAACTCAAGAATCTAAAGAGTGAGTATGGCCATAATAATATCTTCAAATAACCTTCTTCAACAAGACGTCTTGACAGCACCCTGATCTCTGTCCCTCACAGTCTATTTCCCTCATAGCAGCCAGAATGATTCTTTAAAACAATGAGTCAGATCATGACACCCTTTCACCCAGACTCTCCAAAGGCTTCGCATCTCCTTTTGAGTAAAACCCAGAATTCTTTTTGTAGTCAACGAGGCCTACCATGGGCCTTTTGCTCCCTCTCCTACCCCATTTCTTATCATTTTCTCCCTCATACTGCTCTAGCCACTGTGGTCTTGCCTGCTCTTTTGCAAAAAACCAAGTAAGTCCCTCCCGGAGGGATTTGCACTCATGTTGCTCCTGCTACCTAGAATGCCCTTTTCCTAAATATTTGCATAACTTGCTCCTTCACTTTTTTTGGGGTCTAGGTTAATTGATATAAACAGTTAAGTTCCTACAGCATATTTCTGGTCAAAGAAACATCACCAAACTTCTAAATAAAGATAAAAACACTTCTAATATTAAACATTGAAATAAGTGTGAGCTATATATATGTTTAAGAAAGATTAATAAGAGCAAGATAATTATTTAACTGGAATAATTATTCCACTTCAGAGTTGCTGGTAGCCTATCCTGCCTGGCATCTCAGGGTACAAGGTGGGAACCAGCCCTAGGCAGGATGCCATTGTCAATTTTTTTTTCTCGTCAGTGTTATAATGAAAAGATGTTGAATTACATGATGTCATTTGAAAACTTGCTGTGGTTCATATTTCCAGTATCGGAAACGTTTGAATATATACCTGAGCTTATATTAATGACTGTATTTTAAAGTATTAAATCTAATTTACTTTTAATTAGGTAAACTTTAAAAAATTATTTTGGACAGGAGCTCTTCCTCTTTGGGACAACTGATTGTATTATTTAAATTAATATGTTAGCAATTGACAAATTGACATCATACAGCTATTTTAGTAAATTTAGCAAGTTCGATTCACTAATCTATATCAAGCATAAGTTGTAGAGGCTAAGATTTCTTATTTCTTGATTTGAGAAAACCAAAAACAGAATCACCTTTATCTTTGGATAATATAATTCCTAGTAAGTCTGTTTCTAGCAGTATCATTAAACTTAATTCTAGAAGGAATACTAAAATACTTTATTAGACGGTTAATGAAAGTATTTTCATGGTTAAGAGCAGAATTTTATATGGTACTGCTAGGAAATTACTTTTTATCTCTACTTAAGCTATTTGATTTTCCTGTGTTTCAGTTCATCCATGTGTTAAAATTAGTACAGTAATAATTACCTCACAAAGATTTTAAATGACTCGGTAAATGTTTATTTTCCACTTTATGAACCATGGATAAAAGATTTTACATTGTACAGCTTTTTTTTTTTTTTCCCAGTTTTTTTTTTCTTTTTCTTTTTGGTGATTCTTTAGAAATCACTTAGGGCTAATGTAGCAACACTACATCTGTAAACAGCATTTCAATTGTTATAAAGTATTTTTGTAATTAAACATTTTTATATTTATTTTTTAAGCAGATATTTGCACACAGAAGAATTCATTTGTAGGATCTATATAATATACACTATTCCTCATATAATGAGTGGAAGTACTTACTCTGTAGAATTTCATTGTTAATTGATGTGGTTTTTATTCACTATTTCTTAGAGCTTTTTCTTTCTGTAGTCTTTAAAACTTGCAAAGCATGAAGGAATCTACTCAATGGTGTTTATATTCTATTTTATATCTGTTTTTTCTTAGTCTTTTCAAAACTGCAATGGCTGCTATTGAGTTTTAGTTCATTTAACTCTTGATATTGATGATATGACATTATTTTTAAATTTACATTGTAGAATTATTAGCTACTGCCTGTGGCCATTCTGTTAGTATTTCGTACAGCACAATTTATGCTGGTCTTTTCTAAAAGGTCTGTTGGAAACATTCATGTTCAAAGCGAAACTTATAGATTTTCTATGGATTTTAAGTACCATTATCCCTACCCTGTATATCATTAAGATTTACTTTTATAGTTCTTTATTAAATCACCAGATTATAAGTTTTAAGGGGATAGGGACTTTATGTTGTTCACACAGTCTTACCTAGCTGCAAAGGAGGCTGGGGAGTGTAGTTTAGTCCTGTGACCAGCTAGAATTCAATCACTGTGGAAGGAGAGAACAGCTTTTGGTGGATGTGTATTGATTGCTGCCAGGGCACTGTTTTGTTTCCCTGTTTTTTGCTGCCCAGAATCTATAGAGGCAGAAGCTGGGCCTCTGGGCTCAGTTATCCTTATATATACTTTGCAAATTATTGTGTGTGTCTCAGGACTTCTTTTTGCTCTTTATGTCCCTTTACGTTAAACTGGGATATTCCTCGGACTCTGTTACCTCTATTGAGTTACCTTCTGTATGTTTCTCCCCCTAGCGGTTCCTAATTTATTTCCATCTGCTTTCAGTATTTTTGTGTTTTCTCGTAATTTCTGGTACTTAAAGAAATATGTTAAATACATATATTTTAAAACTTTTAGTTCTGTATGATATACATATTAAATATTACATTTAAATATATTAATATATTTTAAATTATGTAGAAATTATATCTAACAAAATTTTAAAATATATTTTATACTTTTTATATAAAATCTCAGTCTATGATTTCTATTCAGATTCCCCAGCAGGTTTGATTTCTCTTATGAGAGATAAACTACCTTTTCTTCTTTTGATTTATAGAGTTGCAATGACGCATTATTCAGAATTATACAGAAAAGGACATTTCTGTGCATATTTTCCTAGTGTATTTTCATTATTTTAATGATAATAAATACGTGTATATATGTATATATACACACACACTATACATGTATTTATTATCATTTTGGATATATATGTGTATATATATATATACACATAAACATATGTTTATTTCTTGCTATAGTCATATGAAATAGGTTAGCTAGATTGTATTTTTTAATCTCATTTTATAGTTGAGGAAATTGAAACTTATTTATGATGACAGAGCTGGCTGGTAAAATAGTCAGGATCCCCATTCAAGTTTTCTAATTTCAAATTTTATAATTTATTCACTATTTTTACTTACATCTTTATGCCTTTTTTGTTTTAAATATAGAAATTTCAGTGGTTCAGGTCACATATGCCTCATTTGTAAAATAAAGAGCTAGACTATATTTATGGTTCTTTCTAGCTCTAAAATTCTATTCTTAGTTCTTTTGAGGATTTCAGTCTCATATTCATATGGATGCTTGAGAGTTTGAACTTACAAAGTAGAGAAATTTGATACCAGTTCTTTTTGAGATTTTTAGACCTTCCGAAAGAGATTTTAAATATTATCCAATTCACACTCCTAATGATTTCAGGAATCTTTTTCCTAACATCCTGAGAGTGGATTTCCCAGCCTCTGTTTGAAAGGACACGTTGATAGCTTAACTCTTACATAGGTCTTGGGAGTATACAAGAGCTCTCAGTTGTGGCTATGGGTGTATATAAAGTATGGGCAAGGGAGAAGAGAAGGAAAGAAAATAAAGGATAGGGGGGTGGAGAAAGAGATAGGTATAAGGTAAGAGGATGAAGGTGATGTATAAAATAGCCTGGGTTTTGGTAGTATAATATTAATAGTTGACTTTGTTGCTAGCAATTGGAATCCATGCCATTGAAACCTCTTGCCTTAGGTTCTTTTAATTTTACTACCTTGATCCATGTAACCATGAAAAAACCTAGGAAATAACATACTTTTTGAATTCTCTATTAATTTTTATTGCTGTTTTGTGAATTCTGTTCTACCACTTCTTCTTTAAGAAAAATTGAGTTCGATTTTTCTCCTTAGCATTGTGTTCTTAAAGGGACTTCCCTTTTTATAGAAAAAAAATTAGATAATTTAACTAGTTGACTGTTTTAATTTCTGATCGTCTTTCTCTTATTAAGACTACCTTGAATTTAAAGGTACAAAGAAATGATGCATTACCTGAAGAACATTATGATAGCTGTGGTCGAGTCTATGATTAACAAGTTTGAAGAAGATGAGACACGAAATCAAGAAAGGCAGAAAAAAATCCAAAAGGAGAAAAGCCATAGTTACCGCACAGACAATTGCTCTGATAGTGATTCATCATTGAATCAGGTGTGTTGTTCAGTTTTGCATTTATGTCTTGAAATGCTGTTTAATAATAATTAGCTTCAATAAATTATTTCTTAGCCATATTTTTCCTGCCTTCTTAAGATTCAGGAGAAAAATAATAAAACTAAATAACCTAATATTAAATATTTAGTCCATGAAATAACATCTTATAGAATTATATTTGGTGAGTAGCTACGTTATATCTGAGATAATTCTTGGTGATATGAGAAAATTAATGTATGTTAGAATTAAAAAAAATAATGTGTTGAACCAAATCTGCTTAAGCTCTAATTAAAACATCTTATTCCCAGTTAATCTACATTAAAATTTAACTAAAATAGAGATGAGGTGTGACAATAAAACATTTCCCTTATACATTCTCTGGAGGTGAAAGTTGTTGTGAATTGTTAGTTTTAAAACATTAAGCTTTTTTTAATGTCAAGAGATTTGAGGTATTACATTTTCTACTGCCAGTTTATAGGAACCCTTGTCATTTGGCTGCAGCAAAGTTAACAGAAAGATGGGCCAGTGGCTGGATTGGCCCTAATAGAAGACAAGGAAAACTAGCTAGACTAGAGCCTATGCATGTGCCATGAACTTGTACACAGAGGCTATCAGGCCAAAAGAAGCCTGTCTGACCCTGGTGTCGATCTCACCTGGTATTTTTAGTCAAACATTTTTCACCTAATTAGCTATACCACAGGGGCATAACTGTAAAATAGATCCTAACCATATACCAAGAAGGGATTTGAGGAGTTTGGGTGAAAACATGAACAAATATGTACATTGGTCAAGTTGGGACTGCATGATTGAAGGAAAATTGGTTTTGGAAATAGTGGAAGCATAACTTAAAAGTCGCTGTGCATTGCCACCATTGCATCATTTAGCAGGAGAGAGTATGCTGAGTAGTGAACTTTACAAGTCAAATTGATTACCTGATGTGATGGAGGACGTGACAAAGATTGTGAATTTTCTTCATGCTGTAACCCTTAATCATTTCTTGCTGAGGAACTGTGTGGAAAAAGGTGGGGTATAGAGATTTTAGTTTAATACAGTCAGATGGCTTGTTTAGTAAGTTTATTGAGTTGCTTCTTCAAATCAAGGACTTTCTGGACTTAAAAGGCACAGAAAACCCAATTTTATGACTCTGGGGGCTCACAAGATTATATGCTCTTACTTATTTGCTGAACCACCTGAATACATTGAAATGGGAACATAAGAAAAATAATGGAGCATTTGTTCTAAGAAGTACAGGTATTCAGATCTAAATAGAACTGATTTCATAGCTGGCAGTTAAGACCTTGTCGAATTCCAAATGCTGAATTATTTCCAGTCATTAAAATGATAGATTTTTGAAAAATGCAAAGCTTTGGTAGAAATGGGGTCATAATTTTAGAAGATGTTCTTGTTTTTTATCTTGTTTTGTTTCAGTTCTTGAGGAGGAATCATGCTTTAAGTTTCCCTGGATTTCTTTGGGATGTCCGCAGGGTATATATAAATTTTCAAGTGTCTACCCTGTAAATATGACTTTGCTTTAGAAGGCACTAATTGGGTTGAAAGTGAGCTCTGCCCATCAAGAAGGCATGGTATCCCTGGACTTTTGGGAAGAAACATATGAGTGCCAGAACTGTCCTGAAAGCTGTTTCAGTATGTCCAAGTTCTAGGAGATATTGTGTATACTTTTGCTTATAGTGAAAAGAGACTCTCTTTCATATAGCTGACCAAAGAGAGGCTGAATATGTTCAGAATTGAAAAGATCTCTAAAAATATATTATTCATTCCAATAAATATTGACAATCTTATTCATGCCTTCAAAATTGTTGTTTCTTGCTGTGGGGTGAAAAAAAAGGTCTGAATTTTCCTATGAATAACATTGTAAACAATGCTGATGTTACTGTTTTGATATTAGTGAAACACTTTCATTTTGTGAATAGAATGGGCTTTAATTCATTGTTATTACTTAAAAAATTGCAGCCTGATTGTATTTGGACTTTTGACCCATTATTGAAAAACAGGAGACTGTTAGTGTAAGTATGAGGATATTGAAGAACAAAGGGGAGATAAGTAGTTATTACCATAGTTGTGAGCATTGCTATGAAAATATTTGGTATTGTGATTAAACCTGGAACAAGTCTCTGCAAAATAATGCCAGAAAGATAGAAATAATAATACCAGCTATAATAATAATACCTGCCATATACTGGTCCCTGTACTTAGCTTTATATTCACTATAGGTATTATTAGTCCATTCTACAGAAAAAAGTGAGCCTTTTAATAATAGTTAAGTAATTTACCCAAACTTGAATAGCTAGTGAGAGGGGGACTTTGAGTTTAAAACTAGCCTCTCTCCCTGCAAAGCGAGTTATTTTTATTCTTTTCCCAGCTACCTGGAGAGAGCTTGGGTGTAAGTTATGGTTCCACCGCTTACCAGCGATGTGGCCTTGGACAAATTTCTTAACTTCTTTGTGCTGTAGTGTTTCCCATTTGTAAATGGGGATGAAAATACTACTTCCCGTATAGGGATGTTGAGAAGATTAACTGAGTTAATGTATGTCTTGTGCTTAGAACAGTGCCTGGCACACAGACACTGCTTTATACAGGTTAGCTTTTATTGTTGATATCTCTTAAAGGGAATGCTGAAATGGACACCATTCAGAGACACACTCAAATAGAAAATTTCTCAGCTGTGGTCCTATATAATTTCAAACTGAACATCTCTGGGCCATTTTTAACTGCTTGGGAAATTAGAGGATTACCTCTGATATACATTAAGCTTTCAGAATTTGTATCCTTTCCTCTTGCAGTTTTTCTGTCTTTCTCTTCCTCCGCAGTAATTAGTATAGTACAGCACGGGCATTGTGCTGTTTTATAGCGTGCAAGCTATTTTATAACCTTCCAAGGGAACTTCACCCCAGGGTGTATACCTTATGCAGGTGAGTTTAGGATAATAGTCACCTATTACTCTTGCCTGACACAAACATGTTTAAAGCAGTCACTGTTCCTTTGTTTTCCAAGCAACTTCTCCTTGAAACTCATCCTTTGGTACCTGTGGTACACAGAATAATGGTCCTCTCAAAGATGTCCATGTCCTAATCCCTAGAACTTGTGAACATGTCACATGACATGACAAAAGGGACTTTGCTGATGTGATTAAGTTCAGGACCTTCAGATTGCAGGATGATCTCGAGTTATCCAGGCGGGACCCATCTCATCACAAGGGTCTGTGTAAGAGAAACCCAGGAGAGTCAGTGTCAGAGAAGGTGCTGTGAAGGCTGACATAGAGGTTGTAGTGATGTGATTGCTGTTTTTGAAGATGGAAGTAGGCCATGAGCCAAGGAATGAGGGCAGCCTCTAGAAGCTGGAAAAGGCAAAGAAACAGATTCTGTCTTTCCTGGGAACAACCTGAGCTCTATTTTGTTGCTAGGCTTTGGATTCTTCCAGTAAGATTTTTCTTGAGTAGGTTTTTTTCCTTATTGGGTACATGGCCTTTCTCCTCTCATTCAGAGTATGTCCTTTCAATTTTCCTAATTTATTTTATGCTATTAGTCTTCAAATCTTAATCAGAATTTCTTGAGTTCAACAACTGTTTTCTGGCCTCTACTAAAATCTTCAAAGCTCTACAATGCTCTTTTTGGTGAAGAATTCTGCTTGTAAGGATTTTATACTACTGCTGAGAAATGGCAAGACACTTATCTCTTTTTTTGGCAACATCACTCAGAGCAGTAGGATTAGCTACATCCCAGCCTGTACTTCAGAAGTTCCTCCATGTCTGGCTACCCTCACTTGATAAGATTTTAATTATTATTTGTTTTGTAAGCACAAAAAGATGGAGTCATAAAATCTTAAAAATCTCTGCAGAATTTCACTTCTGTAGAAGTGAAAGGGAAAGATAGCTAGGATTTTTAAAAGATGAACATAGTAGCATTGATTCTGCAGCTGCCTAGAGTTAGGCCTGGGACAGGTGGATTATTTGGAAGAGGAATGTGTAGGGGCAGATGTGAACTTATTTTTGCTTGCTGGCTTGTTTGTTTGGTAAAAGTACAAAAATCAGCCAGGTATAGTGGCGCGTGCCTGTAGTTTCAGCTACTCGGGAGGCTGAGGCAGAAGAATCACTTGAACTCGGGTGGTGGAGGTTGCAGTGAGCCAAGATTGCACCACTGCACTCCAACACTCCAACCTGGGCGACAGAGTGAGATGCCGTCTCAAAAAAAAAAAAAAAAAAATTAAGGCCAGGCATGGTAGTTCATCCCTGTAATCCCAGCACTTTGGGAGAGCAAGGCAGGAGGATTGCTTGAGACCAGTCTGGGCAACATAGAGACAAGGTCTCTACACACACACACACACACACACACACACACACACACACACACACACACACACACACACACACACCACCTTAGCTTGGCATGGCATTGTGTGCCTGTATTCCCAGTGATGGGGAGCTGAGGCAGGAGGACTGCTTTGTTACGGGAAAAGTGGTCTTGACCCAGAACCCAAGAGGGAGTTCTTGGATTTTGTGCAGGAAGGAATTCAAGGCAAGTTGCAGAGTGCAGTGAGAGGAGATAGTTTATTGAAAGCTACTCAGTTACAGAGTAGGGAGTCCTCAGAAAGCAAGTGGAGGAACGCACTATCTTTTTTACAAGCTTTTCTTATATTGTCTATGTAAAGACTAAACTAAGCTGTGTCTACATGCAAGTGGGCTGACAGCATGGCACAATTTATTTTTCTCTTGATTTAAAGAAAACTATCCTTGACATTTTAGCATGTAAGTACATCAAAGCATAACTATAATTATCTTGATAGCATATATTGCTATGTGTACTGAGACATCTGGACTTTCTGTTGTAGGAATTTGCCTTTCAGGAATTACCAAGCTGGTTCCTTAGCTGTAAACATCTTAGGACCATGGATTGTGACTGGCAAGGAATGTGCCTTGTTAGTCTCAAGTTGGAGTTGACTTTAAAATGAGGTCACTGTGGCTCTCCTAGGCTCCTGCTTCCCTAATTGCATGAGCCCAGGAGTTCGAGGCCACATTGAACTATGATTATACTACTGCTGTCCAGCCTGGGCTGCAGCAAGACACCATCTTAAAAAAAGAATTAATAGACTTTTTTTATTCTTAATGTAGCACTTAAAAAAATTACTTTAAGTTCTGGGATACATGTGCAGAATGTGCAGGTTAGTTACATAGGTATATATGTGCCATTGTGATTTGTTGTACCTATCAACCCATCATCTAGGTTTTAAGCCCTGCATGCATTTGGTATTTGTCCTAATGCTCTCCCTCCCCTTGCCCCTCATTCCCTGACAGGCCCCAGTGTGTGATGTTCCCCTCTCTGTGTCCATGTGTTCTCATTGTTCAACTCCCACTTATGAGTGAGAAGATGCGGTGTTTGGTTTTTTGTTCCAAGACAGATGATGATTTCCAGCTTCATCCAAGTCCCTGCAAAGGACATTAACTCATCCTTTTTTATGGCTGCGTAGTATTCCATGGTGTATGTGTGCCGCATTTTCTTTATCCAACCTATCATTGATAGGCATTTGGTTTGGTTCCAAGTCTTTGCTGTTGTGAACAGTGCCACAATAAACATACGTGTGCATGGGATTGCTGGGTCAAATGGTATTTCTGGTTCTAGATCCTTGAGGAATAGCCACGCTGTCTTCCACAATGGTTGAACTAATTTACACTCCCACCAAAACTGTAAAAGCATTCCTATTTCTCCACAGCCTTGCCAGAATCTGTTGTTTCCTTACATTTTTTTTTTTTTTTTTGAGGTGGAGTCTCACTCAGTTGCCAGGCTGGAGTGCAGTGGCATGATTTTGGCTCACTGAAACCTCCGTCTCCTGGTTCAAGTGATTCTCCTGCCTCGGCCTCCCGAGTAGCTGGGAGTACGGGCACGTGCCACCATGCCCAGGTAGTTTTTGTATTTTTAGTAGAGACAGGGTTTCACCATGTTGGCCAGGATGGTCTAGATCTCTTGACCTCGTGATCCGCCCGCCTTGGACTCCCAAAGTGCTGGGATTATGGGTGTGAGCCACTGCGCCCAGCCTACTATTATAATTTTTATTTTCAGATGAAGTTTTAGATATTATACATGTTTAAATTGTCTTTAGTAGGAAAAAGACCCTTTCTTTCTCCAAAATATCTTATAATCTACTATAAACTTTTTTATAGATGGAAGTTTTTACTTCAGGAGTTTTTTCACCAAAGAACTATGGAGAAAGGCTAAGGAAAAGTATAGGAAAGAAAGAGAACAGAACAGTCCAAACAGCACTGTAGCTGTGCCTAGGGTACTATTGGTAGCTCTTTTTTTACTTGTTTTGTTTATGTCTGTTTCATTCATCTCACATTTCTGAGTATGCAGCATTTTGGCTTTGTGTCTTTTGAGTCTTATAATGTTATATATACTTTAATTGCTTGGCAAATAATAGTTTTCATATACATGAAGGTACACTTTCTACTGGGACATTCAGTTCCCATTTAAAAGCCTTGGGAAGAAAAATTCTAAGTTGCTGCCAAATCAAAATAGATCATCTCCTTCTCTTGTCTGGATTGTGTTTTGTGCTTGGAATTATATTGAAAAAATAACTTATAGCAATAGTTCTAAAAGCCTTCTAAATAAATGAATGTCCTGACAATTGTGTTACAGAGTTACAAATTTTGTCAAGGAAAATTACAATTGATTTTAGACCAGTTGGATCCTGGGCAACCTAAAGAGGTAAGTTTCAAGGATAGCTGTCAAGTTCATGCAGATAACATACATTTACAATATATGAGATTACAATCAGTAGCAACCAGGTTGTTTCCCTTGAGGCTAAGCCTTTATGATTATGGGCAATCCTGGACTGATATCCCTGGTAAACTTTAAAGTCCAAATGAAAAGTCACAGAATAAGGGAGGCTTTCCTCAGAGAATTGTCGTGGTTTGGAAGAGGAAATTTTTATCTTCAGCATCAATTTCAAAGGGATAAAGTTATAGGCAGTTGTCCCCCAAACTGTTCTTTCACTGTTATTTTATATGTAACATTGTAGTTAGTCATTTCTTAAGAAAAAGATTTTTAATTCTTTTTTTACTTTCAGAAAATGTGAACAGCTTTTTAAAATAATTATTTTTAATGATCAAATAAAAATCGTGTATATTCGTCTTGTACAACATGTTTTGAAATATGTATACACTGAGGAATGGCTAAGTTGAGCTGTTCTAACATGCATTGCCTCACATACTTATCATTTTTGTGGTGAGAACATTTAAAATCTACTCTCTTAGCAGTTTTCAAGAATAAAACATTGTTATTAACATAGTCATCATGTCATCATGTTATACAGTAGATCTCTTGAATTTACTTCTCCTAACTGAAATTTTGTATCCTTTGACCAGCAGTTACCCATGCCTTCCCTAACTATCTGAGCAATTTTGACCCATTTGTTTATTTTTTAGAAAAATTTTATATATATATATATTTAAGATAGGGTCTTACTCTGTCACCCAGGCTGAAGCACAGTGGCGCAATCATGAATCACTGCAGCCTCTACCTCCCCAGGCTCAGGTGATTTTCCCACCTCAGCCTTCTAAGTAGCTGTGACTACAGATGCACGCCACTGCACCTGGTGAAATTTTGTATTTTTTGTACAGATGGGGTTTTGTCACATCACTTAGGAAGATCTCAAAATACTGTGCTCAAGTGATCCACCTCCCTTGGCCTCCCAAAGTGCTGGGATTATAAGTGTGAGCCACTGTGCCTGGCCAGAAAAAGGATTTTTAAGAGAAGCAATTATATTGAATTGTGTCTGTTTATATTTTAAGAGATTGTACAAATCACTGTTTATGAAGAATTATTTCATTTGAAAGTCAGCATGAAATAGAAAATATGATAGGATTTTTGAAGATTTTTTTTTTAACCTAAGCCTTTTTATGTATTGGTATGCGTATCTTGCCATTTGGTCTCAATTTTTAAAATTATTTTTCTCAAACTATTAAATTTAAACTAAATGAATAGTTGTGATTTACTCCTACTGAAATTTTTAAAAAACTCATAGAGAAGAATAATTTTTTTCTTCTCAACATTTTGCATTATGATTTATTTTCTGGGTTCATAGTAAATAATAACATCTTTCAAAAATATCGGAAATGAGTTTTAAATTTTATATGATAAAAATCCTGTTGCCTTCAATTTAAATGGATGATTTGGAAACTATACTTGTTTAGAAACCTACATTTTGCTTCTGCAAGTAGTAAATTCTTAATGGCATTTTTTCCTAAAAATTTCCTGAAATGGAAAAATTACTTAACATTGTAAATGAATTCCTAATCTTAAATCTCTCAATATTTCCCTTGCTGCCTATCACAAATAAAGTTATATTGAGGAGTTCTTTCATATGAATATATAGACAGTTTCAAATATATGTATATTCTTTGTCTATTTTGTCTAAAAGTTGGGCCCTGGTTCAGAGTGTCTGATTTGCTGAGGTTTTGGCTCCTGTCTCTTAGGCCTCACCTTTTTAATGACTAGGCTTTAGTTGTTTCAGTTGGGAAATGACCAGGTTTTGAGGATGAGGCTGGAATTAGTGTGTTATTATTCACGACTTGGATATTGAGTGGGAGAAAAGCTTTGTTCCATTCTTCATTGGAGTGGAACTATTCTCTACTACTTTCCCTTGGGTCATACTGTTTTGAGTGAATTCTGATTGCATTTTGAGAAGACTGATTAAGAAGTAAGCTTTCTGCAGCGAGCCGAGATTGCGCCACTGCAGTCCGCAGTCTGGCCTGGGCGACAGAGCGAGACTCCGTCTCAAAAAAAAAAAAAAAAAAAAGAAGTAAGCTTTCTGTGAAAATACAGAAATACAATTTTGCATCCCACTGCTGAAAGACTTACTTTTTTTTCTACCTAAGTAGTCAGAAGGCCAGAAAATATGGTGTAGCAGAAAAAACAAGTTCAAACTGATTGTTTTGTGAGAATTGTTCATATATCCTAGAATGGAAATGCTTTGCCAGGGGCATATCTGGGCAATGTTTTGAAATTAAAGCCCTCAAACTGTAGGAACGGCCTAGAATAGGGAAAGCCTGTAGGACAAGGCTACTGGAAAATGTTGCATTGGTGATTCTGATTCAACTACCATTCTTCCTCCCATTCCTCTTAGACATGATACCTAAAATCTGCTACCACATTTAGTATTTTAATTTTTGCTTTACACAAACAGCAACTGTTTTTTTTCTCTGCTTAGCACTTAGTTTAAAAAATGATTTCTCAAGAGCTTTTTAATATAAAGGCATCTGATAAATCATTCTTTATAAATTATCCAGACTTTACCTTTTAGTAGTTTGTTAAATATTGTTTTGGAAAAGTGGCATTATTTTAGTGACTGAGTGTTAATAAAAGTCTTTTAAAAAAATTGTAGGTGAGATATGAAGCCTTGCAAACATTATGTTCAGCTCCTCCATCTGATGTCCTCAACTGTGAAAATTGGACTACTCTCTGCGAAAAACTGACCGTGTCTCTTTCAGATCCTGATCCTGTGTTTAGTGTAAGAAAATGGTTATAGAAATATTAAAAATAATTTGTTTTCCCACCATTCTGGAAATAAATAGAATATGATAGTTACGATAGTTTTCTTTTCTTTTCTTTTTTGTTTTTTTTGAGACCGAGTTTCACTCTTTTTGCCCAGGCTGGAGTGCACTGGTACTACCTTGGCTCACTTTAACCTCTGCCTCCCAGGTTCAAGTAGATTCTCCTGCCTCAGCCTCCTGAGTAGCTGGGATTATAGGCATGCCACCACCAAGCCTGGCTAATTTTTGTATTTTTAGCAGAGATGCGGTTTGACCATGTTGGCCGGGCTGGTCTCGAACTCCTGACCTCAGGTGATCCGCCCACCTTGGCCTCCCAAAGTGCTGGGATTACAGGCATGGGCCACGGTGTCTGGCCGATAGTTTTCTTTAATAGTAGCTGACACATTTATGGAACTTCAGTTTCAGCTTTCTAATTGTCAAAATTTTTCTTAACAAAATTTTGTGATTAGAGTCAAAATATGGTCATATTTCATTGCCAAATAATACACTGCTACCTTGTGCATTTTATCTTGTAAAGGAATATCCTAGTATTTTATTTTTGTTTCATTTTGTTTTTTGAGACAGGGTCTTGCTCTGTCACTCAGGCTAGAGTGTAGTGGCATGATCACAGCTCACTTCAGCCTCAACCTCCCAAACTCAAGTGACCTTCCCACCTCAGTCTCCCAAGTAGCTGGGTATTATAGGCATGCACTACCATGCCTGGCTGATTTTTGTATTTTTTGTAGAGATGGAGCCTCACCACATTGCCCAGGCTGGTCTTGAACTCCTGGGCTCAAGCGATCCTCCAGCCTCAGCCTCCCAAAGTGCTGGGATTACAGGCTTGAGCCACCACGCCTGGCTGTGTCATTGCTTTTGAATGATGCTGTTTTATGATACTCTCAAATTAAAAAAAAAGAAAAATATTTTAAAAGGATTCATGGTATATGAAAATTTGAATGAAAAATGATGAATTATGGTTTATTCGAAAGGGCTTATAAACATTTTCCTCTTGTATTTAAGTGTTTACTTAGAGATTGCTTAACTGCTTAAAGAAAGAAGCTAGAAAACTAATGTTGAGATTTTAGAAAATAATTTGAGGTGAATCATAAAGCAAATATAGAAAGTTTCTAAAATTGTAAAATTATGAAGTCAGTAGATATGATTTTATTTAAAAATTGGTTTGCATATGACTTTTTAGGAACAGTTATCATATGATGAAAAGTAAGCTTTACATTAACAAGTGCAGTAATTCTACAGGTAGTATCTATGATGGGAATGAAAAGAAAACCCCTGATTATCCAAGAATTGCATTTTAAACACAAATTGGATTTCCTTATAGAGGATCTTTTCTTCCTAATTGATATATCAGTGAAGATAGTTTTGGCTTTAAAATCGATATGATGTTTGGCATAGAATTTAAGGCATTAGCAGAAGAGTTACATTTTGCTCTTTGTTCAGCAAATATATATTGAGTATCTACAGTGTGTATCATTCTCGTTTAGACACTGGGAACACACCATGGACAGGACACAAAATCTTCACCCTCAGAGAACTTAGATTTCAGTAGATAACACAGACGATAAATAAATAGTTGTAGAAAAATTTAAGGTATCGCAATATGTTTGTCTATTTAAAATCAGTCTACTGTCTACCATTAATAAAGATATGATTATACTGGTAAACAGAAGTGGTTTGGGAATCACTGTTTGTAATTCTCATAAAGGGAAGGTGTTTACCTAATACTTGGATGCAGTTCAACCTTGTTAACACCAGAGGGTATTGTAGACTTCTGGAACAGCTCAATGATCCAAGAACTTCAAGGTGAAAACATATTATCTCAGGGTTATCTTTAACATTTCATGCTCTCTAACGACGGATGCAATTGTAAATTTCCCCGTATTTTTTCTTTTACTTAATAAATACAGAATAGTAGCAGAATAGGTTTCCTTTATTTTATAAATTATGAAATAACTTTACAAAATAGCAAATTGTAGCCATTTTAAATTATTATGCAGCAAGGTTCAGTTTTATTACTTACGCTAATAAAATTGGAAGCAATTATTATAGAGGAGAGATGGTAATAAAATTAGTCATTTTGAAGTAGAAAACAAGGCATGGAGTTTTTTTCATTTTAAATTTGTGCTTGATCCAAATTCTTTTTGAGTTCAATTCTATTTCTTCATCTCCTCCTCTAAAGGACTCTTACATGCAACTGAGTGAAGCCTATAGGGTTGAAAAGTATGACAGATACCTATCAGTTGCTGCAACTATAAAAATAGACTTCCCAAAGTATTTAATATCCTTTGTTCAGTAGGAATTTCTTGGGGCCATTAGAAGATATTTTCAGTAACTTGGGGAACTATTTCTTGTAAGTGGATTATCTAAACTGGTATCAACAGTGTTATTAATCCCCCCCCAGATTAGACTATTTAAGGCAATTTTATGTTTTTATTTAATGGAAAGTTGAATTTCACTATTAGGATTAATCTTATCATGATATTAATAAAGTAGGTATAATTAAAGGGATAATAATAGCTACCATTTTAAAGTAACTCTTAGTGCCAGGCATTATGCTAACTACATCTGTTGCCACTTTTAACTTATTTACCTTCTAATGGTTTCTATTTTAGAGTTTTAATAATGTAAAAATTTAAACATAGAGTAATTTTCTTGGGAATAGGCAAAATTATTAGAAATAATTCTAAATCTCTAATTACTGAAGCTACCCATGTAAGCAATTAAAAATGATGAATTTTCGATTTGGAAATACGGGGTGTTAAAAAAATTTAGTACTGCCTACTCTGTTCCTTTGTTTGACACCTTTACATTGTCTCCTCTATGAAACCTCACCTTACCCCCTCCTCACCATGTCAGTATATACTATGACCGGATTGTGCAGTAATAGCTTTCTGTTATTAGATTCACATATTAGTTTTGGTCAGTTTTAATTTTTGCTGACACAGAGTGTGCCCTTTTTAAATAAGTACATTCTGACTCTAGTTTCTGAATGGTTTATTTGTATTTATTTTATTTTCTGAGTTTTTACTGTGTGAAAAATGTTTCATCTCTATTCTATTCTTGTGAGATCTTAGATGCAAATTTTCTGTCTCATTTCCGTAGGACCGGATTTTAAAATTCTGTGCACAGACATTTTTGCTTTCTCCATTACATATGACCAAGGAAATTTATACAAGCTTAGGTATGTTTGTGAAAACATTTAAAAATGTTTTTTGTCATTTGCATGTACTTAAGAATGGATAGGAAATAATTTTTTTCAGAAAGCACTGTAAATGAATGATGTAATTTTATGTTTTCCCTTTTTTTTCAGCTAAGTATTTGGAGTCATACTTTCTTTCTAGGGAAAATCATATTCCTACTCTTTCAGCTGGTGTAGATATAACTAATCCTAATATGACTCGCTTACTTAAAAAGGTATCCATTTACTACAATATGCTTTCATTTTTATTTATTTAGTTTTATATTTGAGGATGCTAATTTTTTGAGAACTATTGTGCACTGCTTTGTAGGTTCGTCTTCTAAATGAATATCAGAAAGAAGCTCCATCTTTCTGGATTCGTCATCCAGAGAAGTAAGTCCCCTCCCAATGTATGCCAGCATAAAACCTAGCGGTGTTACTGCCCCATATACGTTTCAGACAGAAAGAGTAAAGACAGTCTTAATGGACTTACCTGATTGGGAAGGGATTAATAAAATTTTTATTTTTATTTTTCTTCAGCTTGTCATGTTTTATACTTAGCTATGTGAATTACTGTATACAGGTACCACTTTACATCATTTATCACAAGGTAAAAAAAATGTAGCATTAGTTTTTTTTTTTTTTTAATGTATCAGTGATTTGAAGGTCTGCGTTAGGTTCTTATTGGTCTTTGCTATTGCATTTTGGACAAGTTCCTTAAATATTCTTTAAACTTTTTCCTTTCAGCTCTAAAATTTATACTAAGTTGTAAGATAATCTGTGAGTCTGAAAAGGAAAGTTAAATTCACAGATCCAGTGTTGAAGTAGAAAGAACCTGTAGTTAAAGCAGAAACATTGAGTATGAATCCTACCTGTCATTTACTGAAATAGAAAAAATGTTTCTGAAGATTATATGCTACTTTATCATTCCATGAATATAAAGTATACCACCAGAACTATATGTGTAATTGTATTTCTTTTTTCCCAAACTTTAAGGTATATGGAAGAAATTGTGGAGAGTACTTTGTCCTTGTTAACAGTTAAACATAATCAAAGCCATGTTGTCTCACAAAAGATTTTGGATCCGATCTACTTTTTTGCATTAGTTGATACCAAGGCTGTGTGGTTCAAAAAGTGGATGGTAAGGAAAAATAGAATATTTTTATACCTTTTAGTGCATTGCTATATCATTTTAATAAATAGTTAATGTTTGAATACTGTGTGCTAAGAGTTCTAATCACTTTTACATGTGTTAGCTCATTTATTTCTTATAAAACTTTACGAGGTTGGTGGTATTAATACCCCCATTTTTCAGATGCAGTAACTGAGATATGGAGAAGTTAACTTGCCCAAGATTTTTCACCTATTAAGTGTCAGAGCCAGAATAGGATTTTAAGTGATATTTCATTTGAATCTAAGCTGAATGACCTATTCAAAAATCTATTTTTTCTTTAATGTGAAAGCTTCAAAAATTTTAAGCAAATGTGGTAGAACATAAGGATTCAATATGTATTTTTTTTCAGGCTTAGGAGATATTTCTGAAAGTATTCTTTCATTTGCCTTCCTCCTGAACCTGAAGTTTGGGGAATGTGTTTAATACCTGAACCTGGCAATTTCTTATGAAGCTGAAACTGAAACTACTAGTAAGAGTAGAGAGATCTTTATACTGTTACCTCCCTCAACCTCTGTTAACTAAGAGAGGTCTGTGTTTGTCAATAGCAGCAACAGGACTGGCTTTTATGCTCACATTGTCTTCTTTCTCAATCTGTACTGGGCACCTAGGTACTATATTTCTTGCACTTGAGAAGAGAGGGGTTGGGGCATTCATTTACTCTTCAGCACAGTTTGGATGTTATCTAGCAATGGTGCTTTGTGCCTTCTGCTAAGTTGTATCATAAATGCCCAATTAACCAGAACACAATTCTGTCTCTAGTGGTTAGCCCTTACCTGGCCTGTCTAGTATGTGATTCATGTTTACTCAATTAAATTAAATTAATTTAAGATGAACCCTTTGTTCCTTACATCTAACAGTTAAATTTTTTTCTTGATTATCAAATTATATCATTATTTGAGAAAATATGCAAAATATGTAAAAGCTTAAATAAAATTAAATTTTTCTAATTATACAATACAGGGATAACAACTGTTAAGATTTTGTTTCATGTAGATATGTTATATATACTTTTATATTTATCTGTTTAGGTCATCTTTTTTTTAACAAAATCAGTCATATTTTACTAACTTTGTAATTAACTTTTTTTCATTTGACATTCTTATTGCTGGGAGTTGATTCTTAAGATAACGGGGTACAAATTTATTTAAAAATCACATTCTGAAGTGTGTTCTAGTATACATGAAAATTCATTACATCCTCCTATAATTTTTGCATCTAAGGCAGGAGTTGTCACACTTTTTATGTAAAGAGCCAGACCATAAATATTTTTGGCGTTGTGGGCCTACAGTCCCTATTGTAGCTATTCATCCCAATTGTTGTAGCTCCAGAGCATCTATACATAATAGGTAAATGAATGGACTTGACTGTTCCAGTGAATTTTTTTTGCAAAAGTGGGTCTAGGCAGAATTTAATCTGAGGGCTGTAGTTTGTTGACCCTGGTCTAAGAGATATACTATGAGGATTTCTTTTCAGAACATGGTCAATATTAAAAATAGCTTAATACTATATCAACTTCTCTTATTATTAAGTTGGAAAAAGGATTAATAGTTTTTGAAAACATTTTAAGCTACAAGGTTTAAAACCCAAGGTTTTGATTAACCTTTGGTTAACCAAAACACAATTTAATGAATGTTTAATTAAAAATTGTATTCCCGGCCAGGTGCGGTGGGTCACGCCTGTAATCCCAGCACTTTGGGAGGCCAAGGTGGGCAGATCACTTGAGGTTGGGAGTTTGAGACCAGCTTGGCCAACATAGCAAAACCTCATCTCTATTTAAAAAGCAAAAAAAGGAAAAAAAAGAAAAACAATACAAAAATCCTCTATTCCCTAGAATTCTGAAAAAGTTTTGACTTGTATTATTCTGTTTAATATTTTTATTTTTCAAAAAAATTTTTTTACTATACTTTAAGTTCCAGGGTACATGTGCAGAACGTGCAGGTTTGTTGCATAGGTATACACGTGCCATGGTGGTTTGCTGCACCCATCAACCCATCATCTACATTAGGTATTTTTCCTAATGCTATCCATCCCCTAGCACCCCACCCCCAAACAGGCCCTGGTGTGTGATGTTCCCCTCCCTGTGTCCATGTGTTTTCATTGCTCAACTCTCACTTATGAGTGAGAACACGCTGTGTTTGGTTTTCTGTTCTTCTGAAAGTTTGCTGAGAATGATGGTTTCCAGCATCATCCGTGTCCCTGCAAAGGACATGAACTCATCCTTTTTTATGGCTGTGTAGTATTCCATGGTGTTTATGTGCCACATTTTCTTTATCCAGTCTATCATTGGGCATTTGGGTTGGTTCCAAGTCTATACTATTGTGAACAGTGCTGCAATAAACATATGTGTGCATGTGTCTTTATAGTAGAATGATTTATAATCCTTTGGGTATATACCCGGTAATGGGATTGCTGGGTCAAATGGTATTTCTAGTTCTAGATCCTTGAGGAATCGCCACACTGCCTTCCACAATGGTTGAACTAATTTACACTCCCACCAAAAGTGTAAAAGTGTTCCCATTTCTCCACATCCTCTCCAGCATCCGTTGTTTCCTGACCTTTTAATGATCACCATTCTAACTGATGTGAGATGGTATCTCATTGTGGTTTTGATTTGCATTTCTCCAGTGACTAGTGATGATGAGCATTTTTTCATGTGTCTTTTGGCTGCATAAATGTCTTCTTTTGAGAAGTGTCTGTTCATATCCTTTGCCCACTTTTTGATGGGGTTGTTAGTTTTTTTCTTCTAAATCTGTTTAAGTTTTTTGTAGATTCTGGATATTAGCCCTTTGTCAGATGGATAGATTGCAAAAATTTTCTCCCATTCCATAGGCTGCCTGTTCACTCTGATGATAGTTTGTTTTGCTGTGCAGAAGCTCTTTAGTTTAATCAGGTCCCATTTGTCAATTTTGGCTTTTGTTGTCATTGCTTTTGGTGTTTTAGTCATGAAGTCTTTGCCCATGCCTATGTCCTGAATGGTATTGCCTAGGTTTTCTTCTAGGGTTTTTATGGTTTTAGAGCTTATGTTTAAGTCTTTAATCCATCTTGAGTTAAGTTTTCCCAACACCATTTATTAAATAGGAAATCCTTTCCTCATTGCTTGTTTTTGTTAGGTTTGTCAAAGCTTTATTCTTTTTTTTGAGATGGAGTCTCACTCTGTCACCCAGGCTGGAGTGCAGTGGCGCAATCTCGGTTCACTGCAACATCTGCCTCCTGGGTTCAAGCGATTCTTCTGCCTCAGCCTCCTGAGTAGCTGGGACTACAGATGCATGCCACCACTCCTGGCTAATTCTTATATTTTTAGTAGAGAGGGGTTTCACCATATTGGCCATTTCGAGACCATACTCGAACTCCTGACCTCGTGATTTGCCCGCCTCATCCTCTCAAAGTGCTGGGATTACAGGTGTGAGCCACTGTGCCCGGCCAATATTTTTATTCCTAAGTGAAATGAAGAAACTATATTTTGAACACTAATGATATCTTATATAATCCAGCTAAACAATATTTATAGTTTTCCCTGGCTTTGTACAATGCTATGCATTTACATGTTTTAATTACATCTATATTTTGCTCCAAGGAGAGATTTAAAGCTCTTTTGACACTTTGAATCATTTTTAAATATGGTTGGCAGAAAATGATTAGGGTACTGTCACTTTGGAGCATTTCAGTGTTGGCACATTTCTGCACATGTAGACCGTACAGTATCCTCTTCAGTATAAGAGTTGTGCTTTTTAATTTTTTTTCCCCACTATGTATCTTTTTTTGGATTCTGTCATAGGTATACTTTTTTGGTGGTGGTTTTAAAATAGTTTAGCATGGAAATTGGACACAATCGATGGATAGAATGTTCTTCTACTGGTCAGTCACTAAATGATCTGCAAGTTTTTTGATACGATTTGCATTCTTGTGATTGCTTTGCTCCTAATACAATGCACACATAAACACCTGTCTGTCATTGACTATAAGGGTTTAAACCTAAGCTATTGTGTGATTTATGATGTTGTCATTAGAAATCATGCAGGAAAAATAGATTTTGAGTGGCACAGCTTGAGTATTAAATATCATTTCCTTTTAATTTTAGCATGCACATTATAGCAGAACTACAGTATTAAGACTTCTTGAAACGAAATATAAGTCTCTGGTAAGTCTGTAATTCTGTTTTTATGTTGAGAAATAATATCACCAGAATATATATGATGTAATAACTTGACTATGCAAAGTTGTGTGGTGATAATTAATATTGGATAATGAAGCAATTCGCCTTTTATGTGATCTTAAACTACCATCCTGTGACACATAAAGGGATAAAAATAGAGACTTAAAATGAATGCAGTCAGGATAACAATTAGAAAATATGTTTTATATATATAGTAAATTGGCTTCTATATATAACAAGCTAGTTTGAGAGAAGCCATATTTTTAAGCAGTAGCATGTAGTTCGATTCACATCAAGTATTCATAAAGCCATTACTTTTATAATATAGACCCATGTTTTTCAGTGAAAATTACATGGAAAAACTCAAAATGATAAATACTTTTGCATTTTCAATAATTGGTTTGAGTTATACCAAATGTAGACTTAATACTCTAAAATATGTTACCAAAATCATCTACATTTGTTACTATTAGTAGAACAATGTAAGGGTACTGAAAATAATTAAAAAGAAATCAGCAAGTCTAATAAATAATTGACAAAATGAAAAACACAAAATTTATTAAGACATTCAAATGTTATACTGATATAGCTTTGGGTCAATAAACATCTTTTATGTAGTTAGGCAGAACCTTGAGTTTGGAAGTCAGGTGAAGAAAAGATTCCGGAATTGTGATTTTTGGTTGAGTGCAGTAGAGCATAAAATGAAGGAAGGAGAACAATAATTGTTGTGTGTTTGAGAATCCAGAGAATTGAGCAGCAGAAGAAGAGAGGGATATTGAATAATAGGATAAGAATTTATTTGTAAAGGTAAAATATACTTCAAAATTTTTAAAGAAATTGAATTTAAATAGGTTTTTCCACATTTGATTTTTCTCTCATTCCCATTTTAAATAAAAATTTGTTGTTGCTTTATGAGCATAGACTGATCTTGCTAGAATAGAGAAAGGAAAAATAAAGAACAGGATGATTTTCCCCATGGTTTATGTACAGATAATGACTCACTGTTGCTATCACAGAGGCCCCAGTGAAAGTATTTCAAATAAGGTTTTTTATAGATTAATTCTTAAAATTGGTTTCTTATTTGAAAAGTTAACTATACCTTGACTTTTAACCTGCAAATGGAATTATGTCATTATAAATCATCTTAATATTTTTATCAACTTAGTCAAATATTTTATGTATATAGTATGTCAAACTTGTTTGACATTTCAACTTAAACCTCATTTGCACTAAAAAGCTTTCCTACATTTACAAAATATCAAAATATTATTCATTTTATATTTATTTTTTAAAAGTAAACTTGGCCCCACTTTTGAAAATAAACATTGGGGAAAATGATGCAAGATCTGTTTATTCCCATTGTATTTTCAGAATCAAGGGTCAAATTTTGTGCATCTGTGATGGAAATTGCAGACCACTCCATCCATTTGTGTTTCTGTTCTAAAAGAGATTCTTGTATAAGAACTTTACTCATAGCAGCCTGTTTAGCATGATGACCTGCTGATGTATTTCCTCTAGCTTCTCATCAGTGCTCTCTGATGTCGTTTTCTGCAATGATGAAATATCTGTGTTGTACAATATGGTAACCACAAGCCACATATGACTGCTGAAAACTTGAAATGAGACTAGAGTAAATGAGAAACTGTATTTTTAATTTTATTTAGTTTTTATTAATTTAAATTTAAATAGGCATGTGGTTGGTGGCTACTGTATTTGTGTGGTTCTATTCTATCTTATGTTTATGACATTTTTAGTAGGTAGCATTAAGCTATCAATTTTTGTATATGCTGTTGGTTTTTTATAGATATCCCTGAAAAAGTTAAGATAGTCTTTGTTCCCATAGAATCTGAAAGACATGAACTGGTTAAAAGTTTTGGCTGTCGGCCTAAATATTTAACCTTTAATTTTTAACAGTTTGAATCTTGATTCAGTCAACCCCTAAAGGAATGGTTTCTGAAATGGTTTTATGTAGTGCCATTTTTACTGCTCTCTGAAAGTCATTTTAAAAATGACTTGACGGCTTGGTTATTTAAATTCTCCCTTGGTTTTTCGTGTCTTATTGTATTTAACCTTTTTTAAAATTTCTGTCTTAGGGGTTAACAATTAAATGAACTGGCTGGTATATATTTGATAGTATAGGGCAATAAGTATCAAATACAATCCTGAGTTTTATAGCAAATTTCTGTCTATTTTCACAGGGGTTAGAAAAATCATTCATTATACTCTCAACTTGACTCTTTAAATTCACCTACTATAGATCTGCTTTCTGCTACTGTGGTTTAAAGGGATGTCATGTAATGTGATTGTTCATGTCCTGAGATTATTCCTTTTCTTTCCTGTGATTGCTACCTTTTCTCAAATAAAGATAGCATGTTTAAGAAAATATAAGGGAAAGAGTATAAGGAAAAGAAGGGAGTGTAAGTAAGTGGATGGTGAAGATAAAGCTGGGTAGTAATGGATGCAAGGAGGGTGGATTTCTAAAGGTTCAAATGAACGAAAGAGTCTTTGAGAGAGATTATTTTGGAGACAGTGTTTTGAGTTTTCAGTTAAAGAAGCGGACTATTGTTTGTTCTTTTGTCTTCTAATTCTTAAGAGCTTCTCTTAAGTGTATTATTTTATAAATTTTTCATGTCAAAAGTTTCCTAAAGTGTCAGTTGTTATTTTAATCCACTTTGTTTTGTTTTGTTTTTTGTTAGAAAATGGGTCAAAGGAGAAGTATTGAAGCAAAACGATGTTTAAGACATTGTATAATAGTGCAAGCAAAAGATGATGGAACCATGGAAGAAGGATAAGACAGAATTGGGATAAATGGATGGACTCAAAATACTTTATTTAGAATGTAGGATTTAGAGGACTTTTGAATGAGGGGGTTGTGATTGAGGCCTCAGACAATTGACTAATGTCATTCATTGAGATAAGTAACACAGTAGGAGGCAAACATTTGCTGGAAAAGATAATGATTTTTAGATTTGGTAGGTTTAATCATATTTGAAATGCAGATTTCTAGGAGGCATGGGTCTGGATCCCTGACGTTTGATTTAGAAAAGACAGGTAGATATGGGAGGGGGAGGGTCCCCAAGACAACCCCCCAGGTTTGATGATTTGCTAGAAGGATTCGTAGGATTCAGCATATAGTTATGCTCTCAGCTGTCATTTATAACAATGAAAGGATACAAAGAAAAATCAGCAAAAAGGAAAAAGTTCATTGAGTGAAGTATGGAAGATATGAAAGTATAAGCTTCCAAGAGTCTTTTTCCCACTAGAATCACATAAGACATGCTTAACTCTTTCAGCATTGAATTGTGGCAACTTATGTGAAATGTTATATACCAGGGAAGCTCATTAGAAACTCAGTGCCTGGTTTTTGTTTTTGAGGTGGGGGTGCTGTTCACATAGAAACCCTCTGCCTGGTACATACCAGGGTCCAAGACTCCTAGAAGGAAAGCAGGTATTCCTCATAAACCACATTATTTGTGCAAACATTGTCAGCCATTCTCAGTTCTCAGAATGATGAGAGCCCTCCTGAAATCCAAGTTCCTAGATGCTATCAAAATCCCACCTTGTAAGGAGGCCTTTCTAAAGACAGAAGTCCTGCCATGTTACCTCTTTTCTGCATACAACTGAGGCCATAAGAAAGAATGAGATGGGAAAATCCATTGATTCCTTGGCGCTACAATTATGAACTTGCTTCTTTTCAAACCTTTATTTTTTTCCTATCTAAAGCTTAATTAATCATTCCTTCCACTTGGATTCCATCTGCTTCTTCCTCTTGTGTATTTTTTTTTTCTATCAACTATCCCCTTTCTCTCCTATATAGTCAAACTCTTCCCCTCTGTTGGCTTCCCCCAGTAACATTTAAGCATAACCATATCCTTCTTAGCTGAAAAAGAGTTTAATCTTGACTCTAAGATACAGTTGCTGGTCTATTTTTTAAATTTTTCTCAGCTGTCTTTCCTGAAAATAAAAATTATGCTAACTGCCTTTACTTTTTCACTTCCTATTCCTTTATTTGGTATAGTCTGGCTTTATTCACCAAACTCCTCTGAAAGTGATCTTTTCAAGGTCACCAACAACTGCCTTGTTACCAGATTTAATAATTATCACACCGTATATCACTGGTGGCTTTTTTTTTTTTTTTTTTGGAATTAGGATAAGAGGCCATCGATGGGTAGGCAGGTGCTGAGGAAAGGGGAGAAGGTTTGAAGTCTCTGCTTGTGGAGAATGAGAGGAGGAGTTAGAATGGAGACTAATAGGAGAATCACTGAGTACAGTAGGGGTTGGAGATCATTTTTTATTGTGACTCTTTTCTTTGAATTATGAGAATTTTCTTTTATCAGTTTTTAGCATTTCTGGTATTTGAGATGGAAATAAAGACTTGATCCACTTGATATTTTGCTAGCTGGGTAGGAGGAAAAGATTCTAAGGCAAAGGAACTGGACAAGATAGTTTCTAAAGTTATGGCAATGGCCACAGAGTTTTTGCGTTTTTCACTATAAAATATAAATTACATATTTATTTCTGTCCAATGACACCAACATTATAACATTATCATATTTGTTGGTCCACAAATATTTTCACAGTGTTCACCAGAGTGATGCCATAGTTAAAATGTAATTGAGGAGGCTGAGCTTTAAGGGCTAGAAAGGTACTGTACTAAATATTTTTCTCAAATATTTCTCCAAAGTATTTTTACAGCTTTGACTAATTTCTTTTAATTCTTGGACTTGAGGGCTGCAAAGTTCTGGAATTAATAACTTATTATTTCATCAGGTAACTACAGCCATTCAACAGTGTGTTCAGTACTTTGAAATGTGTAAGACTAGGAAAGCTGATGAAACTTTGGGACATTCAAAGCATTGCAGTAAGTATTATTTCCTCTATTACATACTTTTAAAAATGGTAAATTTTATTAGTAAATACAGTTTAGTAGGAACTTTTATTTTTTAATGATTGTTAGTATGGTAAATTAGGTCACTTTTACTAATGATGCTGTAAAATATATTTTACACATTTATAAGATACACTATAATCATTATTTTTTATAACAGATCTACATTTGAAATTAATGTACAACCATACTGATTCTTATTAGATGCAGTTCTTTGATTCATACTAGGGCATGTATCCTAATCTGTTATATTACAACAATATACAGTCCATCCTTTCCCCTTCAATAATGTATCAGTCATCTAATCAGGCATATATGCACTTTAATGGGAAAAAAACTTCCATAAAATGTTGTTTTTATTTTTGAACACCCTGTGTCACCCCGTGATCCTTCTTTGCTTATTCTGTGTCTGAGCTAAAATGTCTTGGATGCTTCGTAATCTGGCCCCAATTTCTTGATACAATCTCTTCTGTAGTTATTGACTAAAATGAATCTTCTCTTAGTCTTTTTTTTGCATTCCAATGCCTATACAACATTATTTTTACTCCTACTGCCCCATCTGTAATTCCCTACACTAATAGATATCTTATTTATCATGAAAGAAGAAACTGTATTTTATTTATTTATTTTTTTAGACAGAGTCTCGCTGTATCACCCAGGCTGGAATGCAGTGGCATGATCTGGACTCACTGCAACCTCTGCCTCCTGGGTTCAAGCGACTCTCCTGCCTCAGCCTCCCAAGTAGCTGGGAGTACAGGTGCCTGCCACCACATCTGGCTAAGTTTTTGTATTTTTAGTAGAGATGGGGTTTCACTGTGCTGGCCAGGCTGCTCTTGAACTCCTGACGTTGTGATCCACCCACCTTGGCCTCCCAAAGCACTGGGATTACAGGCATGAGCCACCGCGCCCTGCAGAAACTGTATTTTAAATTTCAAGGCCTCCCTGCTTATTCTGAATTTTTCTTGCTCTTGCTTATATCACACAATTGGCCATGTGAACCTGATAGCTTTTATTGTTCTGTTGTTTTTATATTGTTTCCTTAAGCATATAGTAAGCTCTTTTGAGAGTATGACGATATCTTATACTTTTCTTCATTCTCAGGTGAATTTCTTTATCTAACTCAAAGCAAGGGAGATGGTGATAGACCAATAATTAATGGGTTTCAAAAGCTAGTGTTTTGTAGGGGAGGAGAAAGTGTAGAAGTTATAATTTATTCTTCAAGAGAAGGAAAAGGACATATAAGTTCATATGTTATCTCATTTACAAACTTACAGATTTTTCTAATTTCTTGATATTAAAATGTAATATTTAGCTCCTTTCCCCTCATTACTTTCTTAGTCCTTCATGGTTTTGCTCTCTTCTCTATCTACTAAAGACCTCAGGGTGCTTCATTACATTTTTTTTTTTTGCCATGTTTTTAAAAAAATTCTTGCTCATTTCTCTTTCAGAGTTTTCTGCCTGCAGTTGCCCAACTTTAGGTCAATTCAATTCTCTATCTTTTCTGGTACTCAAGAAATTGAGCAGAGAGTATATGACATGGCTTGAGAGTAAATATATATTTTCTAGCTTCAGCTGCTCTCTCTCTGTTGCTTTGGAATCCTCCTAGATGTTCTTTCTTCAGCGTTCCGTAACAGCTATTACAAGCCCTTGTCAGTCTCGTCGAACCTTCTGCTTTGCTCCTGCCCAGTTCTCTCTCAGGAGGAGGAGCCCTTGCTTACTCTTTCACTAAGAAAAATAGAACTTTGCTGATGTGAATTCTCTAAGTGTCTTGCTTCTTTGTATGCAAATACATATGCGCCCTAATCAATATTTCCTTTTCTTAGCCTGCAAAGAAGAGATGTTTTGTTTTAGATTGGTGTCTTAATTCTGTTATCTTCTGTGTATATATATGTGAATGACAAATACATATTGGGAGATGTCTATATTGTAGAGATTCTAATTTCACTTAGACGTGCTTGTTAATATGATCTTTTGTAATACTGGCTTTTAATTGGTGGAATTAAACAGTAACTAACATTTTCTATTAACTTTCTTCTGCCCTTAACTTACTTTTGAAGTTCCTCTTCAGTGGCAGATAACTCTGGCAGTCTTATGGTATTTATTTTAGAATGGACACTATATGTATACTATTCTTTTCTGAGGCTGCTTTTTAAGATGATTGCTTTTCTTTGGGGATTTATTGTAAAGGATCTTAGGAAACAATAAGGAAAACAAATAATTAAAAAATTTTTGACCAGTAATGTCTCCATTCTAGCCTGTAGCCTTGTTTAATGTCTAGAAGGGAATGAAGACAGGTACTGTAAAATATAATGATACTAAATAAATATTCGTGTTTGCTTCTCTTTTAAGGAAACAAGCAGAAAACTTTCTACTACTTAGGACAAGAATTACAATATATTTATTTCATTCACTCACTGTGCCTTTTAGGAAGATTATTGATCTATAAACAAGGCAGAAAACTATTTCCTATTAAGCTGAAGAATAAAAAAGGTAAGTACAATTAGGAGAAATAAATTTGTTAAGATATGCTAAGATTTATATATGGTGGAGTATTCAAACTTGGAAATTTGGCATGTTCCTTTCTACGGTACTTAGCTACATACCTTTTAGTCTATTGATAGCTTATACACTTTGAAGTATTTGTTTTCTTTTAGTTTTCAGTATGTGCTTCTTTCTACATGTATTTTTTTTTTATTATTATTCCTTCAGCCTTTAGGGATCCAGATATAGATTTAGAGCTAGAAGACCTTGTTTAAGTTCTCATTCCATTATAAACTAGCAGTGATCTTTTGGGAAAATCACTTAACCTTTGTTGTTTCCATTTCTTTATCTGTAAAAATTGAATAGTGAAATTGGTAATATTTAAGTTACAGAATTTTTGTGATTACAGAGAAATGAGGTTGCAAATACTGTTTTATAAACTGCAAAGCCCTGTGTCATTTTGTATATTACCATATAATTTTTACCCTAAGTCTCATTTACTTTTTCCCCATCAAACTTCAGCACATGCTGTTAGTATATACTTAAACTCTTAAGGGAAGTAAAAATGATAACTAAGAATATAGTATATGGCAGGGAACAGCAAACTGTTTTTTGTTTTTTTGTTTTTTTTTGTAAAGCACCACATAGTAAATATTTTGGGCTGTTTTGACCACATACTGCTTTTGTATATTCTCTCTGTGTGTGTACAAAAAAGAATTAATGTAGCAGGCCTGAAACAACTATCCTTAGAAAGGCCAGCTTGCAAGGTTGGACCTTGGCTGGGACCTAGGAACTTAGATTTCCTATTGTTCCTAGAACTGATGAGTGCCTCAACTGTGCACTGATCACCGCCTAAACTGTACAGTGTGATTTATGTGGAGTACCTGGTTTTCTTTCTTTCTTTTTTTTTTTATTATACTTTAAGTTTTAGGGTACATGTGCACAACGTGCAGGTTAGTTACATATGTATACATGTGCCATGTTGGTAAACTGCACCCATTAACTCGTCATTTAACATTAGGTATATCTCCTAATGCTATCCATCCACCCTCCCCCAACCCCACAACAGGCCCCAGTGTGATGCTCCCCTTCCTGTGTCCATGTGTTCTCATTGTTCAATTCCCACCTATGAGTGAGAACATGTGGTGTTTGGTTTTTTTGTCCTTGAGATAGTTTGCAGAGAATGATGGTTTCTAGCTTCATCTGTGTCCCTACAAAAGACATGAACTCATCATTTTTTATGGCTGCATAGTATTCCATGGTGTATGTGTGCCACATTTTCTTAATCCAGTCTATCATTGTTGGACATTTGGGTTGGTTCCAAGTCTTTGCTATTGTGAATAGTGCCGCAATAAACATATGTGTGCATGTGTCTTTATAGCAGCATGATTTATAATCCTTTGGGTATATACCCAGTAATGGGACTGCTGGGTCAAATGGTATTTCTAGTTCACGATCCCTGAGGAATCGCCACACTGACTTCCACAATGGTTGAACTAGTTCACAGTCCCACCAACAGTGTAAAAGTGTTCCTATTTCTCCACATCCTCTCCAGCACCTGTTGTTTCCTGACTTTTTAATGATCGCCATTCTAACTGGTGTGAGATGGTATCTCATTGTGGTTTTGATTTGCATTTCTCTGATGGCCAGTGATGATGAGCATTTTTTCATGTGTCTTTTGGCTGCATAAATGTCTTCTTTTGAGAAGTGTCTGTTTATATCCTTTGCCCACTTGTTGATGGGGTTGTTTGTTTTTTTCTTGTAAATTTGTTTGAGTTCATTGTGGATTCTGGATATTAGCCCTTTGTCAGATGAATAGATTGCAAAACTTTTCTCCCATTCTGTAGGTTGCCCATTGACTCTGATGGTAGTTTCTTTTGCTGTGCAGAAGCTCTTTAGCTTAATTAGATCCCATTTGTCAATTTTGTCTTTTGTTGCCATTGCTTTTGGTGTTTTAGACATGAAGTCCTTGTCCATGCCTATGTCCTGAATGGTATTGCCTAGGTTTTCTTCTAGGGTTTTTATGGTTTTAGGTCTAATATTTAAGTCTTTAATCCACCTTGAATTAATTTTTGTATAAGGTGTAAGGAAGGGATCCAGTTTCAGCTTTCTACATATGTCTATCCAGTTTTCCCAGCACCATTTATTGAATAGGGAATCGTTTCCCCATTTCTTGTTTTTGTCAGGTTTGGCAAAGATCAGATGGTTGTAGATATGCGGCATTATTTCTGAGGGCTCTGTTCTGTTCCATTGGTCTATATCTCTGTTTTGGTACCAGTACCATGCTGTTTTGGTTACTGTAGCCTTGTAGTATAGTTTGAAGTCAGGTAGCCTGATGCCTCCAGCTTTGTTCTTTTGGCTTAGGATTGACTTGGCAATGCGGGCTCTTTTTTGGTTCCATATGAACTTTAAAGTAGTTTTTTCCAATTCTGTGAGGAAAGTCATTGGTAGCTTAATGGGGATGGGATTGAATCTATAAATTGCCTTGGGCAGTATGGCCATTGTCACGATATTGATTCTTCCTACCCATGAGCATGGAATGTTCTTCCATTTGTTTGTATCTTTTATTTCATTGAGCAGTGGTTTGTAGTTCTCCTTGAGGAGGTCCTTCACGTCCCTCGTAAGTTGGATTCCTAGGTATTTTATTCCCTTTGAAGCAATTGTGAATGGGAGTTCACTCATGATTTGGCTGTTTGTCTGTTATTGGTGTATAGGAATGCCTGTGATTTTTGTACATTGATTTTGTATCCTGAGACTTTGCTGAAGTTGCCTATCAGCTTAAGGAGATTCTGGGCTGAGATGATGGGGTTTTCTAGATATACAATCATGTCTTCTGCAAACAGGGACAATTTGCCTTCCTCTTTTCCTAATTGAATACCCTTTATTTCTTTCCCTTGCCTGATTGCCCTTGCCAGAACTTCCAACACTATTGTTGAATAGGAGTGGTGAGAGAGGGCATCCTTGTCTTGTGCCAGTTTTGAAAAGGAATGCTTCCAGTTTTTGCCCATTCAGTATGATATTGGCTGTAGGTTTGTCATAGATAGCTCTTATTATTTTGAGATACGTCCCATCAATACCTAATTTATTGAGAGTTTTTAGCATGAAGGGCTGTTGAATTTTGTCAAAGGCCTTTTCTGCATCTATTGAGATAATCATATGGTTTTTGTCGTTGGTTCTGTTTATATGCTGGATTACGTTTATTGATTTGTGTATGTTGAACCAGCCTTGCATCCCAGGGATGAAGCCCACTTGATTGTGGTGGATAAGCTTTTTGATGTGCTGCTGGATTTGGTTTGCCAGTATTTTATTGAGGATTTTTGCATCGATGTTCATGTGGGATATTGGTCTAAAATTCTCTTTTTTTGTTGTGTCTCTGCCAGGCTTTGGTATCAGGATGATGCTGGCCTCATAAAATGAGTTAGAGAGGATTCCCTCTTTTTCTATTGATTGGAATAGTTTTAGAAGGAATGGTACCAGCTCCTCCTTGTACCTCTGGTAGAATTCGGCTGTGAATCCATCTGGTCCTGGACTTTTTTTGGTTGGCAAGGTATTAATTATTGCCTGAATTTCAGAGCCTGTTATTGGTCTATTCAGAGATTCAACTTCTTCCTGATTTAGTCTTGGGAGGGTGTATGTGTTGAGGAATTTATCTATTTCTTCTAGATTTTCTAGTTTATTTGTGTAGAGGTGTTTATAGTATTCTCTGATGGTAGTTTGTATTTCTGTGGGATCGGTGTTGATATCCCCTTTATCATTTTTTATTGCGTCTATTTGATTCTTCTCTCTTTTCTTCTTTATTAGTCTTGTTAGCAGTTTATCAATTTTGTTGATCTTTTCAAAAAACCAGCTCCTGGATTCATTGATTTTTTGAAGAGTTTTTTGTGTCTTTATTTCCTTCAGTTCTGCCCTGGTCTTAGTTATTTCTTGCCTTCTGCTAGCTTTTGAATGTGTTTGCTCTTGCTTCTCTAGTTCTTTTAATTGTGATGTTAGGGTGTCAATTTTAGATCTTTCCTGATTTCTCTTGTGGGCATTTAGAGCTATAAATTTCCCTCTACACACTGTTTTGAATGTGTCCCAGAGATTCTGGTATGTTGTGTCTTTGTTCTCATTGGTTTCAAAGAACATCTTTATTTCTGCCTTCATTTTGTTATGTACCCAGTAGTCGTTCAGGAGCAGGTTGTTCAGTTTCCATATAGATGAGCGGTTTTGAGTGAGTTTCCTAATCCTGAGTTCTAGTTTGATTGCACTGTGGTCTGAGAGACAGTTTGTTATAATTTCTGTTCTTTTACATTTGCTGAAGAGTACTTTACTTCCAACTATGTGGTCAATTTGGAATAAGTGCGGTGTGGTGTTGGGAAGAATGTATATTCTGTTGATTTGGGGTGGAGAGTTCTGTAGATGTCTATTAGGTCTGCTTGGTGCAGAGCTGAGTTCAATTCCTGGATATCCTTGTTAACTTTCCGTCTTGTTGATCCATCTAATGTTGACAGTGGGGTGTTAAAGTCTCCCATTATTATTGTGTGGGAGTGTAAGTCTCTTTGTAGGTCTCTAAGGACTTTCTTTATGAATCTGGGTGCTCCTGTATTGGGTGCATATATATTTAGGATAGTTAGCTCTTCTTGTTGAATTGATCCCTTTACCATTATGTAATGGCCTTTTTTGTCTCTTCTAATCTTTGTTGGTTTAAAGTCTGTTTTATTAGAGACTAGGATTGCAACCCCTGCCTTTTTTTGTTTTCCATTTGCTTGGTAGATCTTCCTTCATCCTTTTATTTTCAGCCTATGTGTTTCTCTGTACGTTAGGTGGGTTTCTTGAATACAGCACACTGATGGGCCTTGACTCCTTATCTAATTTGCTACTCCGTGTCTTTTAATTGGAGCATTTAGCCCATTTACATTTAAGGTTAATATTGTTATGTGTGAATTTGATCCTGTCATTATGATGTTAGCTGGTTATTTTGCTTGTTAGTTGATGCAGTTTCTTCCTAGCCTTGATGGTCTCTACAATTTGGCATGTTTTTGCAGTGGCTGGTACCGGTTGTTCCTTTCCATGTTTAGTGCTTCCTTCAGGAGCTCTTTTAGGGCAGGCCTGGTGGTGACAAAATCTCTCAGCATTTGCTTGTCTGTAAAGAATTTTATTTCTCCTTCACTTTTGAAGCTTAGTTTGGCTGGATATGAAATTCTGGGTTGAAAATTATTTTCTTTAAGAATGTTGAATATTGGCCCCCACTCTCTTCTGGCTTGTAGAGTTTCTGCTGAGAGATCAACTGTTAGTCTGATGGGCTTCCCTTTGTGCGTAACCCGACCTTTCTCTCTGGCTGCCCTTTACATTTTTTCCTTCATTTGAACTTTGGTGAATCTGACAATTATGTGTCTTGGAGTTGCTCTTCTCGAGGAATATCTTTGTGGCGTTCTCTGTATTTCCTGAATTTGAATGTTGGCCTGCCTTGCTAGGTTGGGGAAGTTCTCCTGGATAATATCCTGTAGAGTGTTTTCCAACTTGGTTCCATTCTCCCCATCACTTTCAGGTACACCAATCAGACGTAGATTTGGTCTTTTCATATAGTCCCATTCATATAGTCCCATATTTCTTGGAGGCTTTGTTCATTTCTTTTTATTCTTTTTTCTCTAAACTTCTCTTCTCGCTTCATTTCATTCATTTCATCTTCCATCACTGATACCGTTTCTTCCAGTTGATCAAATCGGCTACTGAGGCTTGTGCATTCGTCACGTAGTTCTCGTGCATTGGTTTTCAGCTCCATCAGGTCCTTTAAGGACTTCTCTGCATTGGTTGTTCTAGTTAGCCATTTATCCAATTTTTTTTCAAGGTTTTCAACTTCTTTGCCATGGGTTCGAACTTCCTCCTTTAGTTTGGAGTAGTTTGATCTTCTGAAGGCTTCCTCTCTCAACTCGTCAAAGTCATTCTCCATCCAGCTTTGTTCCGTTGCTGGTTAGGAGCTGCGTTCCTTTGGAGGAGGAGAGGCGCTCTGATTTTTAGAGTTTCCAGTTTTTCTCCTCTGTTTTTTCCCCATCTTTGTGGTTTTATCTACCTTTGGTCTTTGATGATGGTGACGTATAGATGGGGTTTTGGTGTGGATGTTCTTTCTGTTTGTTAGTTTTCCTTTTAACAGTCAGGACCCTCAGCTACAGGTCTGTTGTAGTTTGCTGGAGGTCCACTCCAGACCCTGTTTGCCTGGGTATCAGCAGCAGAGGCTGCAGAACAGCGGATATTGGTGAACAGCAGATGTTGCTGCCTGATTGTTCCTTTGGAAGTTTTGTCTCAGAGGAGTACCTGGCCGTGTGAGGTGTCAGTCTGCCCCTACTGGGGGGTGCCTCCCAGTTAGGCTACTCGGGGGTCAGGGACCCACTTGAGGAGGCAGTCTGTCAGTTCTCAGATGTCCAGCTGCTTGCTGGGAGAACCATTACTCTCTTCAAGGCTCAGTTGGAAATGCAGAAATCACCCGTCTTCTGCGTCGCTCACGCTGGGAGCTGTAGACTGGAGCTGTTCCTATTTGGCCATCTTGGCTCCACCCCTCGTACCTGGTTTTCTTTTGGGAGTTTAAAATTTTGGCATGTGCTAGGTAGAGTGTGGTTACATGCTTAGATCCCCCAAAAACCTAAGGGACTGGGTCTCTAATGAATTTTCCTGGTAGATGACATTTCACATGTGTTGTCATAACTTGCTGCTGAAATAATTAAATGTATTCTGTATGACTCAACCAGGAGAGGACACTTAGAAGTTTATACTGGTTAGCTCTGGACTTCAACCCATGCACTTTTGCCCTTTGATTTTGCTTTGTATCCTTTTGTTATAATAAATCATAGCTGTGAATACAGTTACATGTTGAATCCTCTGAGTCTTCTTAGTGAATCATTGAATCTGGGCATGGTTTTGTGGACCTCTGACACATTTAAAAAATGTGAAATCCATTCTTATCTTGTGAGCCTTATGAAATCAGCCCACAATGGCTATAGTTTGCTGACCCCGTTACACAGTATATTTATTTTGAATACTCTTTTATACTGTTTTGTAGCTTTTTTATTTCTCTAAATCTTTTCTTCTCATTGATTGTGAGCTCCTTGAGAAAAGACATTGCCTTATATACATCTCTTGTAGTTCCCATGGTAGTGCCACATAATTCTATGCATAATGAGCACTCAGTAGGTAATTGACTTTTAATAAAAAAGCTATTATTTTATAGGATACTGTTGAACTTTACAGAAATATACTAATGTATACTTGTGATGTTGATGCAGTATTCAGCTTACATTTATATGTCTATAATTTATTTATCATTTTATATTGACTTTTAACATCTACATTTTGGCCTACCAGATATTATAGACCACCTGAAAATTGAGTTTGTAGTGGTTTATTCTACTATATTAGCATAGGTCAACTTTCACCTTTAAGTTTCACATGTGATTTCACCAGACTCTTTTAATGTAAGCCTCTATAGCAAGAGTTGATAAATTTTGTCTATGGGCCACATTTGGTCCACTATCTTGTTTGTACAGTTGTGAGCTAAGAATGGTTTTTATCTTTTTAAATTGTTCAGAAAAGGGTGTTTTGTGATATGTAAGAAATATACATTAAATTTTAGTGCACACAAAGTTTTATTGGAAAATAGCCATACTCATTCATTTGCATATCATCTACATATACTTAGTGCTACCATGGCAGACTTGAGTATTTGTGACAGAGACCATTTGGCCACAAAATCTAAAATATTTACTCTGGAGTCCTTTAAAGAGAAAGTTTGCTAAGCCCTGTTCTACAGTTTTGTGTAGATAAGTTAGCTGGACCAACTTGGTAAGCTGAATTTTACTACTCCTAATTGAATAAACTCAAATAGCCTTAATCAGATTCATACATCTTCCTAGCATAGGTTTATCTTAAGTGATTGGTTCGAAATAAGTGGTAAAACTGTACCTTTACATAGCACCTACAGCATTGCTTGCCTTGCCGTGTTTTAATTTGTATGTAATTTGTTATGGAGTCTTCTATCTGAGATTATAGCTCCCTTCTTCCTGATTGCCTCGTAGTCTGTACAAAACCTCAACTATATAGATGGATGAAAGCTCAGTTAAATTTCTCTTAAGTTGAAAGAATATGCTAGAAATTAATTTTCTCTTTATTTTCTTTTTAAAGGTTTGGTATCCCTCATAGATCTGCTTGTTCTTTTTACCCAACTTATCTATTACTCACCAAGTTGTCCAAAGATGACATCAGCTGCCCATTCAGGTAATTCTGTTTCTATTTTAAATAGAGAAATATAAAACATCTAAAAATATTTAAGTATTCTATTGTCTAGATGTTTTGAGTGCCTGACCTACTTTGGTAAGTAGGTTTCATTAAGATACAGTATTAAGAGAAATTACATTGGTCCTGAAGTAAGCCATGAAATTTAATTTTGTTCACTGATGTTTTAAGATGTTTCCACTCTACTACTCTTTTTATTTAGAATCAGTATCAGTGAGAATTTTAATGATGTTCTTTATTAAGATCAAAATGTTCTCAAGACATGATACTGGGGGATATTTGATGATAGGTCATAATGTGATTTTTTTTTCCTGTTATTTTCCATTCTTTATACTTTCTAAAATGTTTTGATCAACTCACTTGTTTTGGCTTACATCCAAAACTCCAATCTTTTCAGGGTCTTCTTTTATTGAAGAATAAAGAAAAAACCGTTCATGTTTTTCAGAAAAATGCCTTTTAGTTTTATGGCTGTTGACTAGCTTTTAAAAATGTTCTAAATAACTTATATTTTTCCTTTGAGTATCAAGAATAGTTTCCAAAGTAAAACACTTAATAATAAAACACACCAGTGTGCATAGACATACAGTGTTCTAAAACTAGGAAATAACCCTAGAATTGCTGACACAAATTCTGAGACGAACTCAAGTGAATCAAAGAAAAAAATGGTTTGGGATGTATATTAGTGCTATAACATATCTATCAACTGGTAGGTTATTATTCAGTACAGTGTTCACTGTTCAGGTGACGGGTACACCAGAAGCCCAAATCTCACCATTATTCAGTATATCCATGTAACAAGCTGACACATGTACCTTCTGAATCTATTTAAAAAAATATGAAACTAATAGTTTTTATCCAAGCAATTATATTAGCCTATTGATCTTCACAGTGGTTCTCAGACTTTTTTCTGTCTTTACAGCATTTACATGTATAAAGAACTAGCTTAGGTCTTCTGACTATACACTCTTACAGCATAGACATCTTTTATGATTAAAATCATCTTTCTTTGTTCTAAATACTTGTTTATATATTGGTTTACCATGATGTGGACTGTTTTTGTCTTATTTACTTTTCTGTTCATAGTTAGTTCCTAGTACAGTGTCTGGTATGTATTAGGCACTTAATAAATAGAAGATGATTGGATGAGTGAAAGAATGACCATATGCTCATCAATAATATCTGTCCTTGTAAACAGGGTTTCTCACTTGAAGCTGGTTGAAAAATCACTGAACTTTCCTTTTCCATTTTCTTTTTGTCAGATATTGACCTGAAGTCAGCGTGTTTATTGACTATGGAATATTGTAACATAAGTTAGAATAGTTTCCAAAGTAAAACACTTAATAATAAAACACACCAATAATGCATAGACATACAGTGTCTAAATACTAAAGTGTTGTATCTTACTAGGACAATCTTACCTTAAAAACTATTGTTTTGAGGATATTAGATTATATATCTGAAAATTTGTCAATTTATGAAACTGAAAATCATTTAATTCAGTGATGATTCCAACCATGTTAAACTTTTGTGTATTGTGTTTTCCTGTATATACTATATTTTGAAAGAAAATCTAAAAAATGATCTTTGTTTTCACTGGCTTTATGGTAATACAAGAAGTATACTAGTGTCTATAAAAGTTTATGAAATTTCCATTCTCTTCTGCCTCCTTTTTCCCATTTTCTTGTTTGAATGTAATTTTCCTGTAGGCTCAATACTTGAGTATATTATTTAAGAAAAAATAAATATGAGTATGGTAAAAGTGTATTCTAGGGAGAAAAACATGTTTTCTAGGAGGAAAAAAGCTGTACATTTGCTTCAGACCAAATCTTTAATATTAAGCAGTAATTTAATGTTGGACAGTAAATAATTTTGTATTCTCGTCTTTTGGCATTCATGTTTGTTGTCATTTGCTTACTTTTTATTTTAAGCCAATTGAGATTCCCCTAAGTCAGGTTATAATTTGGTAGTACATCTTCCTTTGGATATTGAGTTGTATGACTTTTGAAGTACTGAATTAACTTTGATGTTGAACTTTTTGGAACAACAACAGCTAACATAAAATAGTTCTAAGTATTTAATGTTTTGGTATTAAAAAATATTTATTGTTTATTAGAGAATTACTCTCCTGCAAGTATGGTGACTGAAGTTCTGTGGATACTCAGTGATCAAAAAGAATGTGCAGTGGAATGCTTATATAACAACATTGTAATAGAGACACTTCTTCAGCCTATTCACAATTTAATGAAAGGAAATGAGGTTCGTATTATTTACTAAGGAGAAAAAGAGTCTCTTACCTGGGTATTAGTGGATACTCAGTGGGACTTTATTTCTAAATTTGAAATATTTTATTATGCTGTCCTTCCATATATGAATGTATTTTGTGTTGATATATATTTTTATTTATTATTAAATTATAGCTTATGCAGTTGATTGATTTATTATGATATGCAGAGGGAAAGAACATAGAATATCTAAGTTTTTTTTTAATTGGACTAGATCTGCTGATGCAAATAATTTAGAAAAGTTATTCTATTAAGAAGTTATTTGTTTTGCAAATCTAATAAATCTCATAAATGTTTTGTTATTTGTTTTATGGCATTGTTATAGGTTTTGGAAATGTGATTATTTTCCTTAGTAACCAACTCTGTTTTATATTAAGAAGAACTACTTTAGAGAGAACACTTATATAGAATTCCAATTTGAACAGATGTATGTCTCTTTACAGTTTGCACAATATATTCCCTTACATTATATAATTTAATAATCACAACTGAGGCTGAAATAAGTGACTTGCTTTAGGTCAGACATTTAACAAGTGGCAGAGTTGCTATTGTCACTAGTTTGGGTGTCTGTTCAGTACCTCCCTCTACTTGTATGACTTAAGCTTCTGGGCAGTGATTTTTAAGGCTTATCAATAGGTTAAAAGCTTTTGCTTTTTCATATCTATTTTGAGGTGTTTTTACTGTTTTCATCTTCCTCTTATGTTCACCCATCAATGGGCTGTCACATGCTTTTCTGCTTGTTGCTTGCTAGGTTAACTTGGCAAATGCCAAGTTTTCTGTCCCCTAATTACTTTCTTTCTTATATAGTCCAGTTATAATAGATAGTTTGCACTTTCTAAATAAGGTTATTATATCTCCTTGTGTTTGTATGGTTTTTCTTCACCCTAGAAAATTTTACGCTTGGTCCATATGAAAAATTCCCCTTTAGACTAGAGTTTATCTTTGAAATTTCCTCCCAGTTCTCCTTTGCAAAGTTAGGTGGGTTTTTTCTCTGTGTTCCCATGTTATGTAATTCTGCAGTTGTACTTACATTATGTTTGAATTATTTATTCTTGACAGTAGCCCTCTGGCACATAGTGGACACTCAGTATCTAGTTTAAGACATCCAGCATCAACCATTGAACCTCTACTATATCATTAGCTCTCTGCTGGGTACTGCAAATATAGAAGTGAATAATACGTGTTTATTGCCTGTAAGAAGCCTACTGTAATAGGCAAGACAGACCTTTAAACAAAAAATATTTAAAATGAGGAATAGAAAGTTTTAAAATACTGTGTTTATATTTATATAGACATGAGAGAATATATATAGTCTCGTGAAAGAAGGAATGTATTCTAAGGAGAGAAGTTGTTTTAAGAAAGATATTTAATAGGAAAAGTGATATACTTTTTGTGCTAAGTAGTATGAATAGTGCTATTCATGCTAAACAGTATGATTAGTAATAATTAGGACTTCTTTAGGTGAGTATACCTGACTAATCATTAGTTAGGCTAGCCCACTAAATTTATTAGAATGTGTTGGTTGCAACATTTACGTTTTCAAATGTATTATAGATAATATGTGTGTTGGCATCCATGCAGGTACAGGTAAATAAGCAGACCCCACAAAGAGCAGGAATTATAATACTGTAGATACACTCTAGCATTAACATGGCTCTCTGGTTTTCAGTATGTGCTTTGTGCTGCTTTGTAATATATTGGCAAAGGTATTTTAGTACTTCCATTTGAAAGCAAAAGTGAGCAAATATGGTTAGTTCAGTCTTTGTTTTCTTATTAGGTGACATTATTGCCTATTGACCAGCCCATGAATTGGCTATCCCTAGTTGGATGTACATTCATGACGCAAACATGTGTGTAAGAGAATGACACCCTTAGAAGGGATGGCAGTGTGTTAGATACCATATATAATGTAATTATATTGGATACTCAGGAGCCCAGTGGGTGGGAAATAAAGGGCAAAGTGGAAATACAAGAGCTACTACATTTGCCAACCAGAATTATATATAAAACTGTAACAAGAGCAGCAATTCTCAATAGTTTGGGTGAAAAAAAATCTGTATTTATTTGCTTCATCAGTTGGGCTGGTAAAAGAATATAATCTAATAACACATTTTTTTCAGACATATTATTTCACAGCCAAACAAATCATTAAGCTTGTTTTTTGTTGTAATATAACTTTATAAGACTACTTACAATCCTCGGATTTTAGTCTGTGATATGTTAGCATGTCATAAAATTATGTGATTTGTCTTGTTTTCTTTTTAATGTACAGGCATCTCCAAATTGCTCTGAGACAGCTTTAATTCATATAGCTGGTATTTTGGCAAGAATTGCATCTGTAGAAGAAGGGCTTATTTTACTCCTTTATGGAGCAAATATGAACTCTTCTGAAGAAAGGTATGTGCTATTTTAAATCCGGATAATTATTCCAGGTATAGTTTGGTTTTCTGACAAGCTGCTAATAATATATTAAATGATCTAAAAAAGCTGGAGTAACCAGGATTATGGACTATGCAGCCAGAGTAGAACTTGACGTCTGTAATTTCAAAATAAGAATAGGAGAGTTCACTCTCGATGGGTTTCCTTACTCCCCCATTATCTGCTCCCTTGTATTTTCACTTACAGACTTTTGTCACACATGATTAAGTCAAACCAAAGTTGTGCAAAGAAGCTAGCTATTTTTTCTTCCTCCTCTAGTTCCTATTTTCTCACTTAACCAATGGTAATATTTTTGTGTTTACACTTCTAGACTTTCTCTGTGCTTATAATCAGACAAACCTACATATAAACAGTCATATTTTATCTTCTCTTTACAAAAATGGTATTATATTTTATACATTACCCTGCAGCTTGATTTATTTTATAACTATGGGAATTTTCTTAGGTGAATACAGAATGAAACATGATTTTTAATGTCTGCATTACACTTTTGTGTATAGCTGTACCACAATTTATTCAAACATTTCCCTCTTAGTGAACATCAGATTGTGTCTAGGAATTTTCTCTCCATAAATAACACTGCAATAAATGCTCTTTTTCTTATTTAGCTTGTTGATATTACATTAATTGATGTTCAAATGTTGAGCCAGTTTTACATACCTGAAATAAATCCCACTTGTTCATGATATATAAATCATTCTTACACTTTGTTGGCTTTCATTTGCTAATATTTATTGAGGATTTTTGCCTCTATGTTCATGAGATATATCAGTCTGTAGAATATGTAATCTTTGGCTGGTTTTGGTATTATTGGAATGGTGACCTTATAATAAATGAGAAGTTATTCTTTCTATCTTCTGGAGGATATGACACAGAATTGGTTTAATTTCTTCATAAAATATTTTATAAAATTCACCAGCAAACCAATTTTAGCCTGGTGTTTTCTATTTTGGAAGGTTATTAGTTATTCATTCAATTTATTTAATAAACAGAGGCCTATTCAGATTGCCTACTTGCTCTTATGTGAATGTTGGCAAAATATGTCTTTCAAGGAATTGGTGAATTTATCTAAATTATCAAATCTGTGGGCACAGAATTGTTCATAATATTTCCTTATCCTGTTAATATCATTGAAATGAGTAGTGATGGCTCCTCTTTCACTTCTGATGTTAGTAATTTGTGTCTTCTCTTTTTTTTTTTCTTAGTTAACCTGACTAGAGGCTTATAAATTTTACTGTTCTTTTCAAAAAACTAACTTCTGGTTTTGTTGATTTTTCTCTATTGATTTCATGTTTTTAATTTTATTGATTTCTCTTCTAATTTTTTATTTCTTCTTACTTTGGATTTAATTTTCTCTTCCTAGTTTTCTATGGTGGAAGCTTACATGATTCGTTTTAGCTCTTTTCTTTTTTTATAATATTTGTGCTTTTATATTTGTACTTAATGCTATAAATTTCCCTCTAAACCACATCTTTCCTACATCTCATAGTTTTGATAAGTTGTATCTTCATTTTTCATTTAGTTCAAAATATTTTTATTTTCTCTTGAGATTTCTTTGACCCTTGTGGTTTTTTTTTTTTTTTTTTTTTTTGAGATGGAGTCTTTCTCTGTCGCCCAGGCTGGAGTACAATAGCACAATCTTGGCTCACTGCAAACTCCACCTTCTGGGTTCAAGCGATTCTAGTGCCTCAACCTCCCAAGTAGCTGGGACTACAGGTGCATGCCACCATGCCTGGCTAATTTTTGTATTTTTGTTAGAGATGGGCTTTCACCATGCTGGCCAGGCTGGTCTGGAACTCCTGACCTCAAGTGATTCACCTGCCTTGGCCCCCAAAGTACTGGGATTATAGGCATGAGCCACTGCTCCCAACCCTTGTGTTTTTACAGATCTGACAGCACACTTTATATAATTTCTAGTTTTCAAAGTGTATTTTATGTTTTATGGCCCAGAAAGTGACATCTTAGTGAATTATCTCTGTAAGCTTATATAATATATATTCTACTATTGTTGGATGTCAATTATATTCAGCTGATTGATGGTACTGTTTGGTTCAACTTTGTCCTTACTGACATCCTGCTGAATCTGTCAATTACTGATAGAGGTATGTTGAAAGCTCCAGCTATATTAGTGAATTCATCTATTTCTCCCTGCAGTTCTATCAGTTTTTCATTTAAGTATTTTGATGCTTTGTTGTTAGGTGCATACACATTAAGGATTGTTATGTCTTCTTGGAAAATTGACCCCTTTATTGTTATTTAATGTTCCTTTTTACCCTTGATAATTTTCCTTGCTTTGCAGTCTGCTTTGTCTGAAACTAATACAGCTACTCCAGCTTTCTTTTGATTATAGTTAGCATGGTATGTCTTTCCTCCATCCTTTTCCTTTTAATTTATCTTCGTCTTTATGTTTAAAGTGTAAAGTGGGATTTTTATAGACAACATGTAGTTGGGTCTTGACTTTTAATCTACTTTGATAGTCTTTTATTGATGTATTTATGACATTAACAATTAATTATTGATATAATTAGGTTAATATTTACTGTATTTTTTGCCCTTTTTTTGTGTTCTACTCTTTTTGCCTTATCTGGCTTTGATTGAGCGTTCTATGTGATTTCATTTTATCTCCTCTCTTAGTATATCAATTATACTTTTTTGTCACTCTTTTTAATGGTTGCTATTAAGTTTGTAATATACATTTACAACAGAATTAGTTGTAATTGCTAATTATATTGTTTTAGTTGTATTTAGTCCTCTTTCAAATAACACTGTATCACTTAACATCTAGCGCAATGACCTTATAAGAAGTCATTTCCTCCCTTCTGTCCCTTATATCGTTTCTGTTACTCATTTACTTTTTCATAAACTATAATCACCAAATACTTTTTTGCAATAATTACTTTGAATAAACTTGTCCGTTAGATGTTTTTTTGTTATTGTCGTTTGTTTTTTTTTTTTTTTTGAGACAAGGTCTCACTCTGTTGCCCAGGCTGGAGTGCTGTGGCGTGAACTCGGCTCACTGCAATGTCTGCCTCCCAGGCTCAAGTGATTCTCGTGCTTCAGTCTCCCAAGTAGCTGGGACCTATAGGTGTGCACCACCTTGCCCGGTTAATTTTTTTAGCAGAGACACGGTTTCACCACGTTTCCCAGACTGGTCTTGAACTCCTGAGCTCAAGCGATCTGCCTGCCTTGGCTTCCCCAAGTGCTGGGATTACAGGTGTCAGCCACCTCACCCAGCCTCATTAGATTAATTAATAAGAAAAATAAAGATTTTATGGGTTATCAAATGCTTTATATTGCTAGTCTTTTTAATTTTAGTAAGATAGTCCTGAAAGTGATATTGCTGGGTCAGAGGGCCTGTACATTTTATATCTTGTAGATCCTGCCAGATTACTTTTCAAAATAGTTGAATTTTACCTTCTTGCCAGCAGTCTATGGGAAGTACGAGGTATCCCCTCCTTTTTATATTCTTGTCAGGACTGCATAATCAGTTTGTAAATGTTTTGGCAACCTAATGAATGAAAGATCTTGTTTTGATTTATATTTACTTATTTGATTCATATTTCATGTGTCATCTCACTGAGTTTGAGCATCTCATTGCTCCTGTGGCAATAGGGTTATTGGCTATTTCCATTTCCTTGATAGTAATGTTCCTTTCCATATCATTTGTCCATTTAAAACTTGATTTATTGTTCATTGAGTTATGTATGCATACAGGAAACATAAAGGTTTATTATAAAAAGTAGCAGTTCCTTTCTTGCTCTCTAGAGACAACTACTTTCAGCTATTTTTGATGTTTTCTTTAGTGTTTATATTATCAAGTAATGTGCATATAATTTCTTTTAGCTTAAGGCTAAATTGTCAATTGTTCATTGACTTACATTACAACAATTTATCTCTCTTGCCTGCTTTCCCCACCAAACATACAAATACATATAGGTACCTAGTTCCTTCATTCTCCATCGGTGCAATACTGTTGTGCAATCGACTTATTTAATGTTTTACTGTATTCACATTGTGAACACTTTTCACAGCTGAGCCATGTGGTATTCTTTTGTTACTTTTCTATTCTTTCACAATTTTTGCCTTCTCTGGAGTTAATCTTTTTTTTTGTTTGTTGCTACAATTTTCAATGTACTTAGCTGTCACTGCAGTGCTAAGCCATCTACATGTTTTTTTCTAATTGACTAAATCCTCTCTCAGCATGTTAAAATACCAAAGTCCAGGAGTTTAATTAAAGACATCTGTTTTTGAGCCTTCCCACCTACTTTATTCAGAATGGGTTTCTGCCTCAGTTTTGTGCATAACTTTTACGCTGAAATGTATTTTGTCATCATTATGGAGTAGCCTTATTTTTCATTTTCCTTTTTCTAGAAGTCTTTTTTGTCTTTTTTTGGTGTTTAATTATCCAAAATGTTATGATGTTTCTTGATGAAGTTCTACTTTTATGTACTTGATGAGTGTCTTTTTAAATTGACACATAATAATTGTACATGTATTGATGGACATTGTAAATTTGAAGATTCATGCCTTTTAGGGAAAATAGTTGGATTTCTTCTTTTTTTTTTTCTGAAATTCTATTATTTGAACTTGGACATTCTTATCTGTTCTATTTTCTATTCCTTTTAAAATCTTTTTTTCTGGGAATTTTTTTCTGCTTTCATTTTCTAGCCTTTCTGTTGAAATTGAATTTTTCATTTAAGTTGTGTGGGTTTTTTTTTTGTTGTTGTTTGTTTGTTTGTTTTTGAGACAGAGTCTCATGACTCTGTCGCCCAGGCTGGAGTGCAGTCGCATGATCTTGGCTCACTGCAACCTCCGCCTCCTGGGTTCAAGCAATTCTTTTGCCTCAGCCTCCCGAGTAGCTGGGACTATAGGTGTGTGCCACCACGCCTGGCTCATTTTTGTATTTTTAGTAGAGATGGGGTTTCACTATATTGGCCAGGCTGGTCTCCACCTCCCGACCTCATGATCTGCCCGCCTTGGCCTACTAAAGTGCTGGGATTACAGGCATGAGCCACCATGCCCGGCTTTTTTGTTTTGTTTTGTTTTGTTTTAATTTAACAGAGTTTAATTGAGCAAAGAACACTTTGTGAATCAAGCAGCCTCCTCAACCAGAGTAGGCTCAGAGAAACTCCAGCACAGCCACATGGTGGAAGAAGATTTATGAACAGAAACAGGAAAATGATGCACAGAAAATGGAAGTGAGGTACAGAAACAGTCATTTTGGTTACAGCTTGCCGTTTTGCATTATTTGAACACAGTTTGAACAGTTGGCCCCCTTTAATTGGCCAGTGGTGATTGGCACAAGAGTAGGTTACAGTCTGTTTATACTTCCATCAAGGTTATAGTTCACTATGTACAGAGAAACATTTAGGCTGAACTTAAAATGCATAAGCAGACAGTTTTAGGCCAAACTTGATTCAACAGCTTTTTTTTTTTTTTTAAATTATACTTTAAGTTCTAGGGTACATGTGCACAATGTGCAGGTTTTTTACATATGTATATGTGTGTCATGTTGGTGTGCTGCACCCATTAACTCGTCATTTACATTAGGTATATCTCTTAATGCTATCCCTAACCCCCCCAACCCCACGACAGGCCCCGGTGTGTGATGTTCCCCACCCTGTGTCCAAGTGTTCTCATTGTTCAGTTCTCACCTATGAGTGAGAACATGCAGTGTTTGGTTTTCTGTCCCTGTGATAGTTTGCTGAGAATGATGGTTTCCAGCTTCATCCATGTCCCTACAAAGGACATGACCTCATACTTTTTTATGGCTGCATAGTATTCCATGGTGTATATGTGCCACATTTTCTTTTCTTTTTAATTATACTTTAAGTTCTAGGGTACATGTGCAGAACGTGCAAGTTTGTTACATATGTATACGTGTGCTATGTTGGTGTGCTGCACCCATTAACTTGTCATTTACATTAGGTATATCTCCTAAAACTATCCCTCCCCTAGCACCCCACCCCACAACAAGCCCTGGTGTGTGATGTTCCCCACCCTGTGTCCAAGAGTTCTCATTGTTCAATTCCCACCTATGAGTGAGAACATGCAGTGTTTGGTTTTTTCTCCTTGTGATAGTTTGCTCAGAATGATGGTTTCCAGTTTCATCCATGTTCCTACAAAGGACATGAACTCATCCGTTTTTATGGCTGCGTAGTATTCCATGGTGTATATGTGCCACATTTTCTTCATCCAGTCTATCATTGATGGACATTTGGGTTGGTTCCAAGTCTTTGCTATTGTGAATAGTACTGCAGTAAACATACGTGTGCATGTGTCTTTACAGCAGCATGATTTATAATCCTTTGGGTATATACCCAGTAAGGGGATGGCCGGGTCAAATGGTATTTCTAGTTCTAGATCCTTGATGAATTGCCACACTGTCTTCCACAATGGTTGAACTAGTTTACAGTCCCACCAACAGTGTAAAAGTGTTCCTATTTCTCCACATCCTCTCCAGCACCTGTTGTTTCCTGACTTTTTAATGATCGCCATTCTAACTGGTGTGAGATGGTATCTCATTGTGGTTTTGATTTGCATTTCTCTGATGGCCGGTGATGATGAGCATTTTTTCATGTGTCTGTGGGCTGCATAAATGTCTTCTTTTGATAAGTGTCTATTCATATCCTTTGCCCTCTTTTTGATGGGGTTGTTTGTTTTTTTTCTTGTAAATTTGTTTGAGTTCTTTGTAGATTCTGGATATTAGCCCTTTGTCAGATGGATAGATTGTAAAAAGTTTCTCCCTTTCTGTAGGTTGCCTGTTCACTCTGATGGTAGTTTCTTTTGCTGTGCAGAAGCTCCTTAGTTTAGTTAGATCCCATTTGTCAATTTTGGCTTTTGTTGCCATTGCTTTTGGTGTTTTAGTCATGAAGTCCTTGCCCATGTCTATGTCCTGAATGGTAATGCCTAGGTTTTCTTCTAGGGTTTTTATGGTTTTAGGTCTAACATTTAAGTCTTTAATCCATCTTGAATTAATTTTTGTATAAGGTGTGAGGAAGGGATCCAGTTTCAGCTTTCTATATATGGCTAGCCAGTTTTCCCAGCACCATTTATTAAATAGGGAATCGTTTCCCCATTTCTTGTTTTTGTCAGGTTTCTCAAAGATCAAATGGTTGTAGATGTGTGGTATTATTTCTGAGGGCTCTGTTCTGTTCCATGGGTCTATATCTCTGTTTTGGTACCAGTACCATGCTGTTTTGGTTACTGTAGCCTTGTAGTACAGTTTGAAGTCAGGTGGCATGGTGCCTCCAGCTTTTGTCTTAGGATTGTCTTGGCAATGCAGGCTCTTTTTTGATTCCATATGAACTTTAAAGTAGTTTTATCCAATTCTGTGAAGAAAGTCATTGGTAGCTTGATGGGGATGGCATTGAATATATAAATTACCTTGGGCAGTATGGCCATTTTCATGATATTGATTCTTCCTATCCATGACCATGGAATGTTCTTCCATTTGTTTGTGTCCTCTTTTATTTCATTGAGCAGTGGTTTGTAGTTCTCCTTGAAGAGATCCTTCACATCCCTTGTAAGTTGGATTCCTAGGTATTTTATTCTCTTTGAAGCAATTGTGAATGGGAGTTCACTCAGGATGTGGCTCTCTGTTTGTCTGTTATTGGTGTATAGGAATGCCTGTGATTTTTACACGTTGATTTTGTATCCTGAGACTTTGCTGAAGTTGCTTATCAGCTTAAGGAGATTTTGGGCCAAGACGATTGGGTTTTCTAAATATACAATCATGTCATCTGCAAACAGGGACAATTTGACTTCCTCTTTTCCTAATTGAATACCCTTTATTTCTTTCTCCTGCCTGATTGCCCTGGCCAGAACTTCCAAAACTCTGTTGAATAGGAGTGGTGAAAGAGGGCATCCCTGTCTTGTGCCAGTTTTCAAAGGGAATGCTTCCAGTTTTTGCCCATTCAATATGATATTGGCTGTGGGTTTGTCATAAATAGCTCTTATTATTTTGAGATACGTCCCATCTATACCTAGTTTATTGAGAGTTTTTAGCATGAAGGGCTGTTGAATTTTTATTGAAGGCCTTTTCTGCATCTATTGAGATAATCATGTGGTTTTTGTCTTTGGTTCTGTTTATATGAGGGATTACCTTTATTGATTTGCATATGTTGAACCAGCCTTGCATCCCAGGGATGAAGTCAACTTGTTTGTGGTGGATAAGCTTTTTGATGTGCTGCTGGATTCGGTTTGCCAGTATTTTATTGAGGATTTTTGCATCGATGTTCATCAGGAATATTGGTCTAAAATTCCCTGTTTTTGTTGTGTTTCTGCCAGGCTTTAGTATCAGGATGATGCTGGCCTCATAAAATGAGTTAGAGAGGATTCCCTCTTTTTCTATTGATTGGAATAGTTTCAGAAGTAATGGTACCAGCTCCTCTTTGTACTTCTGGTAGATTTTGGCTGTGAATCCGTCTGGTCCTGGACTTTTTTTGGTTGGTAGGCTATTAATTATTGCCTCAAGTTCAGAGCCTGATATTGGTCTATTCAGGGATTCAGCTTCTTCTTGGTTTAGTCTTGGGAGGGTGTATGTGTCCATGAATTTATCCATTTCTTCTAGATTTTCTAGTTTATTTGCGTAGAGGTGTTTATAGTATTCTCTGATGGTAGTTTGTATTTCTGTGGGATTGGTGGTGATATACCCTTTATCATTTTTTATTACATCTATTTGATTCTTCTCTCTTTTCTTTTAGTCTGGCTATCAGTTTATCAATTTTGTTGATCTTTTCAAAAAACCAGCTCCTGGATTCATTGATTTTTTTTGAAGGGTTTTTTTGTGTCTCTATCTCCTTCAGTTCTGCTCTGATCTTAGTTATTTTTTGCCTTCTGCTAACTTTTGAATATGTTTGCTCTTGCTTCTCTAGTTCTTTTAATTGTGATGTTAGGGTGTCAATTTTAAATCTTTCCTGCTTTCTCTTGTGGGCATTTAGTGCTATAAATTTCCCTCTGCATACTGCTTTGAATGTGTCCCAGAGATTCTGGTATGTTGTGTCTTTGTTCTCGTTGGTTTCAAAGAACATCTTTATTTCTGCCTTCATTTCATTATGTACCCAGTAGTCATTCAGGAGCAGGTTGTTCAGTTTCCATGTAGTTGAGCAGTTTTGAGTGAGTTTCTTAATCCTGAGTTCTAGTTTGATTGCACTGTGGTCTGAGAGACAGTTTGTTATAATTTCTGTTCTTTTACATTTCCTGAGGAGTGCTTTACTTCCAACTATGTGGTCAATTTTGGAATAAGTGCAATGTGGTGCTGAGAAGAATGTATATTCTGTTGATTTGGGGTGGAGAGTTCTGTAGATGTCTATTAGGTCTACTTGGTGCAGAGCTGAGTTCAATTCCTGGATATCCTTGTTAACTTTCTATCTCTTTGATCTGTCTAATGTTGACAGTGGGGTGTTAAAGTCTCCCATTATTATTGTGTGGGAGTGTAAGTCTCTTTGTAGGTCACTAAGGACTTGCTTTATGAATCTGGGTGCTCCTGTATTGGGTACATATATGTTTCGGATAGTTAGCTCTTCCTGTTGAATTGATCCCTTTACCATTATGTAATGTCCTTCTTTGTCTCTTCTGATCTTTGTTGGTTTAAAGTCTGTTTTATCAGAGACTAGGATTGCAACCCCTGCTTTTTTTTGTTTTCCATTTGCTTGGTAGATCTTCCTCCATCCCTTTATTTTCAGCCTATGTGTGTCTCTCTCATGATATGGGTCTCCTGAATATAGCACACTGATGGGTCTTGACTCTTTATCCAATTTGCCAGTCTATGTCTTTTAATTGGAGCATTTAGCCCATTTTCATTTAAGGTTAATATTGTTATATGTGAATTTGATCCTGTCATTATGATGTTAGCTGGTTATTTTGCTTGTTAGTTGATGCAGTTTCTTCCGAGCCTCGATGGTCTGTACAAGTTGGCATGTTTTTGCAGTGGCTGGTACCAGTTGTTCCATTCCATGTTTAGTGCTTCCTTCAGCAGCTCTTGTAAGGCAGGCCTGGTGGTGACAAAATCTCTCAGCATTTGTTTGTCTGCAAAGGATTTGATTTCTCCTTCACTTTTGAAGCTTAGTTTGGCTGGACATGAAATTCTGGGTTGAAAATTCTTTTCTTCAAGAAGGTTGAATATTGGCTGCTACTCTCTTCTGGCTTGCAGAGTGTCTGCCGAGAGATCCGCTGTTAGTCTGATGGGCTTCTCTTTGTGAATAACCCGACCTTTATCTCTGGCTGCCCTTAACATTTTTTTCCTTCATTTGAACTTTGGTGAATCTGACAATTATGTGTCTTGCAGTTGCTCTTCTTGAGGAGTATCTTTGTGGTGTTCTCTGTACTTCCTGAATTTGAATGTTGGCCTGCCTTGCTAGGTTGGGGAAGTTCTCCTGGATAATATCCTGAAGAACGTTTTCCAACTTGGTTTCATTCTCCCCGTCACTTTCAGGTACATCAGTCAGACGTAGATTTGGTCTTTTCACGTAGTCCCATATTTCTTGGAGGCTTTGTTCATTTCTTTTTAGTCCTTTTCTCTAAACTTCTCTTCTTGCGTAATTTCATGCATTTGATCTTCATTCACTGTTACCCTTTCTTCCAGTTGATCGAACTGGCTACTGAAGCTTTTGCATGCGTCACGTAGTTCTCATGCCATGGTTTTCAGTTCCATCAGGTCATTTAAGATCTTCTCTGTGCTGTTTATTCTAGTTAGCCATTCATCTAATCTTTTCTGAAGATTTTTAGCTTGTTTGCAATGGGTTTGAACATCCTCCTTTAGCTTGGAGCAGTTTGTTATTACCGATCATCTGAAGCCTTCTTCTCTCAACTCATCAATGTCATTCTCCATTCAGCTTTGTTCTGTTGCTGGCGAGGAGCTGCATTCCTTTGGAGGAGAAGAAGTGCTCTGATTTTTAGAATTTTCGCTTTTCTGCTCTGGTTTCTCCCCATCTTTGTGATTTTATCTACCTTTTTTCTTTTATGATGGTGACGTACAGATGGGGTTTTGGTGTGGATATTCTTTCTGTTTGTTAGTTTTCCTTCTAACAGTAGGACCCTCCGGTGCAGGTCTGTTGGAGTTTGCTGGAGGTCCACTCCAGACGCTGTTTGCCTGGGTATCACCAGTGGAGGCTGCAGAACAGCAAATATTGCAGAATGGCAAATGTTGCTGCCTGATCGTTCCACTGGAAGCTTCATCTCAGGAGGGCACCCGGTTATATGAGGTGTCCATTGGCCCCTACTGAGAGTTGTCTGCCAGTTAGGCTACTTGGGAGACAGGGACCCACTTGAGGAGGGAGGGACCCACTTGAGGAGGAGGAGAGAGGGAGAACCACTACTCTCTTCAAAGCTGTCAGACAGGGACATTTAAGTCTGCAGAAGTTTCTGCTGCCTTTTGTTCAGCTATGCCCTGTCCCCAGAGGTGGCATCTACAGAGGCAGGCAGGCCTCCTTGAGCTACGGTGGGCTCCAGTTCAAGCTTTCCAGCCACTTTGTTTATCTACTGAAGCCTCAGCAATGGCAGATGCCCCTCCCCCAGCCTTGCTGTCACCTTGCAGTTTGATCTCAGACTGCTGTGCTAGCCGTGAGGGAGGCTCTGTGGGCTTGGGACCCTCCAAGCCAGGTGCAGGATATAATCTCCTGGTGTGCTGTTGCTAAGACCGTTGGAAAAGTGCAGTATTTGGGTGGGAGTGTCCCAATTTTCCAGGTACCGTCTGTCATAGCTTCCCTTGGCTAGGAAAGGGAATTCCCTGACCCCTTGGGCTTCGCTTTCAAGGCGATGCCCCGCCCTGCTTCGGTTCACACTCCATGGGCTGCACCCAGTGTACGACAAGCCCCAGTGAGATGAATCTGGTACCTTAGTTGGAAATGCAGAAATCACCCATCTTCTGCGTCGCTCACGCTGGGAGTTGTAGACTGGAGCTGTTCCTATTCAGCCATCTTGGAACCTCCCCCCGACCTTTTTTTTTTTTTAGAAGAGCACATTGTTATTTTAGTGTCCTATTCTTTTTTTTTTTTTTTTAATTTTACTTTTAAGTTCCAGGATACATGTGCAGAACATGCATGTTTGTTACATAGGTAAATGTGTGCCATGATGGTTTGCTGCACATATCAACCTCACTTAGGTATTAAGCCCTGCATGCATTATCTATTTGTCCTGACACTCTCCCTCCCCTTGCCCCTTCCCCACCGACAGGCCCTGGTGTGTGTTGTTCTCCTCTCTGTGTCCATGTGTTCTCATTTTTCATCTCCCACTTATGAGTGAGAACATGTGGTATTTGGTTTTTTGTTTCCGTGTTAGTTTGCTGAGGATGATGGTTTCCAGCTTCATCCATCTGCCTGCAAAGGACATGAGCTCATTCATTTTTATGGCTGCATAGTATTCCATGGTGTATGTGTGCCACATTTTCTTATCCAGTCTATAATTAATAGGCGTTTGGGTTGGTTCCACATCTTTGCTATTGTGAATAGTGCTGCAGTAAACATACATGTCCATGTATCTTTATAATAGAATGATTTATATTCCTTTGGGTATATACCCAGTAGTGGGATTGCTGACTCAAATGATATTTCTGCGTCTAGATCCTTGAGGAATTGCCACACTGTCAGAAGTGGTTGAACTAATTTACATTCCCACCAACAGTGTAAAAGCATTCCTATTTCTCCACATCCACTCTAGCATCTGTTGTTCCTTGACTTTTTAATAATTGCCATTCTAACTGGCATGAGATGGTATCTCATTGTGGTTTTGATTTGCATTTCTCTAATGATCACTAATATTGAGCTTTTTTTCATAGGTTTGTTGGCTGCATAAATGTCTTCTTTTGAGAAGTGTCCATTCATGTCTACTTTTTGATGGGGTTGCTTATTTTTTTCTTGTAAATTTGTTTAAGTTCCTTGTAAATTCTGGGTATTATATGTTGTCAGATGGTACATTGCAAAAATTTTCTCCCATTCTGCAGGTTGCCTGTTCATGCTGATAATAGTTTCTTTTGCTTTGCAGAAGCTCTTTAGTTTAATTAGATCTTATTTATCAGTTTTAGCTTTTGTTGCAATTGCTTTTTGCGATTTCATCATAAAATCTTTGCTCATGCCCATGTCCTGAATGGTATTGTCTAGGTTTTCTTCTGTGGTTTTATGGTTTTGAGTTTTGCATTCAAGTCTTTAATCCATTTTGAGTTAATTTTTATATAAGGTGTAAGGAAGGCTTCCATTTTCAGTTTTCTGCATATGATTAGCCAGTTTTCCCACCACCATTTATTAGATAGGGATTCCTTTCTTCATTGCTTGTTTTTGTTAGGTTTGTCAAAGATCAAATGGTTGTAGATGTGGTCTTATTTCTGAGGCCTCTATTCTTTTCCATTGGTCTATATGTCTGTTTTTGTACCAGTACTATGCAGTTTTGGTTACTGTAGTCTTTTAGTATAGTTGAAGTCACGTAGCATGATGCCTCCAGATTTGTTCTTTTTGTTTAGGATTGACTTGGCTATATGGGCTCTTTTTTTTTTCTTTTTTGGTTCCATATGAATTTTTTTTAAGTAGTTTTTTTTCTAATTCTGTGAAGAATGTCAATGGTAGTTTGATGGGAATAGCATTGAATCTATGATTTACTTTGGGCAGTATGGCCATTTTCACAATGTTGATTCTTGCTATCCATGAGGATAGAATGTTTTTCCATTTGTTTATGTCCTCTCTTATTGCCTTGAGCAGTGGCTTATAGTTCACTTTGAAGAGTTCCTTCACGTCCCTTGTTAGCTGTATTCCTAGGTATTTTATTCTTTTTGTAGCAATTGTGAATGGGAGTTCATTCATGATTTGGCTCTCTGTCTGTTGTTGATGTATAGTAATGGTTCTGATTTTTGCACATTGATTTTATATACTGGGACTTTGCTAAAGTTGCTTGTCAGCTTAAGGAGCTTTTGGGCTGACACGATGGGGTTTTCTAAATATAGGATCATGTCATCTGCAAACAGAGACAATTTGACTTCCTCTCTTCCTATTTGAATACCCTTTATTTGTTTCTATTGCCTGATTGCCTTGGCCAGAACTTCCAATACTATGTTTAATAGGAGTGGTGAGAGAGGGCATCCTTGTCTTTTGCTGGTTTTGAAAGGGAGTGCTTCTAGCTTTTGTCCATTCAGTATAATATTGTCTGTAAGTTTGTCATAAATAGCTCTTATTATTTTGAGATATGTTCCATCAATACCTAGTTTATTGAGAGTTTTTAGCATGAAGGGATGTTGAATTTTATCGAAGGTCTTTTCTGCATCTATTGAGGTAATCATGATTTTTGTCATTGGTTCTGTTTACGTGATGAATTATGTTTATTGATTTGTGTATGTTGAACCAGCCTTGCATCCCAGGGATGAAGCCAGCTTGATCATGGTGGATAAGCTTTTTGATGTGCTGCTGGATTTGGTTTGTGAGTATTTTGTTGAGGATTTTCACACTGATGTTCATTAGGGATATTGGCCTGAAGTTTTCTTTTTTTGTTGTGTCTCTGCCAGGCTTTGGTATCAGGATGATGGTGGCCTCATAAAATGAGTTAGGAAGGAATCCCTTCCTTTTAATTGTTAGGAATAGTTTCAGCAGGAATGGTACCAGCTCCTCTTGGTACCTGTGGTAGAATTTGGCTGTGAATCCATTTGGTCCTTGGCTTTTTTTAGTTGCTAGGCTATTTATTACTGCCTCAATTTCAGAGCTTGTTATTGGTCTATTCAAGGATTTGACTTCTTCTTGGGAGGGTTTATGTGTCCAGGAATTTAACCATTTCTTCTAGATTTTCTAGTTTATTTACACAGAGATGTTTGTAGTATTCTCTGATGGTAGTTTGACTCTGTGGGGTTGGTGGTGATATCTCTTTTTTCATTTTTTATTGCATCTATTTGATTCTTCTCTCTTTTCTTCTTTATTAATCTAACTAGTGGTCTATTTTATTTTTTCAAGAAAACAGCTCCTGGATTCATTGATTTTTTCTGAAGGGTTTTCATGTCCGTCTCTCCTTCATTTCTGCTCTGTTCTTAGTTATTTCCTGTCTTCTAGCTTTTGTATTTGTTTGCTCTTGATTCGCTAGTTATTTTAGTTTTGATGTTATGGTGTCGATTTGAGATCTTTCTAGCTTCCTGATGTGGGCATTTAGTGCTATCAATTTCCCTCCTAACACTGCTTTAGCTGCATCCCAGTGATTTTGGTACATTGTCTTTTTGTTTTCATTGGCTTCAAAGAAATTCTTGATTTCTGCCTTACTTTCATTATTTACCTAGGAGTCATTCAGGAGCAGGTTGTTCAATTTTGATGTATTTGTGTGGTTTTGGGTGAGTTTCTTAATCTTGAGTTTTGCACTGTGGTTTGAGAGACTGTCTATAATGATTTCATTTCTTTTGCATTTGCTGAGGAGTATTTTAATTCCAATTATGTGGTTGATTTTAAAGTAAGTGCCATGTGGCACTGAGAAGAATGTATATTCTGTTGTTTTCGGGTGGAGAGTTCTGTAGATATCTATTAGGTCCTCTTGATCCAGAGCTGAGTTCAAGTCCTGAGTATCCTTGTTAATTTTCTGTCTCGTTAATACCCCACTGTCTCATATTGTCAGTGGGGTATTAAAGTCTCCCACTATTATTGTGTGGTAGTCTAAGCCGCTTTTAGGTCTCTAAAAACTTGTTTTATCAAACTGGGTGCTCCTATATTGGGTGCATGTATATTTCGGATAGTTAGCTCTTCTTGTTGAATTGATCCCTTTACCATTATGTAATGGCCTTCTTTGTCTTTTTTGATCTTTGTTGGTTTAAAGTCTGTTTTGTCAGAAACTGGTGTTGAAACCCCTGCTTTTTTTCTGCTCTCCATTTGCTAGGTAGATTTACCTCTATCTTTTTTTTGTTTTGTTTTTTGAGCCTATGTGTATATTTGCATATGAGATGAGTCTCTTGAATACAGCACACTGATTCGTCTTGACTCTTTATCCAATTTTCCAGTCTGTATCTTTTAATTGAGGCAGTTAGCCCATTTACATTGTAGGTTAATATTGTTATGTGTGAATTTGATCCTGTCATCATGATGCCAGCTGGTTATTTTGCACACTAGTTAATCCAGTTTCTTCATAATGTCATTGGTCTTTGTAGTTTAGTGTGTTTTTTTTCAGTGGCTGGTACTGATTTTTCCTCTCCCTATTTAGTGCTTGCTTCAGGAACTCTTGCAAGGCAGGCCTGGTGGTGATGAACTCCCTTAGCATTTGATTGTCTGTAAAGGATTTTATTTATTTATGAAGCTTCGTTTGGCCAGATATGAAATTCTGAGTTGAAAATTTTTTTCTTTAAGAATGTTCAATGGCTGGGTGCCATAGCTCATGCCTGTAATCCTCGCACTTTGGGAGGTTGAGGCGGGCAGATCACCTGAGGTCAGGAGTTCGAGACCAGCCTGGCCAACATGGCGAAACTCTGTCTGTACTAAAAATAGAAAAATTAGCCAGGTATGGTGGCACATGCCTATAGTCCCAGCTACTCAGGAGGCTGAGGCAGGAGAATTGCTTGAACCTGGGAGGAGGAGGTTGCAGTGGGTCGAGATCATGCCACTGCATTCCAGCCTGGGTGACAGAGCGAGACTCTGTCTCAAAAAAAAAAAAAAAGTATTTAATATTGGCCTCTATTCTCTTCTGGCCTATAGATTTTTTGCTGAGATATCTGCTATTACTCTGATGGGCTTCCCTTTGTAGGTGACCTGGCCTTTCTCTCTGGCTGCCCTTAACATTTTTTCTTTCATTTCAACCTTGGAGAATCTGATGATTATGTGTCTTGTGGTTGATCTTCTCGTGGAGTATCTTAGTGAGGTTCTCTGTATTTCCTGAATTTGAATGTTGGCCTGTCCTGCTAGGTTGGGGAAGTTCTCCTGGATGATATCCTGAAGTGTGTTTTCTAACTTGGTTCCATTCTTCCCGTTTCTTTTAGGTACTCCAATCAGTCATAGGTTCAGTCTTTTTACATAGTCCCATAATTCTTGTAGGTTTTGTACATTACTTCTTACTCTTTTTTCTCTAAGCCTGCCTTATTTCAGCAAGATAGTCTTCAAACACTGGTATTTTTTCTTCCACTTGATTGATTTGGCTATTGATTCTTGTGTATGATTCACAGAGTTTTCGTGTTGTGTTTTTCAACTCCATCAGGTCATTTAAAATGTTCCTCTCTAAGCTGGTTATTCTAGTTAGCAGCTCCTGTAACCTAGTATCATGGTTCTAAGCATCTTTGCATTGGGTTAGAACATGCTCCTTTACCTCATTGAAGTTTGTTATTACCTGCCTTCTGAAGCCCACTTCTGTCAGTTCATCCATCTCATCCTCCGTCCAGTTCTGTGCCCTTGCTGGAGAGGTGTTGTGATCATTTGGAGGAAAAGAGACAATCTGGCCTTTTGGGTTTTCAGCATTTTTTTCATTGATTCTTTCTCATCTTCATGAGTTTGTTCACTTTGGATCTTTGAGGCTGCTGACCCTTGGATGAGGTTTTTTTGAGGATTTTTTTAGTTGATGCTGTTGTTGTAGCTTTCTGTTTGTTTTTCTTTCAATTGTCAGGTCCCTCTTCTGTAGGGCTGCTGTGGTTTGCTGGGGGTTCACTTCAGGCCCTATTCATCTGGTTCGCTTCCACACCTGGAGATGTCACCTGAGGAGGCTGGAGAACAGCAAAGATGGGTGCCTGGCTCTTTCCTCTGGGATCTCTGACCTTGAGGGGCACCAACCTGATGCCAGTAGGAACGCTCCTGTGTAGGGTGTCTGGTGACCCCTTTTGGGGTGTCTCACCCAGTTGGGGGGCATGGGAACCAGGACCCACTTTGACTGCTCCTTGGCAGAGGGTGTGCTGCACTGGGGGGAAACCAACTCTTCCGGTCTGCCCAGATTCCTCAGAGCTAGCAGGAGGAAAGACTAAGTCTGCTGTTCCATAGAGACTGCGGTCACCCCTTCTTCTAGGGGCTCAGGCCAGGGAGATCAGAGTTCTGTCCCTGAGCCACTGGCTGGAGTTGTTGGAGTTCCTGTAGGGAGACCCCACCCAGTGAGGAGGGTTGAGTCAGCATCCGTTCTGAAGAGGCAATCTGGCCAAGATCTGCCACAGCTGGTGTGCTGCGCTGTGGGGAATACCTCTTGGGACCAAGCCGTTCAGCCTCCTGAATTTCCCTGGCTCTAGCAGGGAAAAGCACGGCCTGGAGCTATAGTGATAGCTGCAGTCCTTCGCCCATGGGAGCTTAGTGTCTTAGGTAGCTAGCCGCAGCAGTGTTGGCTCTGCCTCTCCCCCAGCGAGCTCAGATGGCTTAGACAGCAATCAGCAGCAGCAGTGGTGATGGCCACCCCTCCCTCCAGGAACTTGGCAGGCCTAGGATGATTCCAGCCGAGTGGCTGTTGAGAGTCTGCATGGCTCTGTGGTTTGGACTGAAGGCCTCAGTGGCGTGGGCTCACCAGTGGGATCTTCTGAACCATGGGCAGCACAGTTCCATGGAAAAGCACAGCTTCCCAGGCTGGGTAGCATGCTCAATCACCATCCCACTTGGCTGAGGGGAGGCAGCTCCTTGCCCTGTGTAGATCTAAGGTGGGCTGCCATACCACCCTGCTCTTCCTTCCTCTCCATGGGTCATGCCAGCCGCCTAGTCAGTTCTGATGATAAAACCTGGATACCTCAGTTGCCAGTGCAGGATTCAAATGCTGTTTTGGTTCTTTTCAGTGGGAGCCTCTGATGGCCGCTGCTTCTAGTTGGCCATTTGCCTCCTGCCCCCATTTTTTTTTGAGTGTAAGTTCTTTTTACCTACATAAAGATAATAAAGCTTTAATCTGTCATATTTTCTTTTTTCCTTCTAAATTGCTTTCTGTATTTCTCATCATGGTCTTTTTTAAATTGGAGGTTTATTCAAATATTTGAAAGTCAGTAAAAAGATGCTTGGAAACGATACAAGAAAGTGGGACTTGTAATTTGTGGTCTTTACTTTAGTGGGCCCTTTCTGTGGCATTTTGTTTGGGAACCCCTAATGTCAGTATATTTGGTTTCTCCTTTGTTCTTAAGGGATTCCATAGAGAAACCTCTTACTGTTAGCTGCCTGAGGAGTATAAGCCTAGTGGGAGAAGAAGGCTGGGTGGAAATGGTGATGGGTCTCAAGTGTTAGTATATAAACTTCGATTGAATCCTGTGATACCCTCTGTTGTCTTCTATTTCTTGAGCTCTGCCTACCTTTCAAGAAGCACACTGGGTTAGCTGCATGAAATGTTGGGGGGAATCTGGAGGTCAGACTCCTAAAACTGGCTTTCAGGCAGCTCTTCTGTTTTCAATTTCACTTTTACCCCCCAATTTAGAGATATTTGTTACCACCAATTCTTGAGTTTTTTGAGAGGTTCTATAAAATGAATCAGGTTTATTCTGTTTTTCACATTGTGGCTGATAATTCAGGTTTCTCTATGTCCTGAATTACTGCTTGTTATTTTGATTTTCAGGTTCTAAAATTTTACTACCACATCCTTTCCATTCTCCTTGTCTTTGGGGGTTTTATTGCCTACTGGAAAATCCTTTTACTTTGAATTTTAGTATTTATGAAGGGAGCAGTGAATGTATATGTTCAGTCTGCCATATTTCACTAGAGGTCTTTATCAATAACAACTGTTTTTAAAATTAGGAAGACTAATTCTTTGTCATGAGTTCCAAGACTTCTTTTTATTGTCTACCACTTAACCCTATTTAAGTGTTTTTTTCTATATAGATATTATTAATTTACATGTAGTCAAATTTTTCCCAATCATTATCTTTATGAGATCTGGGTTCTTTTTATTTTGTTTATTTTTTTGAGGTGGAGTCTCAGTCTGCCGCCCAGGTTGGAGTGCAGTTGTGCGATCTCTGCTCACTGCAACCTCCACCTCCTGGGTTCAAGCGATTCTCCTGCCTCAGCCTCCAGAGTAGCTGAGACTATAGGTGTGCGCCACCGTGCTGGGCTAATTTTTGTATTTTTAGTAGAGATGGAGTTTCGCCATGTTGTCCAGGCTGGTCTCGAACTCCTGACCTCAAGTGATCCACCCGACTTTGCCTCCGAAAGTGCTGGGATTACAGTCATGAACCACTGCACCTGGCTCTTTTTTCTTTCTTCTCTTTCTTTCTTTTTTTTTTTAATATTAAAGAAAGTCTCCCTCACATTGAAGTTAAACAGATAAGGCATAAAATGTTAGATTTTCTTCTGAATCTTCATGGTCCAGTTAAAAGTATAGATTCTGATTATTTATATTAATGGAAGACTGGAATCATCTCAAATGTTCAATAAGAAGAGGCTAGTTGATTGAATTATGTTTACACAATGGAGCACTGAGCTGTCTATAAAAGGGAATATTTTTGTGTACTTCTGTGGAGTTATTTTCAGGATATGTTGTTAAGTGAATAAAGGAACAGAAGAATGTTAATAGAATGCTACCTTTTGTATGATACAAAGAAATATGAATGATCATATTTGTTTATATTTTTAAAAGAGAATGATGAATGGACAAAGTGAAAACTAATGAAAATGGTTAATTTTAGGAGAGGGGAGAGAAAAATGTGGAGAAACAGATATGGAAACAAGATATCTAGGATTATACCTTGATTATACTTAGATTTGACTTTGGACTCATCTTGCTGTTTACATACTAAATGTAAAACAAAAAACAAAAAACAGAAAAAAAAAAGAAAAAGTGAAGCCACAGTATTTAAAAGCTGCAAACAAAGGGATTAGTAAGTTTAAATATCAATCGAGTTAGTGACATATTCATGCAGAGAAAAGAATTACTTCAAATAATCTAATTTTGATTGAAAATTTCCAGTGGGATATATTCTAAGGTTAAAAAAAATTCCTCAAAGTAATCTTAAACTGCATTTAGTGTATGTTTAGAAGTAATATTGCTGTTGCTGTTTTGAAATTATTATACATAATTATAACAGAGCAAATAAGTAATTATAGTAATGTCATAAGGAACTAAGATTTTTTAATATAAGAGAAAAAGATAAAAGTATAAAGTTAAAGAGGTTAAATAAGAAACCTAAATCTTCATAATAGAAATAAAATTATGAACTTATTTTTCTCTTGTTATATTTTTCCCAGCACTATCACTGGAATGGTAGCAACTACTTTACTGTGAGCTGTTATCTGTATTGTCTAAACATCTTTTTGTTCTAAGAAGAGACAGGAGTGGCTGATTCTGGGTCTGGGCCAGGAAGTATGGAGGATGATCCTGGGGTATCTTACCATTTTAGAAGCTATCTAAGACCAATGGGATAGTGTCAAAAGTACCCCAGAGCCAACCAGAAGGGGCCTCCTACTGGCTTAAGATGGACAATTTGAGAATCAGAAAAATAATGACTGCAATGGATTGACATACATAAAGTATATAAAAAAAAACATGGGTTTGAAAAGGCACTAAAACAGAAAACAAACAAAAAATACACTTTATCGGTTACCTGCTGAAGTCACTAGGACACCAACTTGTTAGTATGCAAATTGATAAAAAGAAAATTTAAGCATTTTTTTCCAGCCTTTTCTTTACAAACTGTATTTTAGTGTAACTAAAATGTTACTGAGGAAAAGTTCTTCACAGAAGAATTCTAGCTAATAAATGCAAACTAAATGCTATAATCAGAAAAATCGTAATTTGGTAATCCTTAGTGAAATAGTGGATGTAGGCAATGATCATTAATGGATGCTAAAATCATTAGGTGAAAGGTTGATGGGGAGGACTACGTACTAGAGAGGTCAGTGTGATACCATCTGACCAGTGATCTTTAGCACCACTAAAATTGGGACATCCAGATAGTGCTTCATGCAGTAGGAGGTAGACAGCGGCAACCAACTATGAAGTTATTTTACCAAGGAAAAAAAAAGGAAACGAAACAAAAGAAGTTAAACTTTAAATAATTCTCTAGATCTGATGATCACTTTATAGGATATATGGAGAACTAGAGAAAAAAGTTAAATGACACCATGGTAAAGTAGTTATCCAAATAAACATGACTGTTTTTCCAACAAATCAGTGGCATAGGGAAAAATATTAGGACCTGTAACTACAACAATCTAATGCGCACCATTGAACTTGTGTAAATTCTGAGCATTTATTAAATACTTATCTATTATTACTTTTAAAAGTGTCTCAGCCGGCCGGGCATGGTGGCTCACACCTGTAATCCCAGCACTTTGGGAGGCTGAGGCGGGTTTATCACCTGAGGTCAGGAGTTCGAGACCAGTCTGGCCAATATGGTGAAACCCCATCTCTACTAAAAAAGTACAAAAATTAGCCAGGCATGGTAGCATGCCCCTGTAATCCCAGCTACTCAGGAGGCTGAGGCAGGAGAATCGCTTGAACCCAGCAGGCAGAGTGAGCCAAGACCGCGCCATTGCACTCCAGTCTGGTTGACAGAGGACACTCCATCTCAAAAAAAAAAAGAAAAAAAAAAGTTTCTCAGCCTTTGATATAGGGGAACTAAGTCCTGTTAATGGGATGGGGAATGTGTCAATAAGTGCTAGGAATGGAGCATTTAGGATTATGTTTTCACTGTAGAATTGACAATACTTATCTACATGGCTGTGGTCTCAATGCGTCTATAATCTTTTCATTGTAAAGTTTTCCTGCTTTTTCCCTGTCTCTGTATTTTTTTCCTTCCATCCCACGGAAACTGTTCTCATTACTAGACATCTGTGCATGGGTGGGAACGTGAATATTGACATGTCTGAGAAAAGTTAGAGGAGGACTAAGTTTTTGTGACAAGACTAGCCTTTTTGGTAGAGCTTTATGAAGTCAAGATTAATATAACCTTGGAATCACTTTCAGGTATCATCTTTTAGTCCTACAGGTGCTCATATAATTGCCCAGTTTTCGAAAAAACTTCTCGATGAAGATATTTCTATATTTTCTGGATCAGAAATGTTGCCTGTGGTTAAAGGAGCTTTTATTTCTGTGTGTCGTCACATATATAGTACATGTGAAGGTTTGCAGGTGTTAATCACTTATAATTTGCATGAATCTATAGCAAAGGCATGGAAAAAGGTAAGTATTTTCAAGCTTCGTTTTTTCTCCCTGCAAATCTTTATTTCAAATATAAGCACCATTATAGTGTTGTACTTTGGATGAAATATTTAACTGGGGCAAATATGACTTCTTTAGCATCACAGTACTCTAGGGGACATAATGCATCTTAATTTGGCACAGGATGACTGCAGTATTTCCTTTCCCAGTGGGACAAAGTTCTAAGACTTAAATGGGTACTACAGATTCTTTTCTTCTCGTAGATGAGGCTTTAGGTTAATTTTCCTTACATAGACTAACACTCTTTGGGAGTTATTTTAAAGTAATTTTTAGAGACAGCTGGGTTTTTGTTGTGGATACTAGAGATCGTAATGTAGCAATAGCCATATATGTGTATATCAGTGGACAACTAAGTCTTTTCCCCCCATTTGATATGGTTTATTTGTAAAATATGTTATATGATATTTCATTAACAACCAAATAATTTAAAATTTGAAGATAATTTTGATTTTAATAACATTAAGGATAAAACAAAAATGCAACATAAGAAATCTTATGGGTAGTGCTATCAGTAAGAAATATAAAATATAATTATAAATATAATTATAAAATATAATTATAAATATAATTATAAAATATAAATATATGGCTAGTGCTATCAGTAAGCAATATAAATTATTCTACTATTTTTTAGACAAGTTTGCTATCAGAAAGAATTCCTACTCCAGTAGAGGGTTCTGATTCTGTTTCTTCAGTAAGCCAGGAATCCCAAAACATGTAAGTACAATTGATGAAAGTCATGCATTTATTATATTTGCTGAAATAAATTTAAAATTATTAAAATGTAATAGAATACTATGGCAAAAATGTTTTACAGGATGGTAAATGTATATATACAGCTTCAAGGAAAATTAGTTTGGAAAAACTTTAGAGATCATGTAATACTCATAACCTTTTTAAAATCTAACAATATTTATTATACTTGTTTCATTCTGTTTTTACATCTTAGATTAGGAAATGTGATATTATCGTGTTTCCAGAAAATTTGGAGAATTACCAAATACCAAAGTTGGAAAGTTAACTGGAGAGTTTAGTAGAAATAATATGTTCTCAAATGCCAATGAAGTCTATTTATATTTAAAATATTATTTTTCTAAAAGTGGTGGGAGTACATTTCAGTTAGGTTTTGGCTTTGGAAAATTATTTAAATCAATATTTATATCAAATTTTAATTTATATGTCTCCATGTTTCTTTACAGATATCAGTAGGATATGGAGTCAGATTAATGGGGAAAATAGATTTTTTGAACTAAACTCGGGCAACATGTTTTTCTGGGTTCTGTTCTTATTTTATAATCAAATATTGGCATAGTCTAAAATGATAATAATTAGGGAGAACTTGAAGGGCTATTCTTTGTTAAAGAGATGTTGAAGTGGAATTTGAATTTTTTTAAGGTAGGTATAGTTTAACTTACAAAACAATCAAAAAGCCTTCTGCATTTCCTTAACAGTATAATGGTTCAACAAATAGTTAATTCCCTAAACATTTTCTATAATTTATTTTCTAATATAGTTGTCACACAATGAGCTGCTTTGTTTTTTGCATTAAAGGGTGACAAAAATGCATTTCTATAGTTTATTTTTGAGGTAATTTTTAGATCTCATTTTTTAATAATTAATTTTCATTTTTAATTTCAGTAGTGATTTCAATTTTTATTTCAATAGTTTTTGGGGTACAGGTGCTTTTGGTTACATGGATGCATTCTTCAGTGGTGATTTCTGAGCTTTTTGTGCATCCATCACTCAAGCAGTGTACACTGTACCCAATATGTAATTTTTTATCCCTTACCCTCCTTCCAAATTTTCCTTCTGTACCCGCAGAGTCCATTATATCATGCTTATGCCTTTGCATCCTCAGAGCTTAGCTCCCACTTATAAGTGAGAACATATGACATTTGGATTTTTATTTCTGAGTTACTTAACTTAGAAAAATCGGCCTCCAGCTCCATCCAACTTGGTGCAAAAGACATTATTTCCTTTTTTTTTTATGACTGAGTAGTATTCCATGGCATATATGTACCACATTTTCTTTATTCACTTGTTGGTTGATGGGCACTTAGATTGGTTTCATATCTTTGCAATTGTGAATTGTGCTCCTATAAACATGCTTGTGCCTATGTCTTTTTCATATAATGTCTTCTTTTCCTTTGAGTGAGATACCCAGTAGTGGGATTGCTGGATCAAATTGTAGTTCTACTTTTAGTTCTTTAAGGAATCTCCATACTGTTTTCAATAGTGGTCGTACTAGTTTACATTCCCACCAGCAGTATAAAAGTGTCCCACCACATGCATACCAACATCTATTGTTTTTTTGACTTTTTTTTTTGAGACGGAATCTCGCTCTGTCGCCCAGGCTGGAGTGCAGTGGAGTGATCTCGGCTCACTGAAAGCTCCGCCTCCCAGATTGACGCCATTCTCCTGCCTCAGCCTCCTGAGGAGCTGGGACTACAGGCGCCCACCACCACGCCCGGCTAATGTTTTTGTATTTTTAGTAGAGACGGGGTTTCACCATGTTAGCCAGGATGGTCTTGATCTTCTGACCTCGTGATCCGCCCGCCTCGGCCTCCCAAAGTGCGGGGATTACAGGCGTGAGCCACCGTGCCGGCCTTGACTTTTTAATTACGGCCTTTTTTTCTTGCGGGAATAAGTGGTTTTAATTTGCATTTCCCTGATGATTAGTGATGTTGAACATTTTTTTTCAAGTGCTCGTTGGCTGTTTGTACGTTTTGAGAATTGTTTCTTCATGTCCTTTGCCCACTTTTTAATGAGATTATTTGTTTTTTGTTTTCTTGCTGATTTCTTTGGCTTCTTTGTAGATTCTGGAAATTAGTCCTTTGTTAGACATTGCATAGTTTGTGAATATTTTCTCCCACATTGGGTTGTGGTTACTCCGCTTATTTTTTTTGCTGTGCAGAAGCTCTTTAGTTTAATTATGTCCCATTTATTTATTTTTGGTTTTGTTGCAATTGCTTTTGAGGTCTTAGTCATGAATTCTTTGCCTAAGCTAATGCCCAGAAGAGTTTTTCCAATGTTATCTTCTAGAATTTTTATGATTTCATGTCTTAGATTAAGTCTTTGATCCATCATGTGTTGATTTTTATATAAGGTGAGAGATGAGGATCTGGTTCTTTCTTCTACATGTGGCTTGCCAGTTTTCCCAGCACCATTTATTAAATAATGTCCTTTCCCCAATTAATGTTTTTTTCTTATGCTTTGTTGAAGATCAGTTGGCTGTAAGTATTTGGCTTTATTTCTGGGTTCTCTATTCTGTTCCATTGGTCTACATGTCTGTTTTTATTTTTTTATTTATTATACATTAAGTTCTGGGATACATGTGCAGAATATGCAGGTTTGTTACATAGGTATACATGTGCCATGGTGGTTTGCTGCACCCATCAACCCGTCATCTAGGTTGTAATTCCTGCATATATTGGGTATTTGTCCTAATGCTCTCCCTCCCCTGGCTCTCCACCCCCTGAGAGGCCCTGGTGTGTGATATTCTCCTCCCTGTGTCCATGTGTTCTCATCGTTTGACTCCTACTTATGAGTGAGAACATGCAGTGTTTGGTTTTCTGTTCCTGTGTTAGTTTGCTGAGAATGATGGTTTCCAGCTTCATCCATCTCCCTGCGAAGGACATGAACTCATTCATTTTATGGCTGTATTTCATGTTGTGTATGTGCCACATTTTCTTTATCCAGTCTGTCATTTTAATGGGCATTTGCATTAGTTCCAAGTCTTAGTTATTGTGAACAATGCTGCAATAAACATATGTGTGCATGTGTCTTTATAGTAGAATGATTCATAATCCTTCGGGTATATACCCAGTAATGGGATTGAGGGGTCAAATGGTATTTCTGGTTCTAGATTCTTGAGGAATCGTCACACTGTCTTCTACAATGGTTGAACTAATTTACACTCCCGCCAACAGTGTAAAATCGTCCCTATTTCTCGACATCCTCTCTAGCACCTGTTTTTTCCTGACTTTTTAATGATTGTCATTCTAACTGGCATGAGATGGTATCTCACTGTGGTTTTGATTTGCATTTCTCTAATGACCAGTGGTGATGAACTTTTTTTCATATGTTTCTTGGCCGCATAAATATGTTTCATATGTTTGTTGGCTGTCTTCTTTTCAGAAGTGTCTGTTCATATCCTTTGCCCACTTTTTGATGGGGTTGTTTTTTCTTGTAAATTTCCTTAAGTTGCTTATAGATTCTGGATATTAGACCTTTGTCAGATGGATAGATGGCAAAAATTTTCTCCCATTCTGTAGGTTGCCTGTTCACTCTGATGATAGTTTCTTTTGCTTTGCAGAAACTCTGTAGTTTAATTAGATCCCATTTGTCAATTTTGGCTTTTGCTGCAATTGCTTTTGGTGTTTTAGTCATGAAGTTTTTGCCCATGCCTATGTCCTGAATGGTATTGCCTAGGTTTTCTTCTATAGTTTTTATGGTTTTAGATTTTATGTTTAAGTCTTTAATCCATCTTGAGTTAATTTTTGTATAAGGTGTAAGGGAGGCATCTAGTTTCAGTTTTCTGCATATTGCTACTAGTTTTCCCAGCACCATTTATTAAGTAGGGAATCCTTTCCCCATTGCTTGTTTTTATCAGGTTTGTTGAAGATCACATGGTTATGGATATGTGGTGTTATCTCTGAGGCCTCTGTTCTGTTCCATTGGTCTATATATCTCTTTTGGTTATCATAGCCTTGTAGTATAGCTTGAAGTCAGGTAGCATGATGCCTCCAGCTTTGTTCTTTTTGCTTGGGATTGTCTTGGCTAAGTGGGCTCTTTTTTGGTTCCATATGAAATTTAAAGTAGTTTTTTTTTAATTCTATGAGGAAAGTCAATGGTAGCTTGATGGGAATAGCATTGAATCAAATAACTTTGGGCAGTATGACCATTTTCACAATATTGATTCTTCCTATTCATGAGCATGGAATGTTTTCCCATTTGTTTGTCTCCTCTCTTATTTCCTTGAGTAGTAGTTTGTAGCTCTCCCTGAAGAGGTCCTTCATGTCCTTTGTAAGTTGTATTCCTAGGTATTTTATTTTCCTCGCAGCAGTTGTGAATGGGAGTTCACTCATGATTTGACTCTCTGTCTATTATTGGTGTATAGGAATGCCTGTGATTTTTGCACGTTGATTTTGTATCCTGAGACTTTGCTGAAGTTGCTTATCAGCTTAAAGAGTTTTTGGGCTGAGGTGATGGAGTTTTCTAAATATATAATCATGTCATCTGCAGAGAAAATTTGACTTCCTCTCTTTCTATTTGAATACCTTTTATTTCTTTCTCTTGCCTGATTGTTTTGGCCAGAACTTCCAATACTATGTTCAGTAGGAGTGGTGAGAGAGACCACCCTTGTCTTGTGCCAGTTTTGAGAGGGAATGCTTCCAGTTTTTGCCCATTCAGTATGATCTTGGCTGTAAGTTTATCATACATAGCTCTTATTATTTTGAGATATGTTCCATCAATACCTAGTTTATTGAGAGTTTTTAGCATAAAGGGGTGTTGAATTTTATCGAAGGCCTTTTCTGCATCTGTTGAGATAATCATGTGATTTTTGTCATTGGTTCTGTTTATTTGATGGATTACTTTTATTTATTTGCATATGTTGAACCATCCTTGCTTCCCAGGAATGAAGCCGACTTGATCATGGTGGATAAGCTTTTTGATATGCTGCTGGATTTGGTTTGTCAGTATTTTATTGAGGATTTTCACATCCATGTTCATCAGGGATATTGGCCTGAAATTTTCATTTTTTATTGTGTCTCTGCCAGGTTTTGGTATCAGGATGATGCTGGCCTCATAAAATGAGTTAGGGAAGAGTCCCTCTATTTCTATTGTTTGGAATATTGCAGAAGGAATGGTACCAGCTTCTCTTTGTATCTCTGGTAGAATTCGTACTTGCCTATTTTTATACCAGTACCATGCAGTTTTGGTAACTATAGCCTTGTATAATAATTTGAAGGTGGGTAATGAGATGCCTTCAGATTTGTTCTTTTTGCTTAGTTTTGCTTTGGCTGTGTGGGCTCTTTATTGGCTCCATATGAATTTTGAGATTTTTTTTTCTAGTTTTGTGAAGAATGATGGTGGTATTTTTATGGGAATTGCATTGAATCTGTGGATTGCTTTTGGCAGTATGGTCATTTTCATAATATTGATTCTACCCATCTATGAGCATGGGATGTGTTTTCATTTGTTTGTGTCATCTGTGATATCTTTCAACAGTGTTTTGTAGTTTTTTTTTGTAGAGATCTTTACTTCCTTGGTTAAGTATATTCCTAAAGTTTGTTTTGTTTTGGTTTTTGTTTTTGTTTTTTAGCTGTTGTAAAAGGGATTTAGTTTTTAATTTGATTCCCAGCTTGGTTGTTGCTGATGTATAGCAGTGCTACTGATTTGTGTACTTTGATTTTGTATCCTGAATCTTGAATGAATTTATTTATCAGATCTGGGAGCTTTTTGGATGACTCTTCAGAGTTTTTGAGGTATATGATCATATAATCAGCAGAAAGTGACAGTTTGACTTCCTCTTTTCTAGTTTGGATGCCCTTTATTTCTTTTTCTTGTGTGATTGCTCTGGCTAGAACTTCTAGTGCTATGTCAAATAGAAGTGGTGAAAGTGGGTATCCTTGTCTTTTTTCAGCTCTCAGGGGGAATGCTTTCAACTTTTTCCGATTCTCTATGATGTTGGCTGTGGGTTTGTTCTGTATGGCTTTTATTACTTTGAGGTAAGTCCTGTCTATGCCTATTTTGTTAAGGGTTTTAATCTAAAGGGGTGCTAGATTTTATCACATGCTTTTTTTGTTTTTATTGAGATAATAATAATAATAATAATTTTATTGTTTTTAATTCCGTTTATGTGATATATCATATTTACTGATGTGTGTATGTTAAACCATCCCTACATTGTGATCATGATGTATTACCTATCTTGATCATGGTGTATTACCTATTTGATATGTTGTTAGATTTGATTAGCAAGTATTATTTTGAGGATTTTTTTGCATCTGTGTTTATCAGAGATATTGGTCTGTAGTTTTCTTTTTATGTTATGTCCTTTTGTGTTTTGGTATTAGGGTGATACTGACTTCATAGATAGATTTAGGAAGGATTCTCTCTTTATCTTTTGGAATAGTTTCAGTAGGATTGGTACTGTTTCTCTTTGAATGTCTGATAGAATTCAGCTATGAATTTATCTAGTCCTGGACTTTTTTCTGTTGGCAGTTTTTTTTAATTGCTGATTAAATCTTGTTGCTGTTATTGGTCTGTTCAGGGTTTCTGTTTCTTCTTAATTTAATCTAGGATGGTTGTATATTTCCACAAATTTATTTATCTCCTCTAGATTTTCTAGTTTGTGCACATAAAGGTGTTCATAGTAGCCTTGAATGATCTTTTATATTTCTGTGATATTGTCTGTAATAACTCCAGTTTTATTTCTAATTGAGCTTATTTGGATCTGCTTTTTTCTTGGTTAATCTTGCTAATGGTTATCAGTTTTATCTTTTCAGAAAACTAGCTTTTTCCTTCATTTATCTTTTGTATTTTTTTCTTTCAATTTCATTTAATTCTCCTCTGATCTTGGTTATATCTTTTCTTCTGCTGGGTTTGGGTTTAGTTTGTTCTTGTCTCTCTAATTCCTTGAGGTGTGACATTAGGTTGTCTATTTGTGCTCTTTCAGACTTTTTGATGTAGGCATTTAATGCTATGAACTTTCCTTTTAACACTGCTTTTGTTGTATCCCAGGCGTTTTGACAAGTTGTGTCACTATTATCATTTATTTCAAATGATTTTTTAATATCTATGTTGATTTTGTTAAACTATAAATCATTCAAGAAAAGATTGTTTAATTTCCATGTATTTGTATAGTTTTGAGGGTTCCTTTTGGAGTTGATTTCCAATTTTATTCCACTGCAGTCTGAGAGAGTACTTGGTATAATTTTGATTTTCTTAAATTTGCTGAGACTTGTTTTGTGGCTTATCGTGTGGTCTATCTTGGGGAATGTTCCATATGCTGATGAATAGAATGCATATTCTGCAGTTGTTGGGTAGAATGTTTTGTAAATATCTGTTAAGTCCATTTGTTGTAGAGTATAGTTTAAGTCCATTTTTTCTTTGTTGACTTTCTGTCTTGATGACCTGTCTAGTGCTGTCAGTGGAGTATTAAAGTCTCCCAATATTCCTGTGTTGTTGTCAATCTCATTTCTTAGGTCTAGTAGTAATGGTTTTATAAATGTGGGAGCTCCAGTGTTAGGTGCATATAAATTTAAGATTTTAATATCTTCCTGTTGTACTAATCCATTATTGTATAATGTCCTTCTTTGTCTTTTTTTTTTTTTTTTTTTTTTTGCTTTAAAGCCTGTTTTATCTGATATAAGAATAGCTACTTCTACTTGGTTTTGGTTTCTATTTGTGTGGAATGTCTTTTTTCACCCCTTTACCTCAAGTTTATGTGAGTCATGTGTTAAGTGAGTCTCTTGAAGACAGCAGATATTTTGCTGGTGGTTATCCATTCTCCTACTCTGTTTCTTTGAAGTGGAGCATTTAGTCCATTTACTTTCAACATTAATATTGAGATGTGAGGTACTTTTTTATTCATCATGTTAGTTTTTGCCTTGATACTTTTTTTTTTCATTGTGTTATGTTTTATAAGCCCTGTGAGATTTATGCCTTTGGAGGTTCTATTTTGGTGTATATCAAGATTTATTTCAAGATTTAGAACTCCTTTTAGCATTTCTTGTAGTGCTTGTTTGGTGGTAGCAAATTTAATTAGCATTTGTTTGTCTGAAAAAGATTTTATCTGTTTTTCATTTATGAAGCTTAGTTTTGCTGGATACAAAATTATTGGCTGACAATTATTTTGCTTAAGGGAGCTATAAATAAGACCCCAGTTCCTTCTGGCTTGTAAGGTTTCTACTGAGAAATCTACTGTTAGTCTGATAGGTTTTCTTTTACAGGTTACCTGATGCTTTTTTCTCAGAGCTCTTAAGATTCTGTCCTTCATCTTGACTTTAGATAACCTTATGACTATGTGCCTTGGTGGTGATCTTTTCCCAATGAATTTTCCAGGTGTTCTTTGAGCTTCTTTTCCTCAATTATTCCCTAAAATGAGTTTTCCAAACTTTTAGACTTGTCTTCTGCCCCAGGAACACCAGTTATTCATAGGTTTGGCCATTTTACATAATCCCATATTTCTTGGAGAGTTTTTCTTTGTCTTTGTCTGATTGTGTTAATTTGAAAACCTTTTCTTTGAGCTCTCATATTCTTTCTTCTGCTTGTTCTAGTCTGTTGTTGAAACTTTCCAGTGTATTTTTTATGTCCCAGTGTGTCTTTCATTTCCAGAAATTGTGATTTTTTTCTTTATTATATCTATTTCTCTGGAAAAGTTTTCTTTCATATACTGAATTGTTTTTTAAATTTCTTTAACTTGTTTTTTGCATTTCTCTGTTATCTCCTTGAGTAGCTTAATAGTCAACCTCCCGAATTATTTACCTGGCATTTCAGAGATTTCTTCTTGGTTTGGATCCATTGCTGGGGCCTACTGTGACCTTTTGGGGGTGTTACAGAACCCTTTTATGTCAAATTACCAGAATTACTTTTTTCATTTGGGTAGACTGTTTCTTCAACTTGTTTTTTGAATTTATTTTTGATCGGATTAGAAAAATTTTTTTTCTCTTAAGGATCTGACTTTAATGTGTATTGTTCATTTTAGCCTAATTTAATTCTTCGTGCTTTTAGGTTGAAGAGTCGGTGTGATTTCTTTAGTTATGGAGAATCTTTGTGCACTGTCTTTCCCAGATGCCAGTTGTAGTAGTTATATACTTGGTGTGTGGGCAAGTTCACTGTCTCCGGCAGGACTGGAATGGCAGGGATCTCCTGAGGCTTATCTCATTCTCCTGTGTTGTACACTTTATTTATTTATTTAATTTTTCTCCAGTATTTTATTTACTGAGGATTTGGGCTTCAGGTTAATAGGAGAGGCACCCCTGGGTATGCACCAGTTGTAGCTAAGGCAGGTGAGTAGATGTAATACCCAATAGTGGTCAGAGGTCCCAGCCATGATGGTGGTGACTGGGGGAGCTCTCAATTAGATGTACTGAGGTTTTATTAGGGCAAAGGGTAGGAGCTACCTCAGCTTCCCTCCCAGGCCAGCAGGAAATCTATCCACCTTACAGCCTCACAACTGTTCCAGTGTTCAGCTATTCAGACCAGACACACACCTCTTTTCATCTGTGGGAATGTTGATGTTTCAAGTAGGGAGTAATAGTCACTCTCCCTCTTGTGCAGGCCTGAATCTGGGGATGGGGGGAGGGGAGTTTGCTCCTCCCGTGGGGCTGAAGTCACCCTGAATTGTTCTAGGAAGGCTGTCTGTAGGTGCATCCATGCTCCGTTCCCATGAAAGAAGGCTCAGTTTTGTCTGCAGTAATGTACCGGGGGGACCAAGGATCCCTTCTCCAAGACCATTATCACAGAGGCTGTCTGCCTATTGGATAGAGAGGTAGACTTTCCTTACTGTGCCCAGCACTGCAATTATGTTTGTGATGTAAGAAATTTCCCACCAGCAGAAAGATCTGGGACTCAAGGCCTGCCATTCAGATTCTTTCATCCCACAGGGTGTTCCCTTGATGTGGTGCTCTCCTCCTTACTCTAAGAATGGGACTTCCTGAGAGCTGGACTGCAGTGATTGTTATTGCTCTTCTGGGTCTAGCCACCCAGTAGGGCTGCCAGGCTCCAGGCTGGTGCTGTGAATATCTGCAAAGGATTCAGTGATGTGACCTGTCTTCAAGTCTCCCAGCAGTGGATACCAGCACCTGCTCTGGTAGATGTAGACTCTCTGATTCCTTGATTGTAGATAGTCTTAATGTGCTGGCTTTCTTGAAGGTGGGTTATAATTGTAGTGATTTGTCATGTGGACAGACTCAGGACTTCTGGGTAGCCAGGGTGTTGCAGGCAGTGGTGTTAGCTGAAGTCCCACAGCCATTTTCTCCTTCCTAGGCACAGTGTTACACTGCAGTGAGGTGCTGTAATGGCCTGAGTTTGTTGGCCTCCAGCCAGGAAGTGGCACTTGCAAGAGGAGTACCAGCTGTGATAGTAGCAGTGAGTTTTAAGTTTGCTTTAAGTTGGCCAGGACAAGTGTTCTGATTTCTTAGGTGATGGGCAAGGCCATAAAGCTCCCAAAAGTTTATGTCCCTTGTGTTAAGCTATATATTCTTTATAACGTATTGGACAATAACTTCCAGAAAGACCTCTCCCACAAATTGGCTCCCAATGGACCCTGCATAACCCATATCATATAAATTTAGCATACTGTATTGCCATACCATATTTACTTATTTGTATTCTACACTACATAATATGCTCATGTGTATCTTCAGAACTCAGCAGAGCACTTGGCCCAATAAGTAATTTAATAAGTGAGTAGAAAATAAGTGCATGAATAAAAATGAAAAAGTGACAAATCATAGTAGAGGATTTCAAACTAAAAACACAGCACAGCAGAGGCAGTTATACTCCCCTCTGGAACTTTACCTCAGTGGCCTGAAAACCACCCCCACAGCAGGTCCCACCTAAGGAGTCTGAGCTCAGACCCTGCCCCCACTTAGTGGTATTTCTCCACCTGCCCTGGTAGCTTAACACAAAGGACATATGTGTACTCTTTCACGTCATATAATGATACAACTTGGAAGTTTTTGCTTCTGTTTTCTTTGGGAGGACTCACATAGACTTCTTTTATTGATTCATTTTCTTTAATGGGTAATGTCTCATTCTGATTTTCTATTTCTGCTTGAATGACTTATGATTACATTTTCTAAAAAATAACAATACTTTTTTACTTGTATATTTATTTATTATATAAATTTTTAAAAAATATTTGTGTGTGATTTAAAAGTAATTGTTTTCCTGCTGTAATTATTTCCCCTTTTTGGATTCTTAGTATTTTTTGTCCTTTTCTCCCCTTCTTGACCAATTTATTGCATTAGTTTATGCAGACTAGGTTTTGGTCTTGTTAATGCTTGCTTTTCTCCCTCTCTTACTCCCTCGTTTGCCTTTATAGTAGAGGAAAGTAAGTGGAAGGGGTTTGAGAATGGATGTTGAGAGAAGCAATCTATATTAACTGTAGCAATGAATACATTTTGATATGTGATACTTCCATTATTAAGCTGTTCTAAATATTTTTGTAATTTCTATTTTCATTTTACTCCTTAATTCATTAAATATTGGAAGTGCGTCTGTGTTTTTTTTTTGGTCTTCAAACATAGTTGTTTTTACTATTTTATTTTGTTGACTTTTATATATATTCTTTTTAGAGAACATGGATTTCATGTTATGTATGTTTTTAGGTTGGTTGAACTTACTTTGTGACCCATTACAGGGTCAGTTGAAAAAAAAATCTGTCTGCTTGAAAAGACAATATATTCTTCATTGGATGCTGATATTGTTTGTGTGTGTTTGTGTGTGTGTGTGTTTTGTTACTAAAACTTTTAATATCTCTACTAATATTTTGATATATAATCTCTCACTATAGGGTAGATTTGTCATGATCCAAAGTCATGATGCCTTGTCTTTTATTTAGGAAAGGAATCTCTTCTCATCAGATTTTTTGTGAACATCCTATTGGACTTTTCATATGGCCACCTCTGGCCAGATGGTGGTTGGTGAAAAAGTGGCTGTAGATGGGGATTGGGTCAGCCAGTCAATATTATCAGTTACACATAGTTTTCCTTCCCCCAACCCTTTTACTTTCTACTGTTCTGAGTAGCAAATTTTGTATTTTTACCCAGCCTCCAAATTTCTCTATATTTTTTATTAGGTGAGTTTAGTTTTTTTTACATTTTTGAGATATTCATATGTTTGGGGTTATTTTCTTATTTTGTGTTTTGTAATTATATTTTCTTTGCTTCTTTCCTCTATTGCTTTGTGTTAGATGGATAAAATTTTCATTATACCTATTTTTTCCTTCTCTGCTGGTTTTGAATTTATAAGTTGTATTTCCATTTTTTAAAAAGTGGTTATTCCTAAGACATTAATGTATATATTTATATATATTTTCAAAGAAAGTAAAAAGTAATTAGGTATTTGTGTCATGTTTTCAAATGCAACATGGGTTTTAGCACACTTGGACTAAGCATTGATTCTCCAAACATCCATAATTCCCAGTCTTATAGTTATCTAGAATTTTAGTTTTATAAATATATGTTGATCTTTCTTATAGAAGTGTTCTGAGAAAAAATATCTTTCCCCAAAAGTAAAATAAATTAACACCTATGAAAATCGAAAAGAGATAATATCTATCACGTGCTTTTGAAAGCAGAAGACAGATACTTTATAATGAAAAGAAAGTACAGAAATAATGGGGTGTTGAGGTTTGGAGAATTCATGCACAGCAGAATTTTAATAGGAAAATAGAAGGAAATTAGTGTGTGGATGAGAGAACCTGGGTATAATAAAAATGCTGACATATGCAGTTAACATTTTTTTCATTCAGTGAAGAGAAATTATAGGTATAGAAAATGTAAGAATAAAAGAATTCACTACCAAAGAAACCATGTTTTTATTTAATTTTAAACCTTTATTGATTAATTTGCAACCAATATATACTGTGTAACTTTAATTGTAAACAGGGTTAAGCTCAGCTAAGACATACTCTTTGTTTTCAGTTTTTAGTATCTTAAAGAAAGCTCTACCTTTCTTTTACCTATTTCAGTATGGCTTGGGAAGATAATTTGTTAGATGATTTACTACATTTTGCTGCCACCCCCAAAGGATTACTACTTCTTCAAAGAACAGGTGCTATCAATGAATGTGTGACATTTATATTCAATCGATATGCAAAAAAATTACAGGTATGAATTACCATCTGCCAAAGGCAAAGGGAATTTTTGTGGTTTTAAAAGCCATTAAGAACATCATTCTGTTTTCTGTGTATGAAGAAGTTATTAAGCCTCTGTTAAAAGACCATATAGCATTGTAATAGTCAACTTGATTTTTTTTTAGGAAAACATTAGAGAGTTGATATTAGTGTCTGTGGCTGTATTTACAGAATTGCAAACAACCAGATGGAATTGAAGAATGCAGTTAATTATCGTATGTTTTATAATTATGATATCAAACATCTGGATGTAGTGAAACTGGGTGAATTTCCTAAGGAAATAAACCTATTGTGTCTAAATGTATATGTCAGTGAAGATTTAGGCCTCACATTTTAAAGGAAACAAAAATATTTGTAGAGGCATTCTATTATTCTACTATTAAATAAATTTACAATATAATTTAGTCTTTAACAGTCAAAGGTCAAAGGTCACTGAGTTGTAATCAGCTTTTTTTCTGTCATACTAAATATCCCTAGACTTTTGGGCTTTTTAAGATCTTAGGTATGATTTTAAAATATTTTTCAGAGTTTGTTTTTGCAGTTCTTACCATCTTGAAGGAATGTCTAGTTAGCATGCCATGTTTTGTTGCTTTTCATTGCTGTTCCTTATTTATGCTGTTAGGTCAGCAGGCATAAAAAATTTGGCTATGGAGTTTTGGTTACACGAGTGGCATCAACAGCAGCAGGTGGCATTGCACTAAAAAAGTCAGGTAAATGTTTTCTTTTCATTAGAATTATAATTATTTTAAAGATAAAATGAGCAAGCCAACTGAAAATTTAACTGGCACAATTAAGTATCAGGATATTTACTCTAAAATTCTTTTTACTAAGTTAGACCTTATGTAAAAGAAAGTTACAGGATTTTCTTTTTGTCTTTCTTTTTCCATGAAATTCCAATACGGTTTTGTGTTTCTGTGATATATATACAACCTTGTTCTGTTGCCTCGGACCAATGGCAAATAATGAACTCAGGAGAAACGTACTTAATGCTTTAAGAATCTTCCTTCATCTTATAAATCAGAAGAATATCATCTTCTCTCAGTACAGTCCCATCTGATAGGATTATCTAATGCTTATTGTCAGTGGCTTACATATGCTTCAAAATTTACACTCATTTACATAACATTTCCTAATTCCCTTTCTCCCTCTTTTCTTCTTGAAAGCATTTGTCTTACCACTTAGCTTTCACATTATCTTTGAAGTTGACAGTTAAGTACATATTCTTCCCTGTCCATTTGATTTGTAAGAAGTTAAAACATTGGAAATTTAGTATGTCTTTTTTTTTTTTTTTTTTTTTGTGAGACAGAATTTCACTTTTGTCGCCCAGGCTGGAGTACAATGGCATAGTCTCAGCTCACTGCAACCTCCGCCTCCTGGGTTCAAGCAATTCTGCTGAGTAGCTGAGATTACAGGAGGCCACCACCACGCCTGGCTAATTTTTGTATCTTTGGTAGAGATGGGGTTTCACCATGTTGGCCAGGCTGGTCTTGAACTCTGACCTCAGGTGATTCGCCCGCCTTGGCCTCCCAGAATGCTAGGATTACAAGTGTGAACCACCGCACCCGGCCAATATGTCTTATATTAAGGTTATCTGAGCTCTGAACAATATATAATCCCTGATAGAGATGCTATGACAATATTTTTTCAAGGCTTAGAGTTGAATTATAACATGAGTGATCACTACTGATTCTCTCTTTAAATACAAATATTTTTCCTATAGTATATTTTACATTTATTTTTTGGGCTGAACTAATTTGGACTACTTGTATTATGAAACATGTTTCTTGGTAAAAAAAAAAAAAAAAAAAAAAAAAAAATTGTCCTAAACTGAACCACTAATTTTTTTTCTTCTACTTAGAATAAAATTCATGTAGTGCAGTATCCAGAGCACATTAACTGAAGTATTTGGAGACTAGATTTAATCTCAGATCTCACCCTTGGTAAAATCATTAAGCTTCTGAGCATCAGAGTCTCAAACTTTTCATGAGAGGGGTAAGTGTAGTTTTCAAAGGACAGAAGGAGGAAGACTACAGTTTCTTGAGCTTCTCCGATGTCGTAGGTACTATATTAGGAACTTCACATGTATTGTCCTGTTGATACTTCATGGCAACCTTGGATTATGGCATCATTATTTCAATTTTCAAATGGGGGAACTAAGGCTCCAAGAAGTCACAGGATTTTTGCAAGGATGAACAGCTAATAAACTGGCATATTTGGAATTTAAACTCTAATATTCTTGATTTTAGAGCCCATATTTTTTTCTCTCATACCAGAAGACCCTTTCTGATCGAATATTGTTGTTATGAACTTACTTATTTTAGGATTCAATGTTGTGTTTGACACTTTTCCACATGATTTTTCTACTTGATTTTTTAATAGACTAATTTGAGAATCAGGTTTTATATTCATTTTCGTTTAGTTGTATAGTATGACTCGTAAGAATTTAAAGACTGGGTTGAAGCAAAAGTTGTATGAAATGCAGAATTCTTCTTAGTGTATGGAATTACAAAAAAAAATTAGTTATATTGGAATAAGGGAGCATACACTCTTTGGATGCCTACCTGGCCTCCTGTTACCTCTTTCTCTCCTCCCCTCACCTCTGAAAAACACAGTCTGATTTCAGACTGCCTTACTTTGCTGGCTGATTTGCAAAGCAAAGTATAAACTTTATTATGTTTCAGAAAACATGCTCAGAGAAGTTATAGGCCAAAGTGAAGAAGCTGGGACTCAAAATTCAGCAGTCTTCCAGGGAAATTGTCTCTCAGAATTTAGTTATTACAGAGTTTTATGATAATGAAGTATCATAAAAGTATATTAACAATAGCAGATATAATTTCTACCAAGAAGAGATTATTTTTTATATAAGATGCAAGTATGTGTCTTCTGTCAGAGTAGACCAGATTCATCAGAGGGATCATCATATCTTTCCTTCATAATCCAAAGAAATATTATGCTATAAATGACTTGAAGTAATAATTCTTTTTAGGGTTTATTAATGAACTTATAACTGAATTATGGTCCAATCTGGAATATGGAAGAGATGATGTTAGGGTAACCCATCCCAGAACTACTCCAGTGGATCCTATTGACCGAAGCTGTCAAAAGGTAAGAAGTTATTTGACTAATAATACACAGATTTGAAAAGTATTTCACAGAAATGAATTCGTTCATACTTTATCCATATTCAGTTACAACCAGCAGACTTTTTAATATATTTATTTCTCCTCTTTTTAATTTTCAAACTATTATTTTTATTTTCAAAATAAGTTTAGCAAATGATAGAAATCCCAGTGTTTTGTGGGAATAATATTTTGCAAGAATTATTTTCTTTTACTTTATGTCTATTAAAGTTTTTCTCCCTTAATGAAGAGTAATAATGTACCAGACATGTTACAAAAAAAAAATCATTGGAACAAAGAAAAACCAACCAACCAACCAATGAATATAAAAATCCAAGAAATGTTTTGCCCTATAGCTTGAATCTAATAGAAAATTGTCAGGAATATTTGAAGGAAGTACAGACAGAGAGAAGATGCTATCATTTAGAGTGAGGTCACAAAATTTTTAAAATCAGTCACCCAATGTTCTATCATAATTCAATGGCTTTTTACATTTAACATATTCTCCAAAGTTCACTAAAATAAAGTGACGATTCCTAACTTTGATTGTATGGTAGCTTAGACAATTTTTATTCAAAAGATGTCATAAGATTGCTTAAAAAGCAAAACACTCCAATGTTTCAGAAGTTTCTCTTTCTGGACTAGTTCACTCCCATAGAAAACACAAATTCTGGAAAAAATAAGTTAAAAATCAAGTAGCTAAAAGCATTGAAATGACCAAAAATAGGCAGAAAATAGAGGGAAGTTAATATATGGATGAATAGAGTGGTATTTCTTGAGATTCTGGATTTAACAGATTTTTGCTTAAGGTAGAAAATTTGTGCTCCACTGATAGAAATCTAAAATGCTTGAAGCACCAGAATAGAAAGCTTAGGACTACACAGCAGGTGGAAAATTAAAGGAGGTCCCTGGAAAATAGACCCACAGAGGGGACACTCCAAACTCTGTGTATATACTTTGCCCAGAAATGTGACTAATCACTCAAGTATGCCTGTGAACTGTAAAGAAATATCAGATGCTACCTATCATAGGTGTTAGAGAGTTCAGTTTGAATCTGGCCAATGTAACTGCTAAATTTATTTTTTAATGTACTCTTTGTCAGGGAGTATAATAGAATCCAGGATCTCTATGGCGTATCTCACAATGTATGGGATACAATCCAAAATCAGTAGACATATGAAGGAAAATGGAAATGTGATTCATTCTTGAGAAGAAGGCAACTAATACAGATTGATTGTGAAATGAAGAATTTAGGATTTTAAAGCAGTTATTATAAATAGAATATAAAGGGAAATATCCTTATAATGAATAAAAAAATTAGAAATCAGAGTAGAGAAATAAAACTATGTAAAAGAACCAGATAGCCATTCTAGAATTAAAAAAAACTTACATGAAATAAAAATTTCTACATGGCCTTCACAGATTTAAACATAATAGAAGAAGTAGTGAACTTGAATCAGATCAATAGAAATTATACAGTCTGAAGAGCAGAGAATGAAATAAAAGAAAAACTTCAGTGATTTGTGAGACCATGTCAAAATGTTTAACATGTATGTAATTGGAATATCAGAAATACATTTGACTAAATAATAGTGGAAAATCTTCAAATTTATTGACAAGTAGAAATTTATAGATGAAAAACTTAGTAAATTTCAAAGAGAATTTATGTAGAGAATGAAAATATAAAGGAAACTACACTAAGGCTCATCATAGACAAACTGCTAAAAACCAAAGATAAAGAGAAAATTTTGAAAGAAGCTTAAGAAAATCACATATTACATATAAGAGATTAGCAGAAAAATTTTTCATATCTCATTACAATAGTGGAAACCAGGAGGCAGTAGAGCATCTTAAATGTGCTAAATGGAAAAGGAAACAGAAGCAGTCAATTTAGAATTCTACATATAGTTAAAATATACTCCAATAATGAAAGTGAAAGAAATTTTAAAATAAACAAAGGCTAAGAAAATATTTGTCAGCAGACCTGCCTTTCAAATAATGATGAAGAAAATTCTTCATGTTGAAAGACAGTGCTACCAGATGGATAGCTGGATTTTCAGGATGGAAACAGGGAATTGCAAATAGGTAAGTGAGTATAGAAGCCTATTATTTTTCCTTTTAACTTATTTTAAATACATATGATTGGTTTTTTAAAACAAAATTATGATACATAGTGGGGTTTATTTTGTACTTAGAAATAAAATCGTACATAGGATAGCTGTAGCATAAAGGACAGGGGAATTGTATAATGGTAAATCAATCTATATGGTTCAACTTCCTCACATTTTATATAAAATGGCACAATATTCCTAATCCCTTGGAAATATTTATAATTCAAATAGAAGGTTACAGGGATTTTATTCAATTTGTTTGACTTTGCAATAGAAATGTCAGTATAAACTAAGGATTTTTTAAAAAATATTTTGTATTCTGCTAATCTATATACAGAAAGACCTAGAAATGACAACTCATTGTAGTAAACAGCCCTAGAGTCCAGCTTCTAGTCTCTAAGTCTTATTCCCTAAGGGATTCTTTTTTCATTTATAATCTAATTTGGTCTTTTAAATTGTGGAAAACAGTTATGTAGTTTCGATATATAACTAGATACCTTCAGAAACATATGTCCATTCTAGTCCCCATCCTTCATCTTCCCTCTGTGGCTTCTGTTAAACATGGTAGACAATTGCCCTATGCAGCTATACAAACTTGTATTAATTAAAATTAAAAATTCAGTTCCTTAATTATATTAGTCATAAGTGCTCAATAGCACATGTAGCTAGTGGTTACCATATTGTAAAATTCAGGTTATATAATATTTCTATCATTACAGAAAGTTCTATTGGACAGTACTTCCTTAGGAAAGCACTAAAAATTAGTGCAAAGAGGTATAGCTCATACATAAATTTTACAATTAAAAAAAAAAAACAAAAATAAAAACACAAACCAAACACAGAATAAGGTGGGGAGGAAAGAATAAAAGAACAGGAAATGGATGGAAAAAAAGAAAACAAGTAGGAAAATAGTAGCTCTAAATGCATCCATATCAATAATTACACTAAATGCAAATGAACTAAATATTCTAATTAAAATACAGATTTTCAGCATGTATAAAAAAGGAAGATACAACTATGTGCCATCTTTAAGAAATTAACTTTAGGATTAAGATGGTGGATAGGAGGTAGGACTAGCTTGCAGCTCCTGCTCAGACAGACAGAACATTGTGTGGAGACTTACATCGTGAACTGTTGCTTCAAGAACTACCACAGGAACATACTAGGAAAGATGACAGAATCCACAGAACCTTTGAAGGAACTGGATCACTGCTGCAGGCTCACTGAGATGTGGAAAAACTGAGTCTGCTTGCTTTCTCAACAAAGAGGCTTGTGGTCTGGGTCAAGTTCTCCGCCCTGATCACCAGCTGCCTGGAAATAGACTTGGTGCTGTTGAGGGGCAAGATAGGAGTGAGACCGGCATTTAGGACTGTCAGCTGCATGAGAGCATGGTGAGGCTGGTGACTGCCAGCTTTCCTCACTTGCCTGGTGATTTGTATGACTCAGGAGAGGCAGCCATAATCCCCCTGGAAATATAACTCCATTGGACTGGGAACCACTCACCCATCCCCCACAGCAGCCACAGCAAACTTCGCCCAAGGAGAGGCTGAGCTCAGACACGCCTCTCCCTGCCCCCTCCTGGTGGTCTTTTTTTACCCTCCCTGGTAGCTGAAGACAAAGGTCATAATCTCTTTGGAACTCTATGGCCCTGCCCACTGCCTGAGAATCCTGAATGCTTAACCAGGTGTCCCTAGGGCAAGGTTGCATCCTCCCTACAGGATCACAGCTGATGCCCTCTTGAAAGTGCCACCTCCTGGCTGGAGGCCAAGCAACACAAAACCAGCACACTAAACAAAAACACAACCAAGGAGCCTCACAGAGTGACTCCCCTGCCACCTCCACCAGAGCAGGTACTGATATCCATAGCTGCAAGACCTGAAGACGGATCACATCACAAGACCCTTTGCAGGCACTCCCTACTACCAGCCCAGAGCCCGGTAGCTCTGCTGGATGGCTAGACCCAGAAGAGCAAAAACAATTACTATAGTTCAGCTCTCAGGAAGCCCCATTCCTAGGGGAAGAGGAGAACACTACATCAAGTAGTGTTGGGATAACAGAATCTGAACAGCAGCCCTTGAATCCCACATCTTCCCTCTGACGTAGTCTACTCAAATGAGAAGGAACCAGAAAATGATTCTGGTAATATGACAAAATAAGTTTCTTTAACACTCCCAAATGATCATACCAGCTCATCAGCAATAGATCCAAACCAAGACAAAATCTCTGAATTGCCAGAAAAAGAATTCAGAAGGTTGATTACTCAGCTAATCAAGGAGTCATCAGAGAAAGATGAAGTCCAACTTAAAGAAATAAAAAACATGATACAGGATATGAAAGGAAAATTCTTCAGTGAAATAGAGAGCACAAATTAAGAACAATCACAACTTCTGGAAATCAAGGATACACTTAGAGAAATGCAAAATGCACTGGAAAGTCTCAGTAATAGAATCGAACAAGCAGAAGAAAGAACTTCAGAGCTCAAAGACAAGGCTTTCACATTAACTCAACCCATCAAAGATAAAGAAAAAAATTTTTAAAAATGAACAAAGCCTCCAAGAGGCTTGGGACTATGCTAAATGTCTGAGCCTAAGAATAATTGGTGTTCCCTAGGAAGAAGAGAAATTTGAAAGTTTGGAAAACATATTTGAGGTAATAATAAAGGAAAACTAACCCCAGCCTTGCTAAGGATCTAGACATCCAAATACAAGAAACTGAAAGAACACCTGGGAAATTCATCGCAAAAAGATCATTGCCTAGGCATATGGTCATCAGGTTATCTAAAATCAAGATGAAGGAAAAAAATCTTAAGAGCTGTGAAGCAAAAGCATTAGGTAACTTATAAAGGAAAACCTATCAGATTAACAACAGATTTCTCACCAGAAACCCTACAAGCTAGAAGGGATTGGGGTCCTATTTTTAGCCTCATTAAACAAAACAGTATCAGCCAGAATTTTTTATCCAGTAAAACTAGGCTTCATCAATGAAAGAAAGATACAGTCTTTTTCAGACAAACAACTGCTGAGAGAATTCACCACTACCAAGCCAGCACTATAAGAACTGCTAAAAGGAGCTCTAAATCTTGAAACAAATTCTCGAAATACACCAAAATAGAACATCCTTAAAGAATAAATCTCACAGCACCTATCTAACAAAAACACAATGACAAAAAAACCAAGGTATTCAGGGAACAAATAGCTTGATGAATAGAACAGTACCTCACGTCTCAATACTATCGTTGAATGTAAATGGCCTAAATGCTCCACTTAAAAGATACAGAATGGCAGAACGGATAAGAATTTACTAACCAAGGTACTGCTATCTTCAGGAGACTCACCTAACCCATAAGGACTCACATAAACTTAAGATAAAGGGGTGGAAAAAGATATTCCGTGCAGTGGACACTAAAAGTGAGCAGGAGTAGCTATTCTTATATCAGACAAAGCAAACTTTAAAGCAACAGCAGTTAAAAAGACAAAGAAGGATATTATATAATGATAAAAAGACTAGTCCCACAGGAAAATATCAAAATCCTAAATATATAAGCACTTAGCACTGGAGCTCCCTAATTTATAAAGCAATTACTAGTAGACCTAAGAAATGAGATAGATGGCAACACAATAATAGTGTGGAACTTTAATACTCCATTGACAACACTAGACAGGTCATCAGGATAGAAAGTCAACAAAGAAGCAGTGAAGTTAAACTATACCGTAGAACAAATGGACTTAACAGATATTTACAGAACATTTTACCGAACAACTACAGAATATACATTCTTTCATCAACACATAGAACATCCTCCAAGATAGACCATATGAGAGGCCACAAAAACAAGTCTCAGTAAATTTAAGAAAATCAAAATTATATCAGGTACTCTCTCAGACCACAGTGGAATAAAATTGGATATTAACTTCAAAAGGAACCCTCAAAACCATGCAAATACATGGAAATTAAATAACCTGCTCCTAAGTGATCATTGGACCAACAATGATATCAAGATGGAAATTAAAAACATTTTTGAACAAATGATAATAGTGACAAAACCTCTAGATACAGCAAAAGCGGGGCTAAGAGGAAAGTTTATAGCATTAAATGCCTACATCAAAATGCCTGAAAGAGCACAAATATACAATCAAATGTCACAACTCATGGAACTAGAGAAACAAGAATAATCCAAAACCAAACCCAGCAGGAAAAAAGAAATAATGAACACCAAGCTGAGAATCAAATAAAAAATTCAACCTGGTTTACAATAGTTGCAAAAATAAATAAATAAATAAAATACTTAGGAACATACCTAACCAAAGACATGAAAGACCTCTACAGGGAAAACTACAAAACACTGCTGAAAGAAATCAGACAACACAAACAAATGGAAAGACATTTCATGTTCATGAATGGGTAGAATCAATATTGTGAAAATGGCTATACTTCCCAAAGCAATTTACAGATTCAATGCAATTCCTATCAAAATACCACCATAATACTTCACACAACTAGAACAAACAATCCTAAAATGTATATGGAGCCAACAAAGAGCCCGCATAGCCAAAGCAAGACTAAGCAAAAAGAACAAATCTGGAGGCATCACATTACCCAACTTCACATTATTTTACAAGGCTACAGTTAACAGAATGACGTGGTACTGGTATAAAAATAGGCACACAGACCAAATGTAACAGAAATAGAGAACTCAGAAATAAAGCCAAATACAGCCAACTGATCTTCGACAAAGTAAACAAAAACATAAAGTGGTAAGTATACCCTATTCAAAAAATAGTGCTGGGGTAATTAGCAAGCCACATGTAGAAGAATGAAACTGGATCCTCATCTCTCACCTTATATAGAAAAATCAACTCTAGATCAATCAAACACTTAAATCTAAGATCTGAAACCATAAAGATTCCAGAAGATAACATCAGAAAAACCAAATCCTTCTAGACATTAGCTTAGGTAAAGACTTTATGACTAGGAATTCAAAAGCAAATGCAAGAAAAACAAAGATAAATAGATGGGACTTAATTAAATTAAAAAGCTTCTGCCCAGCAAAAGAAATAATCAGCAGAGTAAACAGACAACCCACAGAGTGGGAGAAAATCTTCACAATCTATACATCTGACAAAAGACTAATTTCCAGAATCTACAAAGAACTCAAACAAATCAGCAAGAAAAACACAAGCAACCATATCAAAAAGTGGGCTGAGGACGTGAATAGACAATTCTCAAAAGAAGATACACAAATGGCCAACAAGCACATGGAAAAATGTGCAATATCACTAATAGGGAAATCCATATCAAAACCACAATGTGATACCACCTTATTCCTGGAAGAATGGCCATAATCAAAAAATGAAAAAAAAATAGATGTTGGCGTGGATGCAGTGAAAAGGGAACACTTTTACACTGTCAGTGGGAATGTAAACTAGTATAACCACTATGGGAAACAGCGTGGAGATTCCTTAAAGAACTAAAAGTAGATCTACTATTTGATTCTGCAATCCCACTACTAGGTATCTACCCAGAGGAAAAGAAGTCATTATACAAAAAAGATACTTGCAAATGCATGTTCATAGCAGCACAATTTGCAATTGCAAAAATATGGAACTGCCCACATGCACATCAATCAATGAGTAAAGAAAATACGGTATATGTATACCATGGAATACTACTCAGCCATAAAAAGATCAGCCAGCTGATCTTTGACAAAGCAAACAAAAACATAAGGTGGGGGAAGCACACCCTATTCAAAAAATGGTGCTGGGATAATTAGCAAGCCACATGTAGAAGAATGAAACTGGATCTTCCTCTTTCACCTTATGCAAAAATCAACTCCAGCAACATCCAGGAACCTGGATGGAATTGGAGACTATTATTCTAAGTGAAATATTTAGGAATTGAAAACCAAACATTGTATGTTCTCACTCATATGTGTGAGCTAAGCTATGAGGACACCAAGGCATAAGAATGATACATCAGTCTTTGGGGACTCAGGGAAAAGGGTTGGGGATGGTGATGGATAAGAGACTACACACTGGGTACAGGGTACACTACTCAGGTGATGGGTGCACCAGAGTCTCAGCAATCACTACTAAGAGAACTTGTTCATGTAACCATACACTATCGGTTCCCCAAAAACCTATTGAAATAAAAATAAATGACTAGAAACACCATACAATCTGTTCCCCAAAAACCTATTGAAATAAAAATAAATTAAATAACTAAAAACACTGCACAAGTGGCAAATATATATACACACATGTGTATATATACACGTGTGTGTATATATGTATATATATATATCAGATATATACATATCAGATTTCAATAACATTTACCAGTAAAAAAGAAATTAACTTTATTTTTTCTGTGGACACAGTAAAATAAATATGTTCTGATTCACTTTAATTACAGGTGGCTTAACATCACCTAAGTTGCAGGTTGTTGATAACTGTCTGTACTGAACTATAATTAGAAACAAAATGAAATTACATTTTAGGTGGTAGGCAAATGTAGTTAACCAGTGTTAAAGATGATAATATATTTACCAATAACCTTTAGCATGTCAAACTGTGATAATTTATAAAAGTATATGGCAGAATGCTTGGCATATAGTAGGCACTCAATAAATGGTAGAAAGTATTATCAGCATCCGTATGTTTAATTAGTCATGATGCATAGTGTGGATATGAAAGCAAAACTATTAAATAGTATTTTTAAAAATTGGTTATGCTCAGAGGATGATCGAGAATCAATTGATTATCTTGAAACTTGTTTAATAAAATAACAGCATTTATTGTGCCTTTCCTGTATGAACTTGTTTTGGTCCATTTTCACTACTATGAAGAACTACCCGAGACTGGGTAATTTATAAAGAAAAGAGGTTTAATTGACTCATAGTTCCACATGTCTGGGGAGGCCTCAGGAAACTTACATTCAGGAAGGAAGGCGGAGGGGAAGCAAGGCACACATCTTACATGGCTGCTGGAGAGAGAGAGAGTGAAGGGGAACTGCCAAACACATTTAAACCATGAGATCTCAGGAGAACTCACTATCATGGGAACAGCATGGGGGAACTGCACCCATGATCCAATCAGCTCCCACCAGGTCCTTCCTTTGGCATGTAGGGATTACAATTTGAGATGAGATTTGGGTAGGGACAAAGAGCTAAACCATATCAGAACTCTACCACTGGGTAACCAAATAGTAGGTGAAGATAGTGCCTCTTTTTCATGAATTATCCCAACTAATAATTTTTTTAAAATGATGGAAGTAGAACGTCATCATTTGCAGTCTGCGAGAATTAATTGAGTCACCTTAACATCATTAAAACAGAAATGGCTAAACATTATTAATGTGCCCTCTAATGAAAGAATAAACCACCACCTCTAGTCTTACCAAGGTATCTAATTTGATCAAGCCTTTAGATTCAGCTGCCAGTTTGCAGAATATGGAAACTGCATATATCCAAAGGATGGAAGAACAGGCTGAACTGCTCCCTGACTGTGCACTTCCTGAAATCCAGACTGGTGGAAACTTTACAGGTCAAATGGCCTGAGCTTGTCAACAGATGAAATGAAAAGAAGGGAGAGGGAGAAGATGAATGCCTGTAGATTAAAAGAAACTTTAAATGACATATCAAGTCTTGAAAATGGGAAAGACAAAATTATAGTGTCTAGATATGTACACCTGAGAAATAAAACCACAAGAAAACCTTTGAAAATGATTATTGTAAAGGTCAGGATACTGGGTGTTATGGAGGGAGGGCAGGCGAGGTAATTGTAGGCACAGAGAAGGCTCTCTGGGGCAGGTGGCAGAGTTCTAGAAGAAGTTCACTTTAAAGATAAAGATAAGTTGGATGGAAAAAATATGTACAAAGAAGCAATAAACATTAGAAAACTGACACAGCCACATTTAGTGTCAGAGATAAAGTAAAGGAAAAACTATCAGATTAAGAGACACATTTTATAATGATAATATGAATATGGTCAATACGCCAGAAAGACATAATCATAAATCAGTATGATCCTAATAAAATATCTAAAATATATGTAGTATTAAAATAGAATTTAAGGAAGAAATAGGCAAATCTGCAATCAGAGTTGAAGATTTTAACATTTCTGTTAGCAACTGATAGAACAGATCAAGAGCTCTCTGTTAGGAATTACATGATATGAATACCACTATTAACCATTTGATATTTATAGAATATTATACTCGGTGACTACAGAATACGCATTCTTTTCAAGAACACATGGCATGTCCTCAAAGATAGACCATGTTGGGCTAAATGCAAGTCTAAATAAATTTAAGATAATTGGAATAATATGAAGTACATTCTATAACCACAATGAAATTAATTAAAAATCAAGAACTAGAAACTAGAAAAAAAGATACTTGGAAATTAAGCCACATACTTACAAATAACTTGTAGCTCAAAGAAGTCACAAGGGAAATTAGGAAATATTTCAAACTGGATGCAAATAAAAATACATCAGAATTTGTGGTTATAGTTGAAGCAGTGCTAAGAGAGATATTTTTAACTTTAATATTTGTATTAGAAAATAAGAAGGATCTAAAATTACTGACTCAAGTTTCTACCCAAAGGGAGTAGAAAAAGAAGAGCAAATTACAGCCAAAACCAATACAACAAGGGAAATAATAAACATTAGAGCAGAAATCAATGAAACAGAACAAACTAAAGAGAAATAACAAATCCAAATGTGATTTTTGGAAATGATTATTAAAGGTGATAAACCCCTCACTAGATTGATGACAAAAATAAGAGAGATCCAAAATTACCAATATCAAGAATGAAACAGGGGTAAGACTAATGATTCCACAGATATTAAAGGATAATAAGTGAATATTATGATTTGTTTTAGGTCATTAACTCAACAACTAAGATCTAATTGGCAAATTTTCTTTAAAAGTAGGGTTACCAAAACTGACTCAATTAAAAAAATAGGTATGCATTTGTTAAAGAAATTGAATTTGTCAGTAAGAACCTCCTTACACAGAGAAAAACAGATGGTTTCACCAGTGGATTCTATGAAACATTTGTAGGAGAAAGAGCACTGATCTCACACAAGCTTTTTCAGAAAACAGGTAGAGGAAACCATTTCTAATTTATGAGGCCAGCATAACACTGATATAAAAACATCACCAAAAAAGAAGAAAATTATAGCTCTATAGCCTGATGAATATGGACAGAATGTTTTTTTAAAATACTATATTATCGATTGGAATTCAGCAGTATATAAAAGGACCATTTATTATGATCAAGTGGGATTTATTCCAGGAACATAAAGTTGGTTAAATGTTTCAGTATGAAAATACGACTTAACCATATTAAAGAATAAAAAGAAAACTCTTAATATTATTTCAACATATGTAGAAACATTTTACTAAATTTCATATACATTTATGATAAAAATTCAAATGATTTAATCCATAATCTGATAAATGCTGTGTTTGGAAAACATACAGTTTGTATCATATTTAATGGTAAAATATTGACTCTAAATTTGGTTGACTCTTACCACTTTTATTTACATTATATTATGTAAGTATAATAAGGCAAGAAAAAATAGAAGGCATACAGATTGGAAAAAAAGATGTAAAACTATTTGAAGATGGCTTGATTCTCTCATCCAAAAACAAGTAACATCCCTCTCACTCCACCAGCACAAACAAAAGATCCTCTCCCTGAATCTAAATGCATTCTTAGTGTCTTCTAGTGGTTTACATCATAGCAGAGACTTTAGAACAAGCTTGTTGAACCTGCGGCCCATGGGCTGCATTCAGCCCAGGACAGCTTTGAATGTGGCGCAGCACAAATTCATAGCCTTTCTTAAAACATTATGAGATTTTTTTTGCAGTTTTTATTTTTATTTTCTTAGCTCATTAGCTATTGTTACTGTATTTTATGTGTGGCCCAAGACAATTCTTCTTCTTCCAATGTGGCCCAGGGAAGCCAAAATATTGGACACCCCTACTTTAGAGTCAGTGAGACTTGGCTTCAGAAGCCTGGTGTTCCTTACAATGGTCTTACAGTTGTACATATTAAGGATTAAAATAGATAATGTGTATAAATATTGATACTATAGCATTTGGCCAAAAGTAAGTGCTCATATAATGACAGCAGTTAAATTATTATCACTATTCAGTCTTCCTTCTCCCCTTCGTGACCATACTACTTTAAAGAATAGAATACTTTATACACATAGTCTTCACAGACCTTTCCTTTACTCCTAAGACATGTATTCCCCGAACACTAACCTTATGAGTAACTATTTGATTATTCTGTCTATTGGACATGTTTTTAATACATCTGTGTTCTAATAGGTGTAATGTATCTCTGACAGTCTTACAGCTTCCAAATTCTAATTTGTTCTTTACTCCTTTATATTGTCTGCCCTCCAAAACCATTTTTCTTTAGAGCATTCTATTTAAAATGTAAAATTTAATTCCCACTACTTTTCTGAAAACACTTTGCCCTTTTCTTTCCCTAGAGGATAAAGATACTGCTCATTAATGTAGCACATCTCTGCCTGACTGCCTGCCTGCTACTTATACAGACTTACCTTTCACCTCTCCCTACATTGCTGAAGAGTGTCATCCTTATATCCCCCCATTGCTCTCCATATTGCAGTAAAGTCAGAACATTTAGGCGCTATTGTAAGTGATTTAATAGTGTATTTTGTCCTGCACTATACTATGAGTCCTTGAGGGCAGGGACCATGCCTTTATTCCTATTTTTATCGTTAGCATTTGGCACAATTACTGATAAGCAGCTGGCACTACAATATTTTTAGTGAATAAGTGAATAGAAGATCATTATCAACCTGAAAGATTTTAATTTATAAGAAAACTTCTTGACTTGGGGAATTAATTTTATGCTTTAGTCTTAAAAATATATCAAACGTTGACTTTTCATTAGTTTCCTTATCATTATTGCATAAAATCTCATTCTTCTATTCAAAACATTGATGACATAGATTTATGTTTTGTGCTACTTTAAATTTTAAGATAGTTAATATCTGATATTAGCAACATCTTATAATGTGTGTTTGTGGGAACCAATAATTACATTGTATATATTTTTATTCCAGAAATGCATAATACATCACAATTTTGCACTAAGCTAACATCTTTTAAAATGCCCGATGTGTGAGAAATGAATGTATTTCTTCTAGAAACAAGCTGCTGAAATCTTCTCAAACTTCTTTAAAATTCTGTTCAGGTTGTTTTAGTTTGAATACAGTTGTTGAATTATTTTTACCTAAAGTTTTACTTGATTTGCTTAGAGTAGCATATCACACCTTACCTTGATTGTATGTGGTCCACATCATTTTATTTCTTACATGAAGAGAGGTTCCATAATCATCAATTGAATTCTTCATGTATAAATAATACAAAAATGCTCAATATACTATTGATATATGTGATTTATAAAGGTTATATTTATTTTTCTACCAAAATAGACATTTTAAAAGGCTTTTTTGTAATCTTTTATGATTATGGTAGAAAAGATTCTTTAAACATAAAATAAAGGATTTATTCATGATAGTATCCAAATATTGCTGGATTAATATTAAGGACATTAAAACATCTTTGCAGATTTAAATTATAAAGCATTATTAGCTTGTATTTTTTGGTTCATCTGTGTTCTCAGGATAAACTAAATTGGATTAAAAATAAAGCTATAATGAAATCTGTTCTATTAATCATCTTTCTAGTTAATAGCCGGTGATTAGAGAAGTTTATACAGTAGTTTCCTAGGTGACTATGAACCCTCCAGTTTTTCTGCAGTTCATTTTATGTATAATTAATAGACATATTTCTTAAACATTCTTTCCTTGGCAATTTTTTTCTTCCTTTTCTATAGTGCATACTTCTCATGTAGTGTTCTCTTTACAGAGGCATTCATTAAATGGCAACTAATTTATTGTATCAGTTATTTTTTATAACTTCATTACTATCCAAATAGTTATTAGCTTTTAATCATGGATTATTTTCTTCTTGAATTGGTTAGAAATTCCTTCTTCATTTTAGGGAATATTGTATTATAGGGAAAAATAAGGATGATTTCAATAAGTTTAATGTGAATTCATTTTTTAGACAGAAATAGCCTTTATTAAAAACCACTGTGTGTTAAATATATTCATTATGTAGCCACTGTTATGTGCTAAATAACATTGCATTTTGGCATACTAAGGGAGGAGATATAACATGGACTTGACTTCATAGGTCCTCAAAGAAGGATGTAGAACAAGGGTGTCGGTGTCAAATAGTGTCTGAAGATTATATTATAATTTCTAATGAGTAACTTGAGTCTGGAAATAAGAAAATACAGATTATTTTTGCTACCAACTTTCTGAGTATGTGTCTTTGGCCAAGCCACTTCACTTGAGCTCAATTTTTTTCATCTATTAAATGAGATTGAATGAAATGTTCTTTTTAATTTTCTGAATTTTCAAATTTCTGGTTCTAGTGAAATATCTCAGTATGTCTGGTTCTCCAAGTTTCTGACTCTAGTGAAAATTTTTAGAAAATGTAAAGCAGTAAACTTTACAGTTGCAAGTAAGTACAATTAATATAATGCAAGCAAAAGATATAAGTATTGACAGAACATAGGACTTCTAGATGTGCATAGAGTTAATTGGAAAGTCTTCAGAACAGATGTGACATATTTTGAAAGCATATCAAGTGAGATAATGAGTAAGTGGAGGGCAGGAGAAGTGTGTTACTAGGATAAAAAAGTATGTATAGGTGGCAGTCAGTTGAAGACCACAGGCAGATTTGATTGACTGAAGTGACGACTTCATGCTGAGGAATACTAGGAAATGAGGCTTTTGAGACTGTGAAGAGTAGAATCGTGTCAATTAGAGAAGTGCCTTGAAAGCCATGCTAAGGAGTTTAGATTTGATGCTTAGTGATGGGCAACCACAGCATGCTTTTGAGCTGGGGAGCCCAAGAGTAAATGTGCCTGAGAAAAATATTCTAGTTGTGTTTAATAAGATGCAATGAGAGTGAAGAGCTTAAATATTTCATGGAGAGATTGGTAAAATTGCACCAGAAAATGGGTTAGCTTTGATAGGAAAAGGCATGGCTTTTAAAAATTAGCTATCATATTTAGGTTAGTTGGATTTTCAGTGAATGTAGTTAAAAGATAGCCTCATGGTCTGAGGGCAAAAATATATAGAATTTATTATCTTGCCCCAGAGTCCCTAATTATTATTCCCTTGCATTTTCTTACATATTGGATATGAAAGTGCAAAGAATGAGAAAGATGGATTATTGAATTTTTGTCAGAACCAAACTTTTAAGAGATATATGACATTTTAAAGCATATTCCAAATTTCATGTATGTATGTAATGGTTGTTACATCATGCATTGTCAGCTTATAGATTATTGCTGTGCATGTTAACTGTTTTGTACTTATATATGTACATATTTCAAACGTATGGGAATTAGGTATATTTAAAAATGAGCCCTCAAAGTCATACAGATAGGAAACTACATTAATGACTCTCCATGGATGTGGTTGACAAAAGTGAATCATTTAAATGACTGTTTTCTTTCCCTCTAGTCTTTTTTAGCACTGGTGAACTTGTTATCCTATCCTGCTATTTATGAGCTTGTAAGGAATCAAGATCTTCCTAATAAAACAGAATATTCTCTTCGTGAAGTCCCAACATGTGTTATTGTAAGTCATTTTCTTTAAATCTTTCTCTGTTATAAATGCTACTATTTGAGATTGGTAGTAAAAAGGTAATTTGACCAAAAAGAGAAAAAAGAAACATTATGTAATGGCATTTAAGGGCTGATTTGATTAATCATGCATGAATTATATCAACTTTTGAATTTTCTATGCGTGGAATCTTTGATCCAGGTCACCTAACATTCCCAAGACCTATCAGAATACAAGGCTAACTCCAACCAGGAAAGATACTTGGCATAAATAGAAGTATACATGTGAGTGATTTTTAGATGACTCATTACATTATTAGTCAAACCAGTGATGCTGCTTCATTGGCTAGGATAATTAGGAATAAATTGTATCCACGGAGTCCACTGCGTTTTCTGCTTATATTTGAATGAACTACATATTATTGCCCCATGAGGGCAGTATATACAAATTTATTTAATTTGAGAACTATGTTGTACTAATATTCACAGATAAGTAACTTGTTTTAATCATTAAGGGATATTTAGTTCCTTAACTTTGGGTACATTTATGAATTAAACACATAGAAACGTGTATATGCATATAAGGATTAATAAAGACTTGATATTGAAATTTTATTATTGATCATTCTTTTTCATTTTCTGGTTGCTTTGTCCTATGTGATATTTTTTTTTCATAAACATAGTTTTGCCCTTTTGAATACCTTTAAACCTGTTAACCCTAAATACTTGGATTTTTAAAAATTTTGTCTACTTTGGGAAACTTTTAATAGCTTATATGACGTGAAATACAAAGATAGGTACTTCTATCATTTAACATTAACTTAGATTCTCTTATCTTCTTTTCGTTGAAGTTTTTCAATTGTATTTTGTGCTTACTTGTATGTTGGCACTTCTTAAGTACAGGTATACCTCAGAATTATTGCGGGTTCAGTTCCATACCACCGCAATAACATGAATATTGCAATAAAGGAAGTCACACAAATTTTTTGTTTTCCCATGTAAAAGTTATGTTTACACTATACTTTAGTCTAAAATGTGCAATAGAATTACGTCTAAAAAAGTTTATTGCTTAATTAAAAATACTTTGTTGCCAAAAAAATGCTAATGAACATCTGAGCCTTCAGTGAGTTGTATTCTGTTTTGCTGGTGGAGAGTCTTACCTCATTGTCGATGGCAGCTGACTGATCAGTGTGTTGGTTGTTGTGGGCTGGGGTGGCTCTGGCAATTTCTGAAAATAAGAGAACAGTGAAGTTCACTGCATCACTTGACACCTTTCGTGAAATATTTCTCTGAAGTATTTGATACTTTTTGATAGCATTTTACCCACAGTAGAACTTCTTTCAGAATTGAGGTCAATCCTCTCAACCCACTCACTGCTTTATCAACTAAGTTTATGTAATATTTTAAGTCCTTTGTTGTTATTTCAACAGTGTTCACAGCATCTTCACCAGGAGTGGATTCCATCTTTGCTCATCCATAAGAAACCACTCAACTCCTCATCTGTTTGATTTTGATCTTAAGATTGCAGCAATTCAGTCACATCTTCAGGCTCCACTTTTAATTCTAGTTTTCTTGCTATTTCCACCATGTCTGTAGTTACTTGTTCTACTGAAGTACTGAACTTCTTTAAGTCATCCATTAGGGTTGGAATCAGCTTCTTCCAAACTCCTGTTAATGTTGATATTTTGGCCTCTTCTCGTGAATCACAGATGTGGCATCTTAATGGTGAATCCTTTCCAGAAGGTTTTCAATTTACTTTGCCCAGATCTGTCAGAGGAATCACTATTTATGGCAGTTATAGCCTTACAAAATATATTTCTTAAATATTTGAAAGTCAAAATTACTCCTTGATTTATGGGCTACAGAATGGATGTTATGTTAGCAGGCACAAAAACAATATTAATCTCCTTAAACATCTCCATCAGAGCTCTTAGGTGACCTGTTGTGTTGTCAGTGAGCAGTAGTATTTTGAAAGGAATCTTTTTACTGAGCAGTAGTTTTCAATGGTAGGCTTAAAATCTGCAGTAAACCCATGCAGTCACATATGTACTGTCATTTACTTTATTTTTCCATTTATATAGCATAGGCAGAGTAGATTTAGCATAATTTTCCAGTGCTCCAGGATTTTTGGAATGGTAAATGAGCATTGGCTTCTGCTTAAAGTCACCATCTGCATTAGCTCTTAAGAAGAGAGTTCGCCTGTCTTTTGATGCTTTGGATCCAGGCACTGACTTCTCCTTTCTAGCTATGAAAATCCTAGACGGTATCTTCTTCCAATATAAGGCTGTTTTGTTTGCATTGAAAATCTCTTGGCCGGGCGTCGTTGTTCATGCCTGTAATCCCAGCACTTTGGGAGGCCGAGGTGGGGAGATCACCTGAGGTCTGGAGTTCGAGAGCAGCCTGGCCAACATGGTGAAACCCCGTGTCTAGTAAAAATACAAAAATTAGCTGGACGTGGTGGCGCATGTCTGTAATCCCAGCTACATGGGAGGATGAGGCAGGAGAATCACTCGAACCTGGGAGGTAGAGGTCGCAGTGAGCCAGGATCATGCCACTACACTCCAGCCTAGGCGATAGAATGAGACTCAATCTCAAAAAAAAAAAAAAAAAAGAAAAAGAAAAATCTCTTTAATGTAGCTAACTTCATCAATTATCTTAGCTAGATCTGGATAACTTGCAACTTCTACATCAGCACTTGCTACTTCATCTTGTACTTTCATGTTATTCAGACAGCTTCTTTCCTTGAATCCCATGAACCAACCTGTTAATTTCAAACTTTTCTTCTGTAGCTTCCTCATTTCTCTCAGCCTTCGTAAAACTAAAGAGAGTTAGAGCCTTCTCTGGATTAGGGTTTGGCTTAAGGGAATGCTGTGGTTGGTTTGATTTTTCTCTTCAAATCACTCAAACTTTCTTCATATCAGTAATAAGTTTGTTTCATTTTGTTATTATTCATGTGTTTCCTGGAGTAACACTTTTAATTTCCTTAAAGAACTTTTTCTTTGCATGCACAACTTGGCTAATTGGCACAAGAGGCCCAGCTTTTGGCCTGTCTCAGTTTTTGACATGCTTTCCTCAACAAGCTTAGTCACTTTTAGGTTTTGATGTACAGTGAGAGACACTCAACTTTTCCTTTTATTTGAACCCTTAGAGGTTTTGTAAGGTTACTAATTGCGCTAATCTTAATATTGTTGTGTCTCAGGTAATAAGGAGGCCCCAGGAGAAAGAGAAAGATAGGTGGATGACCAGTTGGTGGAACAATCAGAACAACATTTATCTGTTAAGTTTGTTGTCTTATCTGGATACAGTTCATGGTGCCCCAAAATAATTAAAATAGTAACATCAAAGATTACCAATCACAGGTCCTCATAACGGAATAATTATGAAAAGTTTGTAATATTGTGACAGTTACCAAAATGTGATGCAGAGACACAAAGTGAACACATGCTGTTAGAAAAATGACCCCAGTAGACTTGTTTGACGTAGCGTTGCTACACATCTTAAATATTCAAAAAAGCATATTATCTGCAAAGTATAATAAGTGACATGCAATAAAACAAGGTATGCCTGTAGTTTTATCGTTAGTCATTTATGTGCCTGTATTTCCCACTACAGTGGGAGTACCTTAGAGAAAGTAGGCTGTCTTAGAGGTATATAAATCTAGCACATTATACGGATCCAGTGAAAATAATTATTCTAATATGATTGGTTTTATTTAGATTATGGGAAACAAGTACAAATTAGTTTTATGATATAGTCCAAAATGATGGCTTCAATGTTTGTTCTCTTAAGTTTTCATGTATCTCTGTGGGGCGTATTCAAATATATCTTTCCACTTACGGAAAAATTTGTTTTCTGTTTGGTCTTAAGACAGTTAACTGCAGTTATATTATTCTGTTTCTCCCAAAGGCATTATATTTTAACCCTGTAGAAAGATCACTGCTTTCTGTCATGATTTAGACATGTATATGAGTTCCTTTTAAAACAAACAACTCTTTTGATCTATGCCTTCTTTTATTTACCACACTGTAGTTTGCTTTCTTCCCCTCCACCCTAAGCTTCCTGGAAAATTTGTCTGTGCTTTAAGTCTCTATGTTTCTTTCTCTTCTGTCAACCATGGAAGCCACCATAATCTGGCATCTTTGCCCAACTACCTAACTTAAATTGTTCTGCCAAAACCCAATAAATATGTAATTCCCTAATGTAATGGAACCTCCCTGTATTAGTTTGTCATGCTGCTAATAAAGACATACTTGAGACTGGATAACGTAAAAGGAAAGAGGTTTAGTTGACTCACAGTTCAGCATGGCTGGGGAGACTCAGGAAACTTACAATCATGGTGGAAGGGGAAGAAAACACATCCTTCATCACATGGCAGCAGGCAAGAGAAGTGCTGAGCAAAGGGGGAAAAATCCCTTATAAAACCATCATATCTCATGATAACTCACTATCATGAAAACAGCATGGGGGTAACTGCCCCCATGATTCAATTACCACCATGTCTCTTCCATGACATATGGTGTATTAGTCAGCGTTCTTTAGAGGGACAGAACTAATAGGATATATCTCTCTATGTATCTATATATATATCTATATATCAAGGGGAGAAAGATGTAGGCTGAGAGGCTAGGCCAGTCTAGTCTTTTCACATTTTTCTGCCTGCTTTATATTCTAGGCACACAGACAGCTGATTAGAGGGTGCCTACCCAGATTAAGGGTGGGTCTGCCTTTCCCAGCCCACTGACTCAAATGTTAATCTCCTTTGGCAACACCCTCACAGACACACCCAGGATCAAAACTTTGCATCCTTCAATCCAATCAAGTTGACACTCAGTGTTAACCGTCACATGTGGGGATTATGGGAACTACAGTTCAAGGTGAGATTTGGGTGGGGACACAACCAAATCATGTCACATCCCCACCTCCTTTAGCTTAATTTACCACTTTGGAATATTTGACATGGTTTGTCCACTCCTTAGTGTAATTCTTTGTTTCTATGGCTGTGGCATTATTTACTTCTTGTTCTCTTCCTTCTTTTCTGGTCTCTCCTGCATAGTTGTCTTTGTAGACTTCTTTTGCTTTGTTTGTCCTATGGCCTCCAGAGTGATCTCATCCAATTCAGTGGCTTCAGTTACACACTGACAACTCTTTGAGCTATATGACTTGACTGCCAGTTTTATATTTAGAACCCTACCAGACAATGGGCATCTGGAACAATCACAGGCATCTTAGTCTTACTGTGTACAACTGAATGTAATGTTTTCTCCTTCCCAAATCAATTCTGTTTCCTGTTTTTCTCAGTGTATGGTACTATTAGCCACACAATTTAATGAACCAGAAACCTGGAAATCATTATGATTCTTCCCTTTCTATAGGCAACAAATTACCACCTGATAGAATTTGCCTCCCTAACACCTTGATCTTGTTTTCTTTTTGTATTCTTTTTTTTAAAAACTCTTATTTTAGCTTCAGTGGTACATGTGTAGGATTGTTATATAGGTAAACTCATGTTACAGAGATTTGTTGTACAGATTATTTCATCACCCAGGTACTAAGCCTTGTACCTAATAGTTATCTTTTCTGTTCCTCTCCCTTCTCCACCTCCTACCCTCTAATAGGCCCCAGTGTCTGTTGTTCCCCTCTTTGTGTCCATGAGTTCTCATCATTTAGCTCCCACTTATACCTGAGAACATGTGGTATTTGATTTTCTGTTTGTGTATTAGATTGTCTCCAGCTCCATCCATGTTGCCATGAAAGACATGATCTTGTTCTTCTTAAATGCTGCATAGTATTCTATGGTATATATGTCCACATTTTCTTTATTCAATTTGTCATTGATGGGCATTTAGGTTGATTCCATGTCTCACCTTATCCATGTTCTCTCTGGATAAGATTATGACACAAAGCCGGAGAGTTGATATACTTCTGAGGTAGGACAGAAAAGGTATATTGCTGGCCTTGCCAGCTGAAGGCAAATTGCTTCTGGTGGGCCTTATGGACAGGAACGGAGATAAAGGCATTTGCCAAGTCAGTGGCTGCATACCAGGAGATGTGTTAATTTACTCAAGCAATGAAACCACATCTGGTACAGCAGCTGCAGTTTGAGTCACCACTTGGTTAAGCTTAGGATAATCCAGTAGCATTCTTGAAGATCCATCTGTCTTCTGCACAGGCCAAATGGGAGAGTTGAATGGGGCTGTGTTAGGAATCCTCATCCCTGCATCTTTCAAGTCCTTGATGGTGGCACTAATCTTTGCAGTTTCTCCAGGGATGCAATACTATTTTTGATTTAGTGTTTTTCTAGGTAGAGGCAGCTGTAATGGCTTCTATTTTATCTTTCCCAACATAATAGCCCTCACCTTAGCAGTCAGAGAGCCTATGTGGGGGTTCTGCCACAATTTCAGCTCTTTCTCTGCAGGAGATAAAACTCTCAATCAGGGCAATTTTAGCAGATTTGAGGCTCAGTATCTTCTTCTGAAGCCAGGAGACAGAATCTCTGAGTTCATCATTTTCTTTCATCACTTTGTTCACTGAACTTAGAAGCAACCAACCAGCTTCATTATGTTCCTTGGTTTTCCACATATGGTCAAATGTATTACATATAGAGTCACTAAATTCCTTGCCTCTCATGAGCAGTGAATCAGGAGTGTCAAATGCATTTATTTTGCATAACTCTCTAAACAGTTCACGCCAATGACTATCAGTGTTCTCCATACTTTTAGAAATAGAGTCCTCCAGAAACCCCAAAACCAATGAAAGAATTCCAACCTTAATATTCTCTTCCTCTAGAACTACTCCTGGTACCAAAATCTGTATTAGTCAGGGATCCCTAGAGAGCAGAGCTAATACGATAGACATAAATATACCTATAGAGGGGAGTATATTAAATATTAACTTACACAATCAGAAGGCACAATAGGCTGCCTTCAAGCTTGAGGAGCAAGGAGAGCCAGTTTGAGTCTCAAAACTAAAGAACTTGGAGTCTGATATCTGAGGGAAGGAAGCATTCATCACGGGAGAAAGATGTAGGCTGGGAGGCTATGCCAGTCTTGTCTTTTCATGTTTTTCTGCCTGCTTTATATTTGCTGGCAGCTGATTTGATGGTTCCCATCAGATTAACAGTGGGTCTGCCTTCCCCAGCCCACTGACTCAAATGTTAATTTCCTTTGGCAGCATCCTCACAGACACACCCAGGATCAATACTTCGCATCCTTCAATTCAACAAGTTGACACTCAGTATTAACCATCACACCCAGTAATGGGATTGCTGGGTTGAATGGTAGTTCTATTTATCGCTGTTTGGGGACAATTGCTACAATGCTTTCCACAATGGTTGAACTAATTTATACTCTCAGCAATAGTGCATAAGTGTTCTCTTTTCTCCACAATTTCACCATCATCTGTTACTCTTTTACTTTTTTGATAATAGCCATTCTGACTGGTGTGAGATGGCATCTTATTTTGGTTTTGATTTGCATGTCTCTAATGATCAGTAATATTGTGCTTTTTTCGTATGCTTCTTGGCCACATATATGTCTTCTTTTGAAAAGTGCCTGTTCATGTCCTTTGCCCACCTTTTAATGGGATTTTTTTTTTGCAAATTTCTTTAAGTTTCTTATAGATGCTGGATATTAGATACTTGTCAGATGCATAGTTTGTAAATATTTTCTCTCATACTATAGGTTGTCTGTTTAATGTGTTGATACTTATGCTGTGAGGAAGCACTTAAAGTTAATTAGATCCCATTTGTGAATTTTTGCTCTTGTCGCAATTGGTTTTGGCGTCTTTGTCATGAAATTGATGGCAGTGGTGGCCCATCTGGAGCAGTGGCTGCCATGATGCCAGCTTCATTGTGGAAGACAAGGCTGGGCCTGCATGCCCCATGATGCTGGTGGGAGTCCCACCCTCCCAGGCACAGCTGCAGGCACTCAGCTGCCTGTGGGTAGATAGTGGTGGATCCCTGGTGAAGCCCCACCTTCAAGCCATGGTTGGCCTGAAGTATGAGGGCCGAGCTGCCAATTCTGCAGACTGGAGTGAGGACTTACAGTGCTTTTTCCGAGCCTGACTGTGGTTGCCCATGGACCAATCAGCATGCACTTTGTTCCCTCTGAAGCCCATAAAAGCCCCAGACTCAGCCAGACTTGGGCAGATGTTGGGACACCCTGACTGTGGAGAGGAGCTATGCCTGTGCATCTCCTCTCTGCTGAGAGCTGAGCAGACATCAGGATGACCTGCCTGTGGAGAGGAGATATACATTGTGGGTCTTCTCTCAGCTGAGTGCTGAGCAGACATGCAGGCTGGTGCCTGCAGAAAGTCTTTACCCACTTCTGGTCTCCTGAGAGCTGTATTGTTGCTCAGTAAAGCACCTCTTTGCTTTGCTCACCCTCCAGTTGTCTACATACCTCATTCTTCCTGGATGTGGGACAAGAGCTTGGAACCCACCAAATGGGAGGACTGAAAGAGCAGTAACACAAACAGGACCGAAACATGCCTCCTGCTCATGCTCACCCTGTTGTGGGCAATGAGAAGGAGAGAAGAGAGAAAGAGAGAAGAGCTTTAGCCCTTCATGTAGCCCAGATCTAGGAGATCCTTGATCCATGGCTGTGACACCCTCTTTGGGGCTCTGTGGTTCCTGGCATCTCCAGGATTTTGGGCCCTGCTGTGTTCCCTGGTGCCCGTAGTAGAAGCTGCTTGCTTTATGCCTTGTCTAGGTGCAGCCTCACAGGGAGCTGGCACCCATGCCAGTGCCTGCAGCTGCCCACCCTGCTGCAGCTGGCCTGCCTGGTTTTGAGCAGTGGCTGGACCCCATGCTCATTCACTCACACACATAACCCTCACCACTTCATGTCTGGCTCATCCTGGGCAGGCATGGGATCTGGGTTGGTAGCATGAGCTGAGCACAGCTTGCCAGGCCGAATGGGTGGAATGAGCCCAGTGGGCCTGAGCAAAATTCAGGCAAAGGTGCCACAGGCCACACAGGTTTCCAGCTGGTGAATCAACACTCCAAGCATCCAAAGGCAAAATCTTTGGCTGTTTGTATGTTGGAATGGTATTGCCTATACTGTCTTTCAGGGTTTTTATAGTTTTGGGTTTTACATTTAAGTCTTTAATCCATCTTGAGCTAATTTTTGTATATGATATAAGGAAAAGGGGTCCAGTTTCAATTTTCTGCTTATGGCTAGCCAGTTATCTCAGCACGTTTATCAAACAGGGAGTTCTTTCCTCATTGCTTGTTTTTGTCAACTTTGTTGATGATCAGATAGTTGTAAGTGTGCAGTCTTATTGCTGGGCTTTCTATTCTTTTCCATTGGTTTGTGTGTCTATTTTTGTACCAATATTATACTATTTTGATTACTATAGTCCTTCCAAGTCAGGTAACATGATGCCTCCAGCTTTGTTCTTTTTGCTTAGGATTGCCTTGGCTATTCAGGCTCTTTTTTGGTTTCATATGAATTTTCAAATAGTTTTTTTCTAGTTCTGTGAAGGATGTCATTGTTAGTTTGATAGGAATATCGTTGAATCTATAAATTGCTTTGGGCAGTATGCCCATCGTAATGATATTGATTCTATCCATAAGCATCGAATGTGTTTCCATTTGTTTGTATCATCTCTGAGTTCTTTAAGCCATGTTTTGTAATTCTCATTGTAGAGTTCTTTCATCTTCCTGGTTTGCTGTATTCCTAGGTATTTTATTTTATTTTATTTTATTTTATTTTATTTTATTTTATTTATTTTATTTTATTTTATTTTATTTTATTTTATTTTATTTTATTTTATTTTATTTTATTATTATTTTTGTGGCAGTTGTGAATAGGATTGAATTCCTGATTTGGCTCTTGACTTGGCTATTGTTGGAGTATAGGAATGCTAGTGATTTTTGTGCATTGATTTTGTATCCTGAATCTTTTCTGAAGTTGTTTATCAGCTGAAGGAGCTTTTGGACCAAGACTGTGGGGTTCTCTAGATATAGAATCATGCCGTCTGCAAACAGGGATAGTTTGGCTTCCTGTCTTCCTATTTGGATGACCTTTATTTGTTTCTCTTACCTGATTGCTGTGGCCAAGACTTCCAATACTATGTTGAATAGAGATGGTGAGAGAGGACATCCTTGTCTTGTGCCAGTTTTCAAGGAAAATGTTTCCTGCTTTTGCCTGAATGGTATGATGTTGGCTGTGGGTTTGTCATAGAAGGTTCTTATTATTTTGAGATATGTTCCTTCAATATCTAGTTTATTGAGAGTTTTTAACACGAAGGATGTTGAAGTTTATTGAAAGCCTTTTCTGCATCTATTGAGATAATCATTTGGTTTTTGTCTTTAGTCCTGTTTATGTGATGGATTATGTTTATTGATTTGCATATGTTGAACCAACCTTGCATCCAAAGGGTAAAGCCTACCTGATGGTGGTGGATTAGTTTTTTGATGTGCTGCTGTATTTTGTTTGCAAGTATTTTGTTGAGGATTTTTGCATCAAGTTCATCAAAGATATTGGCCTGGGCTGGGTGCGGTGGCTCACACCTGTAATCCCAGTATTTTGGGGGCCCGAGGCAGGTGGATCACCTGAGGTCTGAGGTCAGGAGTTTGAGACCAGCCTGCCCAACGTGGTGAAACCCTGTCTCTACTAAAAATACAAAACTAGCCAGGTGTGGTGGCACATGCCTGTAATCCCAGCTACCCAGGATGCTGAGGCAGGAGAATTGCTTGAACCTGGGAGGCAGAGATTGCAGTGAGCTGAGATTGTGCCACTACACTCCAGCCTGGGAAACAAGAGGGAAACTCCATCTCAAAAAAAAAAAAAAAAAAAAAGAGATATTGACCTGAAGTTTTTTTTGTTGTGTCTCTGCCAGGTTTTGTTATCAGAATGATGCTGGCCTCATAGAATGAGTTAGGTAAGTTAGGTAGGAGTCCTTCTCTGCAGTTTTTTGGAATAATTTTATTAGGAATGATACCAGCTCTTATTTGTACATCTGGTAGAATTCAGCTGTGAATCCACCTGGTCCTGGGCTTTTTTTGGTTGGTAGGCTATTTATTGCTGATTCAATTTCGGAGCTTGTTATTGGCCTTTTCTGGGAATCACTTTGTTCCTGGTTCAGTCTTGGGGGGGCATATGTGTCCAGGAATTTATCCATTTCTTCTAGGTTTTCTAGGTTGTTTGCATAGAGATGTTCATAGTAGTCTTTGATTGTTATTTGTATTTCTGTTAGGTCAGTAACTACGTCCCTTTTGTCGTGTGTGTGTGTGTGTGTGTGTGTGTGTGTGTGTTGTGTTTGTTCATTCATTTATTTATTCAGCAGATACACAGGGAGTGCCTGCCATTTGCTCGGCACTGTGGTCGAGGAACTGTGTGTGCAGTGTTGAGTGGAGCACATACTATCCTTGCTCTGTGACACTCACAGTTTGGCTCAGGTCCAGAGAGGAAGAGTAGGGGGCTCCAGGGTGTGGTCAAGGTTCCACTGGGACAGTGGTGTTCCCCAAACCAGTGAGGGGTGTAGTCTTTCCAGCGGGTCTTCCACAGCATTTTACTTGTATGGGGCTGGGTAATCACCGAGTGGATAAAGAAAATGTGGTATATAGGTACCATGTAATACTACTCAGCCATAATAAAGGAATGAAATAATGGCATTCACAGCAACCTGGATGGAATTGGAGACGATTACTCAAAGTTAAGTAACACTGGAATGGAAAACCAAACATCATATGTTCTCACCCAGATATGGGATCTTAGCTATGAGGACGCAAAGGCATAAGAATGATACAGTGGACTTGGGGGACTCAATGGGAAAGGATAGGAGAGGGGTGAGGGATAAAAGACTACACACTGTGTACAGTGTACACTGCTTGGGTGATGGGTTCATTAGAATCTCAGAAGTCACCAGGGATTTCATTTCCCTGGTAAATGAAAGTGACGTTTATTTTTGTTGGAATAAATACAACTGTTTAGAAATTTTAAAAAATCCATATTTTCTTTCCCTCTAGATGTAAGTGAAATATAGCCTGCTATACTCACCTGCCCTTTGCATTTTTCTGTTACTTATCTTGGAGATGACTCTATAGCAGTATACAGAGCTCTTTCTTATCCTTTCCTCGCCGCCCCCTCCCTCCGCCCCGCCCACAGTTGCATAATAGTCCATTATGTGGATGTGCTAGAGTTTATCCAGTCTTTTACTGGTGGACACTTGGGTTCTTTCAAGTCTTTTATTATTATAAATGATTCCAAAATTAATAGCCTTGGCTTATATTGTACTTGCCAGTGTGTCTATATTTTTTTTATTGTCGTATAACAAATTCTTACAAATCCAGTGGATTAAAACAACACCCGTTTATTAACTCACAGTTTTGTAGGTCAGAAGTTCAGTATGGTGTGCCTGAATTTTCTGTGGCTGTTAGCTAGGGACTTCTTTGTAGTTTCTGGAGGCTACTCTCGGGTCTTTGTCCTGTTGTCCTTTTGCATTTCAGAATTGGAGAACTTCCCTTATACCATATTTCTCTCATTCTTTGAATCTCTCTGACCTTTTGTGACCAGTTAGACAAAATTCCACTTTTAAATTGCTTGTTTGATTAGGTCAAGCCCACCCCCATAATCTCCTATCTTTAAGTCAACTTATTAAGGATTTTAGTTACATCTGCAAAAATTCCTTCACAGCAGTGCTTGCATTTGTGTTTGAGGCCTGAGAATCTTGAGGGCCATTTTCGAATTCTGCCTACCACAGTATCTTCAGGCTAGATTTCTAGAAGCATGATTACTGGGTTGAAAGGTAAATTCACGTGTAATATATTCCAGTATATGGTTCTTGTTGCTAGATTTCCATTCACAGAGAATAATCCTTTTGCATTCCCGTCAGTAAGATATTATAGTGCCTGTTTCCTGGTAGGCTGATTAAGAAGATTATGTGTTCAAAAATTTAGATATTTGTCTGACAAGTGAAAAATGTTAATTTATGTATTTTTTCATCTGAACAGAACATCCTTTTCTATGCTTAATAGCCATTGACATTTACTTATCCATTAATGGTCTTTTCATTCATTTTTGCCTGTTTTTCTATTTGTGTAGTTCTTTTTCTTCTAAATTTTAAGAGATTCTTTAGCTTTTAGGGATATTAGGTCTTAACTTTTCATGGCTTCATGTCAGGTATCTACCAAAATTCTAACGCCTGTGAACAACTCTCAAGTTGTACTTTATTAAATTAAAGGTGAATGATACAAAATACCCTTTTCCTTTAATATACACAATTTTTTAATTGCTTTCAGTTTCTATGACTTACCATCCAGCTCTACGATAATGATGTGTAAACATGGTATTGTATTAGGTAGAAAGATGCAAATTGAATTAGTTTAGGCAAAATGGGACATTTTTTGATTTATATAACTAACTTTCAGAAAAAGCACGGACAACTGGAAACAGGACTGCAAGTGCTGTCAGGTCTACATCTGTCTCTCTGTTTCTGTCCTCCTATGCCCTCCACCTTTGCTTATTATTGCATTTCATGTTGACTTTGTTGAAAGGCAAGCACAGGGTAATAATGGTTAAGAGTTTGAATTCTGAAGCCAGACTGCCTGCATTAGTTTCCTGGTTCTGCCTCTTACTAGTTGTGTGACCCTGAACAAGTTAGACCTCAGTTTTTTCTTGTTGCAAGAGTGCCTTATGCTAAATGAAATAAGCCAGACACAGGAAGGACAAATACCACATAATACCACTTGTATGATGAATCTAAAATAGTTAAACCCGTGGAAGTAGAGAGTGGAATGGTGGTGGCTAGGGATGGGAAAGGGGGAAAGCAGGCAAGTATTGGTCAAAGTGTATGAAGTTTTGGTTATACAAGATGATTAAATCCTAAAGATCTACTGTACAACATAGTGCCTATAGTTAGCAATACAGTATTATATACTTAAAAACTTGCTAAGGGGGCAGATCTCATGCTAAATGTTCTTATCTCTCACACACACTAATCAATAAGGCAGGAGGAAACTTTGGGAGGTGATAGATGGGCTTATGGCATAGATTGTGGTTATGGTTTCACAGGTGTATACATATCTCCAAACTTATCAAATTTATACAGTATTAGTATAGCTTATTTATGTCAATTATACCTCAATGAAGTGAGTTTTTTTTTTTTTTAAGAAGAGCTGTAATATTTTCATCTCAGGGTTGTTGTGAAGACTAAATGCTTTTAGATCACTACCTGGCAGATAATAAGTGATATATAAATATTTGCTATAATTATTCTCTTCTTCTCTAGATGGTATTCTCCATAGGAGAGGATTCCATAGTCCTCCATTCCCCATAGGAGGGGCTACCTGTTATTCTATGGGGATATCTTCACCCTCTCCCCTTTTATTAATTTCCTAGGTCTGTCGTAACACATTACCACAAACCGGGTAACTGGGTGGCTTTAAATCACAAAAATTTATTCTTTCCCAATTCTGAAGGCCAGAAGTTTGAAAACAAGGTGCCAGCAGGGCCATGCTTCCTCCCAAGGCTCCAGGGAAGAATCCTTTGGTTTAATTTCTGTTTTTTTTTTTTTTTTTTCCAGGTGTTTCGTGTCTTGTTGCTACATAAATCCAGTTTGTGCCTCTATCTTTACATGTCTATTTTTTCTTCTCTGTCTTAAATCTCCCTCTGTTTTTCTGTTATAAGGACACTTGTCTTAGATTAAAGGTCTACTTTGGTAATCCAGGATGATATGGTTTGGCTGTGTCCCTACCCAGATCTCGTCTTGAATTATAGTTTCCGTAATCCCCATGTGTCATGGGAGGGGCTTGACAGGAGGTAACTGAATTATGGGGTGATTTCCCCCATGCTGTTCTCATGATAGCAACTGACTTCTCATAAGATTTTATAAGGAGCTTTTCCCCACTTTGCTCCACACTTCTCCTTCCTGCTGCCATGTGAAGAAGGATGTGTTTGCTTTCCCCTCCACCATGATTGCAAGTTTCCTGAGGTCTCCCCAGCCATGTTGAACTGTGAGTTAATTAAACCTCCTTTTTTTTTAAATAAATTACCCAGTCTCAGGTATGTCTTTATTAACAGCGTGAGAATGGGCTAATACATACCTCAAGACTCTTAACCTCTGCAATGACTCTTTTTCTGAATAGGGTGACATTTACAGGTTCTGGGGATTAGGCCTTGGACATATCTTTTTTTTTTTTTGGTGTGTGTGTGAGGGGTCACCATTTAACTCTCTAAAACCCCAAACAGGAGAGCAGCCTTTTCCTCTACTTTTCCATGTTGAAAAATCCCAAGGAAGGAGTTTGATTAGCTTAGTTTTATTCATAGGCTAACCAATCATAAGCCACTTCTAGAAGTGGAAGTGCGGAACTATTGGGACATTACATTTGACCTGTCCTCACCCTTCACTTGCCTATTTCTTCAAAAAAACAAGTCAGTCACATAGCCCAAACCTAGCTATTGGGGCAGTTGTAAACAGTAGGCACTCAAACATATCTTTATATAGAACTGATATTCCTTTTTGTTTTTCCAGTATGGCCTCAGTCTGACCTAGTAGGTTATTGAAAATATTCTCAAGCTGGACAGTATCTTTTAAAAATATACAGAATTTCTGTCTACTTTTTGTAAGTCCTGGGTCTTCTTGCACTAGTTTGTTGCTGGGAAGCTGCTTCTTGATTTAGGAAGCTGATTCCCTTATTGACACATGTTATGGTGTTTAGAAACTGAAGCTCTCCATGAGGCTTCCCAGGAGTTTTGTTTTTTTCACTAAGTGGTGATACATCAATGTAATCTTCTTCTTTGAAAAAATTATTTGCCATAACATTTGTTCTTTGAAAATGCATTCTCATTGATAGATTACTGTAATCTACTCTTCCATTAGCTTGTTGGTAATACAGTCTATCATTTTTATTATAACAGTACCTAGTACTTAGATTCAGAACTAGAATCTCAGTTACAAGATGTCAGTGGCTATCAAATAGTTTGAGCTCTGCATTATATTCAAATAGCCCTGCAAATTTCAGTCACCTATACGAATTCCCTACTATTGAAGAAATATTTATTATAATACTTTTAGAAACTACTATGCATAGAACTAATTGGCAACCTCTCTCACCTCAGGTACAAGAAGTATAATGATTCCTAATCAATTCTGGATTGTTCTGTGAAGATTAACAGTGGTTAAAAATAGTGATAATAGGTCATTTCTCTAAAATTACAATAATTATTAAGTAATAAAACATTTACCTATTTGTAGAATAGGTAGATAGTAAACAAGTTTCATCACTATGTCCAGGGCAAAGACTATTTATTTAATAGTATTCAGATGCTGGAGCAAGTCATAGCAATCTCTGTGGCTCTGTCATGTAGCTAATTCAGGAAAAAGTAGAGAGGTTAAAGGAGATAGAAAGAGTTGTGATGCAATTAATGAGAGTGACTGTGCAGCTGGGAATATGAATATGAGTTGTTTAGCTCACATTCTATTGTAATGTTTGAAGCAAGTAGTGCCCAGCAAAGTAGTAGATAACAGCAACAATTCATTTAAAAATAATAGTCTTTTTATTCATCATTACTAGGTAGTCTATTAATATTTACCAATTTAAACTCTCATGCTAGTATTATTTACACACTTCTACAAAATAATCTATAGAATGGTAAATATATTCTTATATGTTGGGTACAAATTTTTACTAGGTAGCTCTACCCACAGTCCAGTTGTTGTATTAATATTGATCAGTATCTGATTAGTGTTTTTCAAGTGTGATTTTGAAATATCTATTATTTTCTTTTTACAAACTCATTCCTTTGCCTCTTTTTTTAATTTGATGAAATAGTCTTTGTACCATAAGCCACAAATTCCTCAATAAATATTATGTGACTTTACTCCCTAGCAAAACCTTTCTTCTTTTGCCCTATTGGTAACAGAAATATCCTGAATTTAAACTCACTGGAGAGTAGCAAGTTTCTTGGTCAGGAAAATGAGCAATGAGAGAGATATATATTTGTCTATAAATAAATTTCTTAGGCCTGAACCCAAAGATATATGTAAAAGCAGGGCATTGTAGAAAGAAAGCCTTCCTTTTTTTTTTTTTTTTCTTTTCTGAGACAGAGTCTTGCTTTGTCACCTAGGCTGGAGTGCAGTGGCATGATCTTGGCTCACTGCAACCTCCGCCTCCTGGATTCAAGCAATTCTCCTGCCTCAGCCTCCCGAGTAGCTGGGATTACAGGCACCCATCACCACACCTGGCTAATTTTTGTATTTTTACTAGAGACGGTGTTTCACCATGTTGGCCAGGCTGGTCTCGAACTCCTGACCTTGTGGTCTGCCCACCTCGGCCTCCCAAAGTGCTGGGATTACAGGCATGAGCGACCACACCTGGCCAAGAAAGCCTTTTAAAACATGTTCAAAATTGTGTGGTTGGCTAAAATTGTCAGTGCTAGGACAGCTGCTGGCACCTAGATCATCAGGTTCTGTGTATATTTGCATCAGTGGTTTTGAAGACTTGGCTACACACTGGAACATCACAGGGAGCTTTTAAAAGAGTATTGATGCCAGATTCCCACCCCTAGACATAGTGATTTAATTGGCCTGGGGTTGAGCCTGGGCACCTGTGTATCTTTCTTAAGTTCCCTACGTGAGTCTAATGTTCAACCAGGGTTGGAAACCACTGATTTACATGAGGCAGATAGTCTCTATTGAGAAAATCTAGTTACTAGTTACAACATTTTGATCCGTTGTTCATTCTTCTAATTTGTGGATTTTATATTTGTTTTTCAAAGTAGTTTACATTTTTGGCAATTTTATCAGTATTTAACTGATGGTATAAGGTGCTCACTAGTGCCAGAGTAGGGTCAAAATCAGTGTTTTCCACTTTGGCTGAATACTGGATTCACTTCGGAAACTTTTACAGTCCTAATGTAAATCTAGGCCACACTCAGACCAGTTAATTCAGAAACTTTGAGGGTTAGGACCCAGGCATTATACTATTATTCTTCTTCTTCTTCTTCTTCTTATTATTTACAGCTCCCCAGGTGATTTCCTTGTAAAGGCAAATTTGAGAGCCACAAATCTAAATAAATTGTTGTTGACTTAATTTTCTTTAAATGATATCAGTTAAATACAGTCTCATTTTGTCTGTCTTTTTCAGGATATTATTGATAGACTTATAATTTTGAATTCTGAAGCTAAGATTCGTTCTTTATTCAACTATGAACAATCACATATCTTTGGTCTAAGGTAAAATGCTACATTTTACTTTTGATATTATATTTTATGTTCCACAAAAAATAAGCATTTGTCCTGTATACTTTAAAAAAGTATTTAAAATTAGCTAATATTTAAAAGCATGCTTAAAGGTAATTTGTCTTCCTGTAACATTATAAACAAAGTAAATTAAGGCAATTAGATATGTGTACCATGGCCTTTGTCTGAATTTGGATTCTATATTATTATAGTGTCTCCCATTCCCTAATTTAATAGAGGCATTTTAGGGACTATTTCATTTAGTGTACTCAGGAGTCAACTTGACCTTCCCTGGGTTGGTATTTGGTTAGATTCTTGTCACAATATACCCTCAAAAGAGGCCTAGAAAAGGATGATTTATCCTGAGGCCCAAGTTTTGCTCTTTGGTGTTAATCATTACTTTTCAACTTTACTTTGCCTGAAGTTTAAATCTTTCTAGTTGAGTTCATATTCCTTGACATTTTATTTTCCATGTTCAAATGGGAAATAAGGCGTAGTTGGTAGGGCTACAGGGACTCATGAAATTCACAGTCTTTTGGTCATATGTAAACATAGAATTTGCTTCCCTTCCTGTAAATTACTACCTTTAAAAGCAGGTGAATTAAGGAAATTTTCCATTTTCATAGTTTCATGATTTTTCTTTCTTTTCTATTAGCAAAGTAACTTTTTTAGACTTGAGGGAGATCAATGATAATTCGCCACCTAAGAAAGGAAGCAATTATTTTTCTAAAGTTAGAATTCTCTGATGATAGTATATTTTTAACTTTTAACCGTATATTAATAGATGAGCTTCGTGTTTGGACTTTATAGTACAAAGAAGGTATAACAAAGGTGCTACTATTGTAGTTCTTTGGGTGGCGTGCCCTTTATCTCAAAATGTGTTTTCACATTAAATTTTAATTTTTAGTCTATAGTCTCAGATACATCAGATAGCAAGTTTTGATGGGGGAAACTAGGAAAAACTACAGTAGAATTTCCTTTTGCATAACAAGTATGTTTCTGAGTTTTGCAGTTATAGAACATCGATTTTGGCCTCTTGTTGTTGATATACTGAGCAAATTTCTTTTTTTTTTTCCTGTATATTTTCTTGCTTGTATGGAATAATATTTTCTGTAGTGTTCTTTGGAAGAAGATTTAACAATAAGACTTTATTAAGTTATATAAAAAGCAATCCAAGAAGTGAAATGCTCCTGGGAATAACATACATTAATTTTCATAGTATGTGCTTTCTCATAATATCCAAATGTTATCATTCTATGCTACTGTAAAGAATTTACTGTCCCATTGTTGATAGATAAAAGAATAGTGCAGTATGGTGGTTAGCAACATGGACGTTGTGATCAAACTGCCTGCTCTTTACTGGTTGTGTGAGATGGGGTCTCAGTTACTCATCTGTAAAGTGGAGGATAATTACATTATTTTCCTTACAGAGTTATTTTCATAATTGATATGAAAAATTAAAAAGGCTTAAAATAGTACCTGGCACACAGAAAACACTGTAAAAACAGTAGTATTAATAGTTCTAATAGCAGTTCTTCATGTCTTTCTTTATATCTACTTGATCTATGCTGTTTTTGTGTTTTACTATGAAATAATTTTTGTCTTCATTTTTTCGGTATCTCAGTAGTCATAAACATGCTACCTAGTAATTTGCTTGTTTTGTATCAGCATTCAAAAAGAGAAAATGACAAAATTACTTTTTGAGGAAAAGTTTGTATTTTAACCTTATTGGCTTTTTAACAAGTTTTTCTTACACAAATGTAGTTTTGAGATTTCTATTCATAATAATCTTTAGGTCAGGTATATTTGTAAGTCATACATTTTAAGCTAATAATTTACTTTCATTTTTCTACTAATTTCTATTATTGGTCATTGATATCTAATGGTGATAAATCTAGATCATAGCTTTGCATTTTTCATAAACCTTGTGTTTCTGTGTGTTTGGGATTTTTACCCATATGTTTCTCTCTTATTCCCATAGTATTTTTTGTTTGTTTCTAGTTAAGCCTTCCTTGTACCTTTCTCTTCAGTGGATTATCCATTAATGTGTCTGAATCTATGTTTTTCATTGCTTGTTCCATTTGCTTTATATTTTCTTCTGCCTCAAAACTGTAGCAGTAGCATTAAGTGTAATGCTTGGTACAACTTATTTATCACAACACTCAGATGAAGCTAATATGAGGCTTAGTGAAATGTGGCGTGAACAGCATCACATTCTGTTTAAAGTTCTGAATTTTAAATTGCCAAGATCTTACAAATCTTACATTGTAAATGACTAATACTCAAGAAGGGTGCTCCTTTGATTAGCCTCCCTCCTTCACCCCTACGCCTTTTCTCCCTCTTCCAACTTATCCTTTTATGCTAGATCATTCCTATTAGTGTGAAGACATGCCTTCATATGTCCCATCTTACAATGAAATACAACAAACCACCCAAAGAAATATCCTTGACCTTGTGTCTCCTTGCAGCCACTGATCTATATAGCAAAATATGTCTATACAAACTGTCCTCAGTTGCTCACCCGTATTTACTCAACTCACTTTGATTTGACATTGACTTTATAATTTTGTCAGAACTATTCATCCTGCTCATCGCTAGATCACTTGTAACTTCCATGCTAATGAATCTAGTGAATTCTTCTCTTTTCTCATCTTACTATAACTGTCAGTAGCATTTGATATAGGGGACCATTTTTTTTTTTTTCCTGTGTGAAAAATTCTCTTCATTTCTGTGTATCACACACTCTTATTGCTGCGGTTTCTTTTTCTTTCTTTCTTTTTTTTTTTTTTCATTCTCTAGTCAACCTCTGAATGTTGGAATACTCAGGATTTAGTCCTGGACCCAGGACCAAGGATCCTAGGTTTCTGTGCACTCTACTCTTAATTTATTACACTTAAACATTTGCCTTTAAATATCATTTATATGCTAGTAGATGCCCCCATTTATATCTCTAGCCCAGACCTCTCTTTTCAGCTACCAAACCTATATATACACCTGCCTTCTGACATCTCAATTTATACATTTCTCACTTAAACATGTTGAAAATTGAACTCTTGGGTCTCCCAAACCTCCTTCTACAAAAACAAACAAAATACATCTTTCATTTCTGTCTCATTAAGTGACCCAACCGTCTCTTTAATTGCTTAATTTTGAAAGTCATCATAACTTTTTTCTGTTTTTTTAAACAATAGTTGATCTTTATTATAAATAAATTAACCAATGCAGAAAATTAAATATAATGAAATTCCTTGTAATTCTAAAACGGTCATTATTAACACTGTGGAAAATCATTCTAGGCATCTTTCTGTACATATACAGACAGAAAGATATGCAGATATATAAAAATAAATTCTTTTATAAAAATAGAATTATAGTACAGTTGCCACTTTAAATTTGAACTGAATTTTATAGGAAAACAAAAAAAAAGAAGCCCCAGTGTGAGACTGAAGGAATTGCTGAATTTCAAATAACTGTTTTTTCTCTCCAGGGGTCATTATTTTCGAAGAGATTCCTCTAAGGTAAAGAGAAAACATTGTGTAAAACATTTCAAGAGGTTTGAGTGTGATTTTTCACTTTTGGACAGTACTGATCAACTCTGCTATGATAGATGAAGACATTCATGCTCTTGTCAGCTGCCCACTTCCCCTGTCCTCACCTGTGTTAAAAAGTAGTTCCTTTGCCCATTTCCTAACCCACCGTCATGAGTCAGAGACCCTATCTTCCTCCCTCTCCAGGAGTGTGATTAAGCAATAAGCTAATCTGCATTTTTCAGTGTAGTTACCTAATATGTGAAGTGCCTTTTATGTATGACTACACAGTAAATTTACAATTTAAAAATGTACTCTTCTATATTTACTCAACCAGTATTTATTGAATACGTATTCTGAGCTACAGACTGTGCTAGTATGGGGAATGCAATGATGAGTGAATCAGATGTGGTGCTCATTCTCTTTAACCTTGTTATCTAGTGAGGAGTAAGATAATTAGTTAATCGAAGAATGTGAAGTAATTAAGGCAGAAAAGAAACATGTTCTTATAAAGCCCTCACCCATCTTTTATCATTTTAAGTTACTGGCAATTCTGGACACCATTGTGTGTCTTACCCTAATGTATCTCTACCTTTCCTGTGTACAATAGTTCCTACCCTTCCTTAGCCTGAACTAATGCTCCGAGGAGGTTAGACTCCTTATCTCCCTCAAGGACAAAACAGCATTTATTCCTGCTTCTGTACTTGTTTTTTATGTCTTGACTACTGTCTTTGCTTTTGTCTACTTATACAAATTCAACCCATCCTTCAACACAAAGCTTGCTCTATGAATTACTTATAGCCCATTCTGATCTTGTCTTCTCTTTGCATGCCTCTTGCCTTTATGGTCCTTCCCACAGATTTAATAGTTAATTTATTTCTTCTTCTGAATAAAACTTCAGTTTCCTAAGGGAGTATTATTTTCTTCTACTTTCGTGTCTACCACATTGCCAGATCGTTTTGAGTTATTTGGTTAGCATTTATTTGTTAAATCTGCTGACTGATTAAAACAGTTGCCTGGAAACTTTTGATACTGCCCAAGGCTTAGCAGCTTAAACTTTTCTTAACCATTTTTAGTAGGTTTAGAGTAATGTTATATTCCTTCTTGGACATTTTATTTCAAAACAAAAGCTGTAAATATCGTGGGGAAACATTATATCATCATTTAACATTAATAGTTTTCTTTATATCAAACTGACCACATTAAGTTTTATTATAGGCTGTGGAATTGCAGCTTTTTTTTTAACTTTGAATTATCTTCAATGCTAAAGATGTACTTAGTTTTAACAATTTAAATCTTACGTAGTAACTCTTAGTTAAATATATATTAAAATTTAACATGGTTTAAAAATGTTAATATTGTCCTTCTAAAACCTATTTCTTCTTTGCTCATTTGAAACTATAATGTGGCCTATTTATTGTTAATTTTCTTAAAAACAAAACTTGGGAGTCTATACTTACAGAACAGCCTTTAAAATTAATCATTTGCCATTTGTTATTATTTTATATTTACCCACCAACAGTAAGTTTTATATATAGTACAATGAACAGGTTTATGCATCATTAGCTTCTTTGTTAAAAAAGTCTGACCTCTGAGATGACTTTAATATGAAAAGTTAAAAATTCATATTTGTTTTAAAAATTAGTGTAATTAAAAGCAGTTTGGTTATTTTAACAAGTAACAAACATAGCCAAATGTTAGTATTTCATCACAACAAATCACCAAATTATTTATTTCCAGTGACCCAGTTGCTAACTAGACTTAAATGTGATTAACCTTAGTAACAAGAAATAATCTCACAATTACCTCTTGTAATCTTTTTTTAATATCAGAAATTAGAATATAACATGATGACAAAACCATCCATATTTTAGATTTTATATACACATGTATACATATATACATATACACACACATCTAGAATTTATTTTTTCAAGTTAATAATAAAAATAATAAAATGATCGATTACTGATTGAAGACAGTAACTAATTCAAAATTCTAATTTAATCAAACAATTCTTGTTTACATAGAAAAATTCAAGAATGCTGAAAACAAAAGGAGAAAGCAACACTCATTACCCTACCTCTTCATGGTAACCACTGTTAACCCTATTATGCTCATATTTTGATCTTTAGCTACAGATTTTTTTTTGAAAAATAGGAGTGTTATTGTTTTGAGACTTCCTTTTTTACTTCAGTATTTAAAATTATCCATTCACACCTATAAATATTAATCTGTATCATAATTTTAAAGGATTAAGTAATATTCCAGTACACGATTGAATCTCAATTTTCTGTTTTTACACACGTAGGTGTTTTTTTATTTTTAAATATCTATGGATAAATATCTTGATGTTTATAATTGTTGCTCCACAACAAATCTGTAGAAATACACTTGCTAAGTCAAAGGATAGGCACATTTTCCAACCTTATGTATTTTTATCTACACCCTTATTATGATTTAATTTTCTTGAGCTCTCTGTAGCATTTTATATTCTGCCTACTTAATGAAATGTATTCCTTTCATTTTTGTTCATTCATTCAGAAAATATTTATTGCGTCTTTGCTAAGTGCCATACTTTCTTAGATACAGTCTTTTTGGCAGCATCAGTGACTTTATTCTCTTTTATTTTGGGATTCCTTTTGTGTCGTTCATTTTTGCTAATTCTTTATTTTCCTCCTTTATTAAACTTTCAATTTGAATTGTCTCCTAGAGTTATGTCTTTAGTTCACCCTCCATTTTATCTACAGTGCCTTCGATGATCACTTCTTTTTTTTATTTTTTATTTTTGAGACAAGAGTCTCGCTCTGTCGCCCAGGCTAGAGTGCAGTGGCGGGATCTCGGCTCACTGCAAGCTCCGCCTCCCGGGTTCATGCCATTCTCCTGCCTCAGCCTCCCGAGTAGCTGGGACTACAGGCGCCTGCCACCATGCCTGGCTAATTTTTTGTATTTTCAGTAGAGACAGGGTTTCACCGTGTTAGCCAGGATGGTCTCCATCTCCTGAGCTCGTGATCCATCCATCTCGGCCTCCCAAAGTGCTGGGATTACTGGCATGAGCCACCGTGCCAGGCCGGTCACTCTTTACTGACTACCCCTATATCTGTATGTCCAGCCCTAAGCCTGTCCTGAGCATATTTGCAAGTTTTATGTGGCATTTGGATCTGTGTATCATGCAAGCTCCACAAACTCAATATGCCCTGTATTAGTCAGAGTTCCTTAGAGGGACCAAACTTATAGGATACATATATATGTGTGTGTGTGTGTATATTATATATATATATTATATATATATATAATATATATATTTATATATATTATACACACATATATATAATATATAAAATATATATTATACACAAAGGGATATGTGTATATATATTATATATCTACAAAGGGGAGTTTATTAAGTATTAACTTACCTGATCACAAGGTTTCACAATAGGCTGTCTGCAAACTTGAGGAGCAAGGAGAGCCGGTCCAACTCTCAAAACTGAAGAACTTGGAGTCCAATGTTCAAGGGCAGGAAGCATCCAGCGCAGGAGAAAGATGTAGGCTGGGAGGCTAGGCCAGTCTCACCTTTTCATGTTTTTCTGCCTGCTTTATATTCTCTAGCAGCTGATTAGATGGTGCCCACCAGATTAAGGGTGGGTCTGCCTTCCTCAGCTCACTGACTCAAATGTTAATCTTCATTGGCAGCACCCTCACAGGCATACCCGGGATCAGTACTTTGTATCATACAGTCCAATCAAGTTGACATGCAGTATTAACCATCACAAGTCCACCTGTTGTCAGCTTGAACCCATACACATCTCCTGAGATTATACATAATCTTCAAATAAAGACAATAATAAGATCATAATTACGCCTAACATAATACAGCTATCCTTCTTACACTCAGAAACGCCTCAATCCTGAACCCAAATACTATTACATGAAGTTAACAATACTTAAATGCTGATATGAAGTCAATAAATCTTATGTCACATGATAAAGGAAAAGGAAATAAAATGAAGATAATGTCTTAGTACAAGTGTATACAATCACAAACATGTTTTTAACAAAAGGAGGAGGAAATACTCATGACAATTACAGTCCTCTTTTCTGTAGCTGGTCACGTGGTCGTAACTGGTATTGATGACTACCTTCTCCTACTACCCATTCTGTATTCCCTTTGCCTTCAGTACCTCAGGAGGTCATGGTTTTTTTCTTGGTGAAGTGACCCAAACCTTCATTCCTGAGGGGTCTGGACCATTTGTAGTCCTGCCTGGATTGGGCTGTTGTAGTTTCCCATTGACCTTAATCACAGGGCATGGTAATACTAAGAGATGCCCTAATGGATCTCCTGTATTCCGTACATACTCTTCCTTACATTCATTATGGAGTAGTAGACTGATTTCGTCTTGATAGTCTGGGTCAGTCACCCCAGTGAACACTGTAACTCCCTTCTTAGTCTGTTGACTTAAATGTAGGAGAAACCCAAAGTATCCAGGTGGCAACCTTAACTTCCAGTTTAATGGAATCATTGTTTTGTCTCCTGGTGGCAATGTTCCTCCCTCTGGAACTAAGACCTCTAGGCCAAGAGAATGTAATCTTGTGGGAACAGGAGGCAAACATTTTGCTAATGGATCACTAGGGGTGATGGTGAGTGGTGCTACCTCCACTTCTACTCCTTAATTCCTGGAATCATGAATCCTGGCTATGGCAAAAACAGTATCATATATTGGATGCTGATTCAGAGCACACGTGGCCTTCTGTAGAATTTGCCCCAGCCCTGCAAAGTATTGTTACCTAGTTGACATTGTATTTGTGACTTCAAAAGGCCATTCCACCCTCCTATCAATCAATCCATCTGCTTCAAGATGATGAGGAACATTGTAAGACCAGTGAATTTCATGAGCATAAGCCACTGCCCTGCTTCTTTAGCCGTAAAGTGAGTGCCTTGGTCAGAGGCAATGCTGTGTGTAATACCATGATAGTGGATAAGGCATTCCATGAGTCCACGGATAGTAGTCTTAGCAGAAGCATTGTGTGCAGGATAGGCAAACCCATATCTGGAGTAAGTGTCTATTCCAGTGAGGACAAACCTCTGCCCTTTCCATAATGGAAGAGGTCCATTGTAAGCAGCTTGCCACCAGGTAGCTGGCTGATCACTCCAAGGAACGGTGCCATATCAAGGACTCAGTGTTGGTCTCTGCTGCTGGCAAATTGGGCACTCAGCAGTGGCCGTAGCCAGGTCAGCCTTGGTGAGTGGAAGTCCATGTTGGTGATCCCATGAGTAACCTCCATCCCTGCTACCATGGCATCCCTGCCACAGTGGCCACTTTGTTCATGGGCCCGTTGGGTGATGACAGGGGTGGCTGGGGAAAGAAGCTGAATGGTGTCCACAGAACGGGTCATCCTATCCACTTGATTATTAAAATCCTCCTCTGCTGAGGTCACCTGTTGGTGAGCACTCATATGGGATACAAGTATCTTCATGGTTTTTGACCACTCAAAGAGGTCCATCCACATACTTCTTCCCCAAATTTATTTCTCACCAGTTTTCCAATCATGTGTCTTCCAAGTCCCTTACCATCCAGCCAAACCACTGGCTACAGCCCATGAATCAGTGTATAATTACACATCTGGCCATTTCTCCTTCCATGCAAAGTGCACAACCTGGTGCACTGCTCGAAGTTCTGCCCACTGGGAAGATTTCCCTTCAACACTGTCCTTCAGGGATGTGCTAGAAAGGGGCTATTAGTGCTGCAGCTGTCCACTTTCAGGTGGTGCCTGCATATCGTGCAGAACCATCTGTGAACCAGGCCCTAGTCTTCCCTTCCTCTGTCAACTGATCATAGGGAACTCACCATGAGGCCATCTGTGCAAGCTGGGGGAGAGAAGGCAGGGTGGCAGGAGTGGAAATTAAGGGCATTTGAGTCACTTCCTCATGTAACTTTCTTGTGCCTTCAGGACCTGCTCGAGCCCGATCACATATGTACAACTTCCACTTGATGATGGAATGCTGCTGTGTATGACCCACTTTATGGCTAATGGGTCAAAAAGAACCCAGTTCATGATAGGCAGTTCAGGTCACATGGTGACTTGACCCACAGTCAAACATTCAGTTTCCACCAAAGCCCAGTAACATGCCAAGAGCTGTCTCTCAGAAGTAGAGTGGTTATCTGCAGAAGATGGTAGGGACTTTCCAAAATCCTAGAGGCCTCTGCTGTGATTCACTTATGGGGGCCAGCCAAAGGCTCCAAACAGCATCCCTATCTGTAACAGATATCTTAAGCCTCATTGGATCTGCTGGATCATATGGCCCAAGTGGCAGAGCAGCTTGCACAGCAGCCTGGACCTGTTGCAGAGCCTTCTCCTGTTCTGGACACCACTCAAAACTGGCAGCCTTTCAGGTCACTTAATAAATGGGCTGGAGTAACACACCCAAGTGAGGAATGTGTTGCCTCCGAAATCCAAATAGGCCCACTAGGTGTTGTGCCTCTTTCTTGTTTGTAGGAGAGGCCAAATGCAGCAACTTATCCTTCACTTTAGAAGTAATATCTCGACAGGCCCCACACCACTGGACCCCTAGACATTTTACTGAGGTGGAAGGTCCCTGAATTTTAGTTGGATTTATTTCCCATCTTCTTGCAGACATATGTCTCAGCAATAATTCCAGTGTGTTTGCTACTTCTTGCTCACTGGATCCAATAGGCATAATGTCCTCAGTGTAATGGACCAGTGTGATATCTTTTGGAAACAAAAAGCAATCAAGTTCTCTCTGGGTAAGATTATGATATAAAGCTGGAGAGATATACCTCTGAGGTGGGACAGTAAAGGTATATTGCTGGCCTTGCCACTGAAGAAAAATTGCTTCTGGTGGGCCTTATGGACAGGAATGGAGAAAAAGGCATTTGCCAAGTCAATGGCTGCATACCAGGTACAAGGAGATGTGTTAATTTGCTCAAGTAATGAAACCACATCTAGTACAGCAGCTGCAGTTGGAGTCACCACTTCGTTAAGCTTACAATAACCCAGTGTCATTCTCCAAGATCTGTCTGTCTTCTGCACAGGCCAGATGGGAGAGTTGAATGGGGATATGGTGGGAATCACCACCTATGCATCCTTCAAGTCCTTCATGGTGGCACTAATCTCCGCAATCCCTGCAGGGATGTGATACTGTTTTTGATTTAGTATTTTTCTAGGTAGAGGCAGCTCTAATGGCTTCCATTTGGCCTTTCCCACCATAGTAGCCCTCACCCTACCAGTCAGAGAGTCAATGTGGGCATTCTGCCAGCTTCTAAGTATGTCTATGCCAATTATGCATTCTGGCACTGAGGAAATGACCACAGATGATTCTGGGGACCAACTGGACACACTGTAAGTCAACGTGAGCTAAAACTCCGTTAATTACCTGACCTCCATAAGCCACTACTTCAACTGGAGTACCACAGTGATGTTTTTTTTTCCCTGGAATCAATGTCAGCTCAGAGCCAGTGTCCAGTAGTTCCCAAAATGTCTGATCATTTTCCTTTCCCCAATTCACAGTTACCCTCTACATTGCTGAAGGTACAAAGCTGAAGGTCTCTTTAGGGAAGGATGGGAGAAATATTCACAGCCTAGATTGTTGGTACTGAAGTGGGGTGCTTCCTCAGGGGGACCCAGTCTCTCCTTCACTTAAGGGGTTCTGGGTCTGTAAACTGGCTCCAGTCTGGAAATTGATTGAGGCGCTGTGATTCTCTTTTTATAATTCAAATTAATCTTTTGTCCATTTGACCTAAAAGTTTTCTGCTAATATAAATTAAGCAAGAATGCATTAGGCTTCCCGACAATTTCACTTCTGAAAACACTGTGATTAATTAGTTAATGTCAGAGCTCTACATGAGTCAGACTGTTCTGTTTGCTGCTTTGTTTCTGTTGTCCATTACGGTAGCTAGGCCCACCTTGCCTTTGATGGTTGAGTGCCACCACTTGGCCCTTGCCACATAGGGATCCAATTATTCTTATTGTATTTAAATTTTGTAGTTGAATGACTTCAGTTCCCACTGTTAGACCTGACATACAGAGAAGAACAATTACAGGGCTCTTCAAAGATTCAGGTGCAGCCCTCAAATCTATTTCACAAGGCAGTGGTCAAGGGTGTATCTTCTGGACCCTCCCAACTGGGATGAGTAGGTCTAGTTACTAATCCACTCCACCATCTCAGTCTCCCTAAGATGTTGGATCCCCTCCTCTATGTTAAACCAAAGGAGATCAGTCATATCCAGCTTTCTCACAGTGGGCCATCATTTAATCTGTATTTCAGCTAATCAAGCAAATAGACTGTTAGACCTTTTTTAACTCCCTGAGCTGCAACATTAAATGCAGAGTCCCTACTTAGTGGACCTAAATCAATAAATTCAGCCTGATCCAATTCTATGTTCCTCCCACCATTTTCCCATACCCTTAATATCCATTCCCATGCCTGTTCTCCAGATTTCTGTGTATAGAGATTGGAGAACTCAAGCAGTTCTTTTCTAGTGTAGTGCACCACCTCTTGGGTCACAATCTCAATCTCACCTCTAGAGGCCTGCCAGGACTTTAGTTATATGTCTAGAAGTAAACAGGGGTGTTGGAGGTGGCTCCTGAGGAGAATCAACATTATTTTCTGGGCAACTGTCTCAGGGGAGGCCATCATTGTTGTCTTAGGTAGCACAAGGTTTGTCTCCTCAGACAAAGATGGAAAGACTGATGGCAGCATGGGTCAGGGAGGAGATGTTGCCACTACTGGGGATGGGGAAGCTGTTTCTTTTGGCAAAAAAGTTTCATCTGAGTTTACAAACTCAGTGTCCTCAGCTTCATCATGGTCCTACCACACATCTCCATTCCAAATTGCAGGGTCCCATTCTTTTCCAATCAATGACCTCACTTTAACAGTAGATATCTGGTGAGGCTGTGCATGCACATTTTGTTGCAGGTCAGCCACTGGCATAAGAGCTTGCATGTGTTTTTCTACAGTTTCATCTCTTTCTCTACAGGAAATAAGCCACTCACTATGGGCAATCTTAGCGGATTTGAGCCTCAGCTTCTGAAGCCAGGAGACAGAATCCCAGAGTTCATCATTTTCTTTCATTACTTTGTCCACTGAACTTAGGAGCAACCAACCAACTTCATTATGTTCCTTGGTTCTCCACATATGGTCAAAGGTATTATGTAGAGTCACTAAACTCCTTTCCTCTCATGAGAGGTGAATCAGGAGTGTCAAATCTATTTATTTTATGTAACTCTCTAAACAGTTCATGCCAAGGAATATCAGTGTTCTCCATACTATTACAAGTAGAGTCCTTAGCATTTTTGGATCTGAACATATTAAGCAGCCAACTCCAGAAACCCCAAAACCAATGAAAGAACATCCTTAATATTCTATTCCTTTAGAACCATTCCTGGTACCAAAATATGTATTAGTCAGGGTTCCCCAGAAGGATAGAACTAATAGGATATATATATATATATAAAGGGTAGTTTATTAAGTATTAACTTACATGATCACAAGTCCCACAATAGGCTGTCTGTGAGCTTGAAGAGCAAGGAGAGCCAGTCCAAGTCTGAAAACTGAAGAACTTGGAGTCCAATGTTTGAGGGCAGGAAGCATCCAGCACAGGAGAAAGATGTAGGCTGGGAGCCTAGGCCAGTCTCGCCTTTTCACGTTTTTCTGCCTGCTTTGTGTTCGCTGGCAGCTGATTAGATGGTGCCCACCAGATTAAGGGTGGGTCTGCCTTTCCCAGCCCACTGACTCAAATGTTCATCTCCATCGGCAACACCCTCACAGACACACCAGGATCAGTACTTTGCATCCTTAAATCCAATCAAGTTGACACTTAGTATTAATCACCACATGCCCGAAAACCATACTCTGTGTGTTTACAAAAGCTCCAACTAATATCCAACTGCAGGCAATCCAGAACATTTTCTAAAACACAGATCTGAATTTGGTACATAGAGTAAGTGAGCAGGCCTCCTATAGTCTCCGCTCATTCTTTGCAGAATTGTGTAAATTCTTACACAATTTTATCGGCAAGCTGACCCTGCTCCCTATTTCTCTTCTCCAGATATGGTTGTATGTGTATTGAAAATTGAAAGCTTCCTAAAACTTAAAGTATAATAAAAAATAAAAAATAAAAATTGAAAGCTTCAGATTTGAGGGTGTGGTTACTGTATGTAATTTATGTTCTTCTCTTGATTTTGATAGCAGACAGAAAAGGAATTGCGATTTACATTTCTGCTACTTTTGTGTGTGCCAATCAGAAGGAAAACTTTTATGTTAGGGGAATGAAATGTGTTTGGTTAAGTAAGATACATATGTGTGCACATGGGTGTGCATGCATGTATATAACAAAAATTTCCATATATGCAGATATGTGTATATATCCAAATATATGTATATATGTACATGTAAATGTATATTACATATCCACACATGCATATGTATCTTAACCAAGCACATATACATATGTGTGCATATATATATATATATATATGCATACACACATTGTATTTGCTTAGAGTTTGTAAAAGTATAATTTATGGTGATGTATAGATGGAATTATTTAGACTGTTAATAGAAAAGAAATGTTTTTCTTCCCTGTATATATTAAATTAGTACTAGGAGAAAGTGGCGGGATAAAGAGAAGGGGCTTATGACTGTAGTTGTGAGATAAACCAAGAACATGTTTGGGATTCTTTCAAGTGGAAATGATAGAAAGCTAACACTAAACTTCATAGAATCATTCGTTACCCCAGACAAACGCCTGCCTCCACACATTAATGATGTGATAATATTTTAACAGCAACATAAAAAGTTTATAGTAATTAAGACCAGAGAGTTATCATGTTTCTGGTGAGATTTGGTTTGGGTTTTAAGTAAACTCCTAGAGGATTCACCATATCCAAAATATGTCCCAAAACAGATGAAAAGGCTAGTCCCTCATCTTACAGTTTATTTTATTCCTCCAGATAGTTCAAATAAGCATTTAACATAAAGGAGACACTGATTTTCATTTCCAGAGATAAAATTAGAGGCGGGAAGATGATAGTGAGGAGGGAAGGGAGAGTAGGTAGATGTGGGGTGGAGGTAGAGAGAGTGGGTGTGTAGGGGGGTAGAGAGAGTGGATGTGTGTGGGGGGAAGGGGTATGTGTGCAGAGGAGAGGTGGGAAGGAAGACAGAGGGAAGAACGGTGGGGGGCAGGGAGAGGAGGAGGAGGGAGCATGGGAGAGTAGGAAGAAAGGATAAGGTGGAGGGGGAATGAGGAAAGGATGAGGTGGAGGGGGAAGGAGGGAGGTTGGAACTGGTGGGGAGGAAAGGAGGGAGGTCAGGTGAGAGAAAGAGCGGGAGGCTTGCCGGGAAGTTGGGAAGGAGAGGTAAGGAGGGTGGTGGGGGACGGAGAGGGTCGTGTGTGTGTGTGTGTGTGTGTGTGTGTGTGTGTGTGTGTGTGTGTGTGTGTGTGTGTCTGTATTGGGCTAGGAGAAAGAAAGAAATTATATAGTGTGTGGTGTTTTAAAATCTACCTCTTTGCAGTGATGCTAAATGCCCATTTTCACACTAAAATGGGCATTTAGTTGGGAATGCCCCTTAGTATCTGAAGCAAAACAATGTATCTTGTCCATAATTCCATAATTGGACATGAGGATCAAGTGCAAAATTCTTAGTGTCCTGTCTTACTTAGGGTATATGTTCTGGGCCTAGCAGTCTCTTCAGGACTGATGGGAAAACCCCAGGGAGGGCTCACAGTATGGTTAGTATGAGCTGGTATATGTATATCTTGTCCTTAGACTGCTCTTTTGATTATAACTAGGTTATGCTAGTTGTGTTTTTGGTGCATATTCAAATATATATTGATGTCTCCTGGGTAATGCTGACATGCTATGCAGCTGTGTATAGTGTTATGATGATAAATTAGATGTCTGTAAACTACTTGGGGCTCTAGAATCAAACATGTTACAAGCATTTTTTTCTAGTGCATAAGAAGCCCTTAATTAGTGTATTTACATTTTATAATATATAGATATAACATATAAACATATAAACGTTTATAGGGTCAATATAATGAACATTAATATTAACTATAATAATATTTAATATTTAAATATAAAATTATACTAATACAATATTAATATCATGTAACAATATATTATCTGTTGGAAATGCTCAGTTAGACTCACTGTGTCAGTCTTAATGTTCAGCATGGAAATCCTGTGAGTCTCAGGGCTCTGGACTGACCCTGGTTATAATTCTTTGCCCTGAAGTTCTGATTGAGTATGCTGTGATTTGTTCCTGAGTACGCTTCCATTTTGGGATGTCAAAAATGCCAGTTTCCTATGGTTAAACTGAAATCTTTTACCCAGAAGGAATTTTATTTCAGGTTTTTAATGTAAACAAGATAAACTTCTTTGGGATGTCAAATTGGCATTTGTTTCTTTAAAACAAAATAACTTATTTACCTCAAATATTTTTCTTTATGACAACAATTAAATCATATTAATTCGGTTTTGTTACATTAGAGATAAAATTTAATAAGGTGAAAATAATTTTTTAAAAAAGACAGTTTAGAGCTTAGAAAACAAATATGTTTGTTTTTGTTTTATCTATTGGAGCAAAGGCCAAATAAAGGTCCAGATTCTGTGTGGCTTCAGTTCCTTTCCACTTCCAGCCCAGAGCCCACATTTATCTTTTTGGCAGAGCAGCTAGAGAAGATAATAGTTCATGGTCTGTGTGATGTCTACTAACCACTATTTTTTATTTTTATTGAAGTAATAAATGTACATATTTTAAAAAGTCAAAAAGTATGGGAAGGTTTTTAAGAATGAAGAGTAATCCCCTACTCATTCTACTGTACTCCCAAGTTCCACTCCTCAGAGGCTGCCACTTTTAATTCCTTATTTTGTTTTGTTTTTGTTGGGGGGAGGATTCATCTCCAGGTTTTAAAAATAACACGCTTACACTATCTTGATTTGTTTAACTTTCAGCCTTCATCTCTTATCTTTAGGGATTTAGAAGCTTAGGACTTAGATTTCATTGGCTCTCCTTCTCTCTCTGTTCTATAGTTTTGTCATATTCTTGATTAAATCTCTATTAAAAGCTTCCATTATAATGTCTGTATAAATATTATTTATTGGTAGTTTAAGTAGTATGTTATGACTATGTATCCTTTTTCCTAAAACTTTACTTTCCTTGGAGTTAATAATTACATAATATTTTACATTTACTTTATTTTCAAAGTACATGCTAGTAATATATCCCTAGACTATCCTAAAAATATACTGCTAACCTCTGCTACTGCATAATACTAATATAGTGCTCATTATGTCTCAGGTATTTGTATTGGTTTTATATTTGAGTCACTCAATTTCAGAACAAACTTATGAAGTAGGTACTCTTAATATCTCCTTTGTTTTGTTTTGTTTTTTAAAACAAATGATTCAACTGGGACACAGAGAAGTTAAGCCATTCAATTAAAGTGACAAAACTGGTAGTTGGTATAGTTGGTATTTGAATCCAGATAGACCGGTTCCAAAGAATGTAATGCCTAACCCATATATTGTACTGCTTCACAGAATATATGTCAAGGTGCCCCACAATCATTCTTTCCAATTATGTTTTATAACTACAAGGCTTTCACATTCTTGAGGGCAGGGACAATATCCTATTCATATTTGTGAAAACATAAACTCTCAACCAGCTAAAGGGCATCAGATAATCTATTTTTTTTCCTTTTATCACATTCTTTTGTTCCACTTTGTACTGTAGGACTTTTTTTTTTTTTTTTTTTGGCCCTGAGCATCAGCCTTCATGGGATTTCCCTTCATCATCATCCTGGGAATTTCTTTTCTCTCTTGTGGGTTAGATCCCCTGTTACCTGGGATCCAATTACCTATCTTGGTTTACTCCCTTGTTTTCATGGAGCCACTTTCTCAGTAGGAAGAGATGTACGGAGGAAGTTTTTCAAGGTGGGAATGGGTTGGAGGCTTCCACAATATAATTTCAGGAGCTGAAAAACCAATGGACAAGTTGTAACTGATTTATTAGGCCAGGAAAGCTAAAACCCAAGCTGGCAGTAGGGAAAACTCAGAAGCTACTTATTTGCATATTACAACATTCCAGAGGTACTAGAATTAAGGGCACTACTGAGAATGCAGATGAAAGTAGAGGATTAGGTGAAAGTCTAACCCTTTCAATAATAAGACTAGTTCCAATTATAAGACTTAGTTATGCTTTCAGATTTCCTGCATTCCTACACCATTTAGCTGAGTGACTGTTTTTCTCCTGCTTAAGCAGAACATTGGAGGGTTTTGCCTTCTGAAAAATAATGAATCAGAGATACTAAGTGCCCCTGAGAGAAGGGATACTGTGCTAAAAATGGTTAAATGTTATTCACTGCCAATTCAAAGATATATTATGATTATATTTTATTTCCTTCCCCAATTTTTTTTCTAGAATTAGTAAGGAATCATTTATTCCTATTTCTCATTTGCTTAGTTTTTCTATATATCTAGTGGTAATTTATCCCAAGATTGTTATTACAAAATATAATAATTCAGTACTAATATCTAGTAGTTACAAGAGTGCTTACTGTTGGCAGGACCATTCTAAGCTCTTTGAATATTTTGAGTCATTTAAACCTCAGAGCATTAAAGTTTTAGTCAACAGCAATAGCAGTAACATTCTTTCAGCTAATACAGTGTAATTTTCCTTCCACAACAAAAATGGCCTTACCCTCTTCCCTAACAGGGAAATCTAGAGTCCCATCAGTATTTATTTGGTGGTATTTCTTCTTTGTTACTTTAGTTCTAGTCGTATCTTCATATCCTTTAACCTACAGACTAAATTACAAAATCAACACCCTACGTAAAGCAGGAGAGAGATGGAGAAAAAGGAAATTATAAATTTCCTTTTTAATATATAAATGCTTACTTAACAGAGCAAAGTTTAAAATATGGTTAGTTAGTACAGTCTTTGTCTCTATAAGTGGACGTATGGCTTTAGTGGGTATTTATAACTTTTCCCCTTCTTCCCATTCTGTTTTCTCTTGTAATTCAAACAACCCCACTGGTTAGGATGCTATATATTATCTATATCTAAGTTTTGTTTTTTTATATCTAAAGCTTTGTTATTGAGGTTCTTGAGCCCTTTGTCATCTTCTCTGTATTGGTTTGCGTTAGTCTTCCATCAATTTTTACCACTAGATATGGCAGTACTAGTAGGTGCTACAGAGCATCCCTGGGGCACCAGGCTTTATTTACCTCTGCCTCCATTGCATAGGAGCAGTCTTTCTTTCATTGATAATCATGATCAATTCCTCTAGCCAACGCAGTTAATTTACTCTGCTATTGATTTAGGAATATGAGAAGCTTCAAACATTAGAAGAAAGTTTAAATTTTCAGTTCTAGTAGAAGTACTCTAGTTTGGAATAAGATCTCTAAACCATCAACTTTCTCGCTACGCTTCACAAAGTTAAAGGGTTAGAAAACCAAAGAAAATCATTTTCCCTTCTACTCTTTAGTTCATAGACTCATGTATTACAGGTATAAGAGAAATAACATCATACATTGGTTTCTAGTTCAGAGCATTTTGTGGGACAGCACCTCAGTTTTCCAAGGTGTTGTGTCCTGCGTGATATCCTACTGAGTTTTCAACATGCCATTCCACCAATATCTATGATCATCTGCTTCTGGGAGCTAGGGCACATCATAAGACCAGTGAATATTTGCTCAGTGCCTTACTTTTTTTTATTGTTAAACTAGTTTCTTGGTCAGAAACAGTGTTTTGTGGATGCCATCACCCCTAGAAAGTCCATAGTAAGATAATGTTTGATAGAAAAGCATAGTAGCCAAGGATGTGAAGTTTTGTGTATGGTGTAAGAAGGCATTTTTAATGTAATCACCCTGCCACTAGGTAGCTTGTTGGTCTCCCCAGGGTTATTTACTATCTTCTGAGTCCAGGGTTGGTCTCTGCCTATGGCAATCTGGATGTTCAGTAATAGCTGTAGTCAGATCATCTCTGATAAGGGAATCCATATTGTTCAACTCACAGATATTTCCTATACAAATTTGGCAACCAATCTGGCATTGTGCATTATATGACTTTCTAAAATATAGTTTATATGTGCACAATAGCACTCCATCATCAAGTGAAAGTGGCATTTGTAAGATAAGTTTAAATTAGCCCTGATAACACAAGTGAATTGTATGAGCATATGACTCACATTCACAACGTATACCTCTGGCTCATGGGAAATTTTCTCTAACTAGGTGACCAGAGAAGAAAAACGGTTACTAAATCTGATTTATAGGTTGTATCATATATTAGTACCTGCTAGAATTGGATTACTTTTCAAAGAGGGAAAATTTTGAAGTAGCATATCTACTCATTTACTTTGGAGACAGATGAGACTTCAGGTACTGATTTGTATAGGTTTATGGACCATTGCTAATGGTTGGTCTAGATGGTCAGGGGCTCAGAATTAAAAAAAAAAAACTTACAGAATAGTATGAGAAGATTGGTGGAAAAAAGTATATACATGGTCCTCTGAGAATACATACAGGTTGAGGGAATAATTTTGACTTGTGAATGTTCTTCAAGGGCTTCCTCTTCCTGCAAAGGAGGCAAAATAATCCCTTTCATGGATAGGTCGGCCTCTTTCCTCAGCTGCCCTAGTGCTTGCTTGAATGGGATTATGTGCAAAGTGGCCACGATGGTGGGAGCTCAAAATTATGTTTATCAAATTGAGGATCACAAAATAAGAATAGTTATTTAACAAAGGGAACATAGATTCACTCCAAAATCCTAGAAATCTGTGTGTGATCTCGTATTGCACCTTGTCAGAAGTTCCTGTACTATCCAATCTGTCATTGAAACCATGACCAGCATTGAACCTGCTGGAGTAAAGGTCCAAGTGATAGACTATCTGAACTTGGAGGCTGCATGAGTTTTGTTTTTTATTTGTTTTTGCTGTAGGTCATAAAGTTGACAGAATTACAGGTGATGTCATAAGTAGTTCTGAGCAGTACACCCAAATATTAGAGAAGTTGCTTCCAAAATTGGAAGAGGCTAAAATCGTGCATTATGCCATTTTCTTGGTGGTAGTTAATGTGAGATGTAGCAATTTGTCATGCATTTTACAGGTGATTCTAGGCTACTAGAACTCAGAAACTTTACTGAGATGGCAAGCCTCTCAATTTTTATGGATTACTTACCCTCTGGAATTCTTGTTTTACTAAAGCATATGGAGTACCAGCTACTTCCTGCCCACCTAAGTCCAGTTAATATTATATCACCAATGAAGTAGTTTTTCATCATGACCTCTGGCTTGCTAGGACAATCAAGGCTACCCTAGACCAAATTTTGATAAAATGGTAAAGATACATTGTCCGTGCCTGGTGAAAGTACCTGTTTCTGACATTCACATTTGGCCAAGTCAGTAGTATCTTCCCAGTCATAGAGACTGTGTTGATTCACTCTTGTGAAGAAATTTTTATATTGATGATGTCTTTTGTTACATGTAATGAACAGATACACTATTGTAAAGCTTAAGGAAACCTAAGATCATTGGGCAGATTGAGCAATACTTCCAGCTTCTGTGGTGTATATGGGAAGTTTGTTCCCTGAAGCACATAGTGTGTATTGTCTGTGTTTAGTATTTCAGAGGGTTTTGATAGCAGCCATAAAATCATATGGGTAGTTTTTTTATTGCTGTGAGAAGACTGTTGGAGAAATTCTGCAACTCTCCATTGACGTCTTGTACTATGTTTTTTTCTTTCCAATGGGTATACATACAGTTCATAAATTTTGACCATTTTATTTATGTAATATATTTTAGAGATTTCTGTATTTCTTCACAGAAGGTTTAATTCACTTATTACAAAAAGGGAAGAGAAGATGTAATGATGATAGGTTTCTGTGAAAATTATTTGTGTAAGATCATACTTATGTGTAGCACAAGATGCCTAATAGAAATAAGGACTTGGCCTTCAACACCTGAGGTGAAGTGAGAAAGTTGATAAACCTGACTCAAGGGAGGTGAGACACTTGACTGAATATCACCTCAAGTGTACAAATGCTTTCCTAGTCTTACCAGAAGAGTCTAGATACTTCCCACCTCTAGCCACCTGCCGTGCCTCTAAAGCTTTGCTGCAAGCAAACAAACTGTTATGTCTTTATCATCTTCAAACATCATCCCGTATCCTCAAGGGTACTAGACTTTTGGAGCCTCTGAGAGCCTTAAAATTATAATAGTGGAATAATAGTTGAACACTGCTTAGCATTGTATGAAATAGGGAATAAAGGAACAGCTGGGAATTTTACTGTCTTTCCTTCGGTGTACAGAAACTTCTCTAAATCTTGATAAAAGTAACTTCATAATGCCTACTGTAAGACTGTTTTTGTGTGGGATAGACAGAATTAGTCTATTTTTCTAACTGTGTCCTAAGAGACACATACATAGAGATGCTCTGGTGTATTTACACACACTCACAAACACACACACACACAGTCTGTCTCTTTCTCTCTGTTTTCTGAAATTTCCCTGTTAATATACTGTTGATATCTTTATATAAATTTACTTTAAATGATTTTTAATACTTTATCTTTTTCATTAAAAAAATCTAAAAATACACCATTAAAACTTGTATCCATTTACCTGTTAATTTGGATTTAACACGGATAATTGTTGACTTTTTTTTTCAGCCTGCTTTATATGTGAAATACATACCTGATTTTTTTTCATAATTGGGAAATTTGGGTTGGGGCCAACAAAAATAAAACCTGACAATTTGTTGCTTATAATTCTAATAATAGGAATGTTTTCAGATGTATTTTTCTGGTAATTTTGCTAGATTGGTGGATATAACATAACCTGTATACTTCCATTCACTTTGTAAACCTAGCCTTAATATTATGGTTAAGCAAAATAATAAATTCTGTTACTCAAGTGCTGTTTCCTTCTATGTTTAGTCTAACTGCTAGCTTATACAAATATGCTGGTATAATTAATGAGCCATTAAGTCTGTTTATTAGATGATTACATAATTGAGTACCAAATGGCATTTAGCTGATATCAAATCTTACAGGAATCTTTATACATAATCATGAAAGTATGCATTCTTTTATTAGTATTCTGAGTTTGTTCATTTGTTGCATACCCATTTAGACTTCTTGTTGATATAATATATACTTTTTCTCATTACCTACCCTAGCATAACACTTCAGTTTTTAATGAAATAGTACAAATATAAATATGTGATAAAATATAAACATACAACTTAACAAATTGTTATAAAATAAATACTCATGAAATCTCAATCAAGTAAACAGAGAATTTGCAAGTACTATTTGCATTTGTTGGTCATGACTCTGTCCCTTCCCTCTAATGGTAACAATTATTTTGACTTTTATGATGTTTACTTCTTTGGTTTACTTATATATATTTTACTACCTAGTCATATATTGCTAGACAGTGTATATATTTTTGGGTTTTTACATTTATATGTCATAGTGGTACACATTTTGGGGATATGTGTGATATTTTGATCCATGTATACAATGTGTAGTAATCAAATCAGAGTAATTGTGAACCACCATTTTACTCCCTACTTCCATGAAATCTGCTTTTTAAACTCCCACATGTGAGTAAGAACATGTGATATATGCCTTTTTGTGCCTGGTTTATTTCACTTAACATAATGATGTCCAGTTCCATCGATGTTGTTGCAAATGAGAGGATTGCATTCTTTTTGATGGCTGAATAATATTCCGTTTAGTAAATGTATTACGTTTTCTTTATTTATTTGTTGATGGACACTTAGGCTGATTCCATATCTTGGCCATTGTGGATAGTGCTGCAGTAAACATGGAAGTGCAGATACTTCTTTGATATACTGATTTCCTCTTCTTTGCATATATACCCAGCAGTGGGATTGCTGAATCATATGTTTATTAGTCTGTTCTCACACTGATACAAAGAAATACCTGAGACTGGGTAATTCATAAAGAAAAGAGGTTTCATTGGCTTATGGTTCTGCAGGCTGTACAAGAAGGATGGTTGAAGAGGCCTCAGGAAATCTACAATCATGGCGGAAGGTAAAGGGGAAGCAGGCACATCTTACATGGCTGGAGCAGGAGGAAGAGAGAGAGAAGTGGGAGGTGCCACACACTTTTAAACAACTAGATCTTATGAGAACTCACTATTACGGGAAGAGGAGGGGGAGGAATCTGCCCTCATGATCCAATCACCTCCCACCAGGCTCTCCTCCAAAAATGGGGATTACAATTTGACATGAGATTTGGGTGGGGACACAGATTCAAACCATATCAATATGGTAGTTATATTTTTAGTTTTTGAGGAACCTCCATACTCTTTTCCCTAATGGCTGTTCTACTTTACATTCCCACCAATAGTGTATGAATGTTCCCCTTTCTCTGCATCCTCACCAGCACTTGTTATTTTTTGTCTTTTTGATAATAGCCATTCCAACTGAAGTGAAATGTTATCTTGTTTGGGTTTTGATTTGCATTTCCCTGGTGATTAGTGATGTTAAGCATTTTTTCATATACCTCTTGGCCATTTGTATGTCTTCTTTTGAGAAATACCTGTTTATATCTTTTGCCCATTTTTAAATTGGGTTATTATTATTATCATTATTTGTTACTGAGTTGTTTGAATTCCTTATATATTATGCTTATTAAATTTTTATTGTATGGATAGTTTACAAATATCTTCTCACATTCAGCAGGTTGTCTCTTCAGTTTGTCCACTGTTTTCTTTACTGCACAGAAGCTTTTTAGCTTGATGTAATCTCATTTGTCTACGTTTGCATTGTCGCCTTTGCTTTTGAAGGCTTACCCAAAAAATCTTTCCCTGGATCAGTGTCCTGTAGTGTTTCCCCAGCGTTTTCTCCTAGTAGTTTCATAGTTTCAGGTTTTACATTTAGGTCTTTAAGCCTTTACTTTTCATATGGTGAAAGATCTAGTTTCATTCTTCTACATATGAATATTCAGTTTTCCCAGCACCATTTATTAGAGAGTGTTTCTTCCCCACTGTATGTTCTTGGAAACTTTGTCAAAAAGGAGTTGGCTGTAAGTGTGTAGATTTATTTCTGGGTTCTTCATTCTGTTCCGTTGGTCTGTGTGTCTGACTAAACAATATATTTTAATTTTGTTACTTTTTGAACTTCATTTTAGTTACTATAGCTTTGTAATAAGTTAAAATAACTGATAGAGCAATTCTTCTTGCTTTGGTCTTTTCAAAAATATCTCAGCTATTTTTAGTCCTTTTCTTTCCATATAAATTCCAGAATCAGCTTATCACATAAACCAAGTCGCTGAGATTTTAATTATCATTGTATTGAGTCTAGAGATCAATGGTGGATGAATTGACATCTGCATAATACCGTTTTCCAATCTATAAACATGACATATATCTCTGTTTAATTAGGTATTCTTTAATTACCCTCATTAAAATTTTGTAGTTTTCTATGTAGAAGTCTCATATATCTTTCATGGATTTAATTTTTTTAGCTTGATAGTATGTTCCCCAGTGTATATTATAATGTGTGACAATATCAGTGAGCAGTTAAGAGCATGGACACTGGAAGCACATTGCAAGACTGATATTAGGGAAGGTCCTTAACCTCTCTGTGCCTCTGTTTCTTTTATATATGGAGACAAAAGCTGTATGTTTCTTACCAAGTTTTCATGAAACTAAATACACTACAACTCTCCCAAATTTAGAACATGGTAAGCACTTGATAAGTAGTGATAAGTGTCTGTTAGATTAGATTATTAGTGCAGTTATTTTGTTACATTCTGCACAAATATTTTGTACAGTTTTGATTAAATTGTTACATAATGTTTATTTAAATTTATAAATAAAGTTAGTCGAGAATGCACGTCTTTAAAATATTTAACATTCTCATCCTGTAGGTGCTTTGACTTTATTTATTGAACTCTTCACATTTTTCAGTCATACATTGTAGCTTTCTTCATATAGATCCTGTCCTTTTTATATTGTGTATTATCATCTGTAATATTATATCGTCTATTATTATCATTTGTTTTATTATCATCTGTTATATTTTTTGCTATTGTTAATGGGGTCTCTTCTTCCATGGTAATGCTTCATTGGTTATTGCTGGTATGTTATAAGTAAATTTATTGGAGTTTTATTTTTGGTACTTTTTTTTTTACAGGCCACCTATGTAATTTTCACACACATGCACACACACACACACACAAACTATACATATATATATATGTTTTTGTCTTCATATATAAAATAAATATACATATTTATATGTAAAGTAAATATCTATATATTTAGTGTGTGTGTGTATATATATGTATGTATGTGTGTATATGTATCCCCCCTGCCATTTCCAATTGTTTTCTCCTTATCAACCAAATAGCATTATCATACTTTTAATTGCTTAGGTGTTAAAGTTGGAGTTTGTATTATTTTTTATTGCTCTATTAAAAAATTTCTATAAACTTTGTGACTTAAAGCAACACCTGTTTACTATCTCAGTTTTTGTCTGGACACGTCTTAGCTGGTTCCTCTGTTCACAGTCTCACAAGGCTGAAATCAAGATGTTGGCTGTGGCCGTGGTCTCATGTGAAACTCGAGAAAGATCTGCTTCCTAACTCACACAGGTTGTTGGCTGAGTTTAGTTCTTTACAGATTTAGGACTGAAGGCTTTATTTTCTTGCTAGCTAAAGTCTGGAGGTCCTTTCTTACAGCTGTCTATTGAAAGTTGCCCTCAACTCCTAGCACAGGAGACACCCAACAAGAAGAGCACTACAGTCTTATGGAATGTAATCTTGTAATCACATCCATTGTATCACCTATACCATACTCCATTGGTTAGAGACATATCATAGGACCTGCCTACACTCAGGAAAAGGGGATCACACAAGAACATGAGCACCAGGAGGTGGGGATCTTGGGGGCTACCCTAAGAATCTGGACAATGCAGAGCCATTCTTTCAGTCCAGAAATCCTAGGAATACCCTGTTTTAAGCTACTATCTTATCTAAATTATTGCTATAGCTTTTTAACTGGTTTCTTTTTGTCTGCTCCTAGCTAATTTTAGCCTATTACGTGCATAGCAGCTGTAGTGATCCCATTAAAATACAAATCAGGTAATCTCAGTCCTGTACTCACAAAGTTTTTCATATCATCAGTATGAAACCATCCCCAGTGATTTCTCATGTCACCATAACAAAATCCAGAGTCATCACAATGGATGACTATGTAATCAGGACCCCTACTGATGTGGTTTGGCTCTCTGTCCCCACCCAAATCTCATGTTGAATTGTAATAATCCCCACGTGTCAAGGGCGGGACCAGGCAGAGATAATTGAATCATGGGCGCAGTTTCCCCCATACTGTTATCAAGATAGTGAGTTCTTATGAGATGTGATGGTTTCACAAGTGTCTGGCATTTCCCCTGCTGGCACTTCTTCCCTTGCCTGCTGCCATGTAAGATGTGCCTTCCACTTTCTGCCATGATTGTGAGTCTTCCCCAGGCATGTGGAACTATGAGTCCATTAAACCTCTTTCCTTTATAAATTACCCAGTCTTGGGTATGTCTTTATCAGCAGTGTGAAAAAGGACTAATACACCTACCTAGTATTGTTTTGACCTCATCTCCTAATGCAAGTTGAGTATCCTTATCTGAAATGCTTGGGATCAGAAGTATTTCAGATTGCAGATTTTGAAATACTTGCATATCCATAGTTTGATATCTTGGGGGTAGGGCCCAATTCTAAACATGAAATACATTTATGTTTCATATAAACCTTATTACACAAAGCCTGAATGTAGTTTTATACAATATTTTAAAATAATTTTATACATGAAACAAAGTTTGTGTACATTGAACCATTAGAAAGCAAAGGTGTCACTATCTCAGCCACCAATGTAGGCAATCTATGGTTGCCTGCTGTCACCATCTTTCCTGACTCTAAATTTGTATGCTACTATATTAGTCCATTCTTACATTGCTATAAAGAAATACCTGAGATTGGGTAATTTATGAAGAAAAGAGGTTTAATTGGCTCATGGTTCTGCAGACTATACGAGAAGCATAGCAGCTTCTGCTTCTGGGGAGGCCTCAGGAAGCGTCCAATCATGGTGGAAGGCAAAGGAGAAGCAAGCGTCCTACATGGCAGGAGCAGGAGCAAGAGGGAAGATGCTACAGACTTTTAAACAACCAGATCTCATGAGAACTCATTCACTATCATGAGAAACTCGCTCACTATCATGAGAACAGCACCAAGGGGATGGTGCTAAACCATTGAGAAATTCACCCGTATGACCCAGTCACTTCCCACCAAGCCCCACCTCCAACATTGTGGATCACAATTTGACATGAGATATGGGCAGGGACACATATCCAGACTATATCAGCTACTGATAAGCAATCATTTCCTTACACTTATTCACACATAGTATTTAACACTAAAAAATGTAACATACCATTTATACAGTAAAAAAAAAATGACATATTCAGGATAACTGGCAGCACAGTAGCATCACCAGAACACCTTTCTTAGCTGTTGAACATAAAACTGCAGGCTTTCGGTCTCCACCTATGATGCCGTGTTTTGATTAAAAGGTTACTATACCTTGGGCTGGGTGTGGTGGCTCACACCTGTAATCCCAGCACTTTGGGAGGCTGAGGCGGGTGGGCAGATCACGAGGTCAGGAGTTTGAGATCAGCCTGGCCAACATGGTGAAACCCCATCTCTACTAAAAATACAAAAATTAGCTGGGCGTGGTGGCGCGTGCCTGTAATTCCAGCTACTCCAGAGGCTGAGGCAGGAGAATTGCTTAAACCTGGGAGGTGGAGGTTGCAGTGAGCCAAGATCACACCACTGCACTCCAGCCTGGGGGACAAGAGTGAAACTCCATCTCGGGGGTGGGGGGAGAAAAACAGGTAATGTACATTGAACAGTAGGGATGCCAAGTAAACTGTGTGTTGTGCATTTTGACTGTGTTGTGACCGTGATCCATAACATGGTGTGGAATTGTCCACTTGTGGCATCATGTTGGTGCTCAAAACATTTTGGATTTTGAAGCATTTTGGATTTTGGAGTTTGGGATGCTCAATGTGTACTTCTCCCTTTGTTATTCCACTTCAGCTATATTGGCCCCCTTCCTGTTCAAACAGGTTAGAAATTCTCTCACCTTAGGTATTTGACTGAAGCTATTTGCTGTACCTGGAACACCTTTTCCCCCAATAGCTACATGGCTTGCTTCCTCACTACTTTTAGGTCTTTCCTAAGAAGGTTATCACCTTCTTAGTGAGCTCTTTCCTGACCACGTTATTTAAAATTACACACAGTGATATATTTTTTTCACTGCTTGTTAAAACTCATTTTTCACTTTCTTGTTTTAGTAGTATCCATTACTTTGTTGTTTAATTTTTAATTTTGTTCGTTGTTCCCTTCCCCTACTATTTAGGGTTCCATAAAGACTGGGATATTTGTATGTATGTGTGTTTATTGGCGAATTGCCAACATTTAAAACAGTAGTAGGCACTTAGTAGGTATTCAACCAGTGTTTTTCTTAGTAAATTGAAATTTATGTGATTAGGAGATGGATTCACAAACAGTTTTATTGTCTTCTAATAATGAACATTCTATCTCCTTTTGCATAGCATGCCTCTTTATTTTATTCTTGTCTTTTTGCATTATCTTGAATTTCTAGAACGATGTTAAAAAATAATTGGCAGTTTTGCCTTCCTGATGACTTTAATGGGAATGCTTTTCCTGTTTATGCTTTTAGATCTTGTATTGAGATAGATTTGTCTTCTAAAAAATCAAATTAAAGAGGTAACCTTTCTTTAATTTACTCAGAATGTTTTGGGGGACAAGGAATAGAAAGTAGATGTTGAATCTTAAATCAAAGAGCTTTTAAGCATCTGTTCCGATGATTATATGGCTCTCTTCTGTTACATATTGATGTCATAAATTACATCAGGAGATACTTTAATATTAAACTCTCTTTTTATCCCTGGAATGAGCTGTGCTTGGTCACAATATGGTACTATTTTAATTAACTGCTGGATTAAATTTGCTAAGCTTTACATTATTTCTAGTACTTGTAAGATTTTAAAAGTCTTACGTCATTTGTTATTTTAGATTTACTCATTCCCTAATTAGCAGAATTCAGTCCAGGTATGTATTTACTCATACAGTTGCCCTAATTCACCTTGGATCACCTCATTGTACATCCAGATCCTGTAGACCTCTCTTTTCAAATCTTAACTCAAAATCCACTGACAGTCATTTTCATTATCTATTCAGTGGTTTAGTAGCCTAAAGAAAGAAAAGTGTCTCCCTAAACCTTCTTAACCTACAGCCTTATATATCTGGGTTGATGATAACATTGATCCTCCCTATTGTTCAAACTAAACACCCAAGAGTCATTCTTGATTTCTTTCTTCTTTTACTCTACATCATAATTAGTTCACCAGGAAATCTTATCAGTTTTTTTTTTTTTTTGACAAGGTCTGTCACGCAGGCTAGAGTACAGTGGTGCAGTCACAGCTCACTGCAACCTCGACCCCCTGGGCTCAGGTGATTCTCCCACCTCAGCCTCTCCGGTAGCTGGGACCTATGGGTGTGTGCCACCATGAGCAGCTAATTTTTTGTATTTTTAATAGAGACAGGTTTTGCTATGTTGCCCAGGCTGGCCTCGAATTCGTGGAATCAAGTGATCTGTCTGCTTCAGCCTCCCAAAATGCTGGGATTACAGGCATGATTCAGTATGCCTGGTCCCTTTACTCTTAACATAATTTAAAATTCCTGTGTGTATTAGAGTCTATGTCTTGACTTTCTTTTGCTTTGTCATTAAAGCTGTTTAAATTCTTACAGTTTGTAATATGTTTTAATATCTAATCATGTTAGACCTCCTTCCAGTTTTGTCCTACTGTTCTGGTATTGAATGTTGCTGCAGCTATGTCTGGAACAATTTGATTTCCCCTCCTTCCATGTCACTCGCCCCACTCTTGTAGTAACTTGGTCGTTTTGCCTGGATACCCCAATGGTTCTTTGTTACTTGTTAAGCTTAACTTTACCAGGTTCTGTCTCCGTGCTGACTCTTTTGATTCAGTTTACTCTGGGACATATTGTACAGTTTATGTACTTAGATTGATGACTTTTTTTTCTCCCGGGGAGAATTTCTTGACTAATATCTTTAAAGATATATCATGTTAGATTATTTCAGTTTTCTCTTCAAGAAATCAATAATTTAAACTCCTTATTTCCATTATATTTTTCACATTTTTGTCATTCTGTTCCTTATATTTGTTATTATCTTCTTAACAGTATCTGTTTTCTTTTTTACTGTTTGCAATTATACTTTCATTTCTATGACAGTTTTATTCTTCTATTTCATTCCTTAGCTCTGCCAGCTCATGTTTTACTTTTTCTGGTTGCCATTTCTTCCCTGTGTTCATAGATTTTTATTTTGTGCAAGGAGCTTAATGGAGACCACTGCTTTATCAAACTTGTTTAATTCATAGAAAATTGTGTGTTCACAGTTTAATATTTAAAGGCAACTTTTTTTTTAGTATGTATCTTCCATCTTTTTATCTTTTTTTTTTATTTTTTCTTATAGCACCTTTGTATGGTACTTCTTTTTGGAGAGATGTGAGCTTTTTCACAGCAGCTGTTTGTAGGAGGCTTATGCTTAAGAGAAGCTAGAGAAGCTAGGGTCATGCTCCTGGTTAGATGGAATTTTTCTAAAGGCCCAAATTTTGTATGTGTGTGTTTGCTCCTTTTTCCGGCCATCCTCTCCCCTCCCCTGGTACCCCCCATATATCTTGATATGGAGGTAGACAGTTTTCTGTTAGTAATTGTCTCTGTAATCTAACTAGTAATTAATTATTAATAGAGTTTTTTGTGACTTCTGGTTCCACTGTGCTCCTTCTGCTTCTTGGTGTCATATTGGGGGTCTTGTGTACTCCATTTCCACTGTTGAAAACAGAGGATTAGGCATTGCCTCTTGGGTTATACTCCTCATTTTTGGGAATTTTATTTTGTTTTTCTTCTTAGAAATTTATTTTGCTTTTATTTTCATATTGGTCAGGGTTCTTTAGAGGGACAGAACCAATAGGATACAAGTATATATAAAAGGGAGTTCATTAAGGAGTATTGACTCATGCAATCATAAGGTGACATCCCACAATAGGCCATCTTCAAGGAAGCCTTCCTCCTGCAAAGAGCAAGGAAGCCAGTCTGAGTCCCAAAGCTGAAGAACTTGGAGTTCAATGTTGGAGGCCAAAAAGCATCCAGCATGGGAGAAAGATGTAGGTTGGAAGAGTAAATCAGTCTAGTCTTTCCACGCTCTTCTACCTGCTTTTATTCTGGCTGCGCTGGTAGCTGATTAGATTGTGCCCACCCAGACTGAGGGTGGATCTGCCTTTCCTAGCCCACTGACTCAAATGTTAATCTCATTTGGCAACACCCTCACAGACCCACCCAGAAACAATATTTTGCATCCTTCAATACAATCAAGTTAACACTCAATATTAACCATCACAAGTCCACCCTTCGTCAGTGTGAGCTCATAAACATCTGAAATCATATGTAATCTTCAAATAAAGGCAACAAAAAGATTATAATTACACCTAACATAATATAACTATCCTTTATACAACCGGAAACACACCAATCCCCAACCCAAATGCTATATAAAGTTAACAACACTTAAATGCTGATATGAAGTCAATAACTCTACGTCACATGATAAAGGAGAAAGGAAATAAAATGAAGATATTTTCTTAGTACAAGTGTATACATGCACAAGCATGTTCTTAACAAAATAAGGAGGAAATACTCATGACAATTACAGTTCTCATTTCTGCAGCTGGTCACATGGTCATAGCTGGTATTGATGACTACCTTCTTCTACTACCCATTCTGTATTCTGTTTACCTTCAGCAAGCACCTCAGCAGGTCATGGTTTTTTTACCTGGTGGAGTGACCCAAACCTTCATTCCTGAAGGGTCTGAGCCATTTGTAGTCCTGCCTAGATTTGGCTGTTGTATTTTCCCATTGATCTTAATCACAGGGCATGGTAATACCAGGAGACACCCTAATGGATCTCCTGTATTCCATGCATACTCTTCCTTACCTCCATTGTGGAGTAGTACACTGATTTCATCTTGATAGTCCAGGTCAGTCACCCCAGCCAACATTGTAACTCCTTAGCCTGTTGACTTAAAGGTAGGAGGAGCCCAAAATTTACTGTATTAGTCTATTTTCATGCTGCTGATAAAGACATACCTGAGACTGGGTAGTTTACAAAGAAAAAGAGGTTTAATGGACTCACAGTTCCCACGTGGCTGGGGAGGCCTCATAATCATGGTGGAAGGTGAAAGGCACATCTTACGTGGTGGCATTCAAGAGAGAATATATATATATCATGAACAGCCACAATATCCTGTCTCATTCGTTCCCTTCCCCAGCACCATTTGTCCTATTTTTACTGCCTTTGGCTGCCCTTCAGTTTATTTTGTGGTTAAACATTTCTGTGATATGCTGTTTTTCTCCCTCCTCCATGCTTTTGGGTTATTTCTAAGTGGATATATAACCTTCCAGTGTTACTGGAAGATTGGTTTCTTCTTGGATCGCCTATTTCCTCAAATACCACCTTTCAGAGAGACCTTACCTAACCACCCACTCTACCATAGCCCCCTAGCATTCTCATGATATGTTTGTTTGAACACTTTTTATAATCATAGAATTTTTAAACATATAAAAATGTAGTGAATAGTATAATCTTTCATGTGCCCACCACTCATCTTTATTAATTATCAGTATTTCACCAGTCTTGTTTCATCTCCCTCCCTCCACATACATTTTTTTCTTAAGTACTTTAAGGCAAATATCTGTTTTAATATGTAATCATGTTAGACCTGCAAATATCTGATATGCTGATATTTAGATAAGGCAAATATCTGATACATATAAAACATTCAGTGCATATCTCTAATAAGTAAGGACATGTTTTAAAAAACAAAACAAAAAACCTTCATTACTGTGCCATTGTTACATCTAACAAAATTAACAATATTTTTCTCATCTCATCTCGTATTACTGCCACATTTTCCTGTGTGATTTAAAAATGCACTTTTAAAGTTTGCTTGAATCAAAGATCAAAACAAAATCTTGACATTTGGTCCTTTTTTTTTTTTTTTTAACTTGTAAGAGTTTCTTTTCGTCTCTGTTTCTTTTAAGACTTTTTGTTTTCTGAACAAATAATATATATATAATAATGTGTAGGATTCTCAAAACTCTGAATTTGGTTGACTGTTTTCTCCTTACAGTGTTTTTAAATATGTTTCTCTAATGCCTGTGTTTCCTGTAAACTGATAATGAGATGTATAGGATTGATTAGATTGAGGTTCAGTTTTCTGGGCAAGAGTACTTCATAGACAGTGCAGTGTATGTCCTCTTGCATTATAATAGGAGACACATGATTTCTGCTTGTATCTTTTAATAATATTAAGATAGATAAGTGGGCTTAGGTGTTCTTAGCTTGATCTGACAATTATAAAATTAGCCACTGACATTTTATCTAATGAACATTTTCTAGATTGGCAGCAAAATGATGATTCTGTCATAACTTTGGTAATTAACTGCTGAATAAAAAGTTGTGGCAATTTGGAGTTTTTCTGGATTTGCTAAAATTCTCTGATGAATTTTTAAATTAAGTGGCAGTTGAGAGGAAAATTTACTATTTATGTAGATTTAGATACATTTTAAAAAATCTAGATTGGAAATTACCCATGGTCTTTTAAAAATACTCAGAACAACTTTTGAAGAGGAGATTACTATTCTAATTTATTAAAAATATATCTGAAATAACTAAATGATACTTTCTGTTAGATTTAGATTTTGATGTACAGGTATTACTTTGAGACATCAAGGATGTAATTATGCTTTTGGGACATATTTTACACAATCTACGTTTATTTTTCTTTTTTATATAGGTTATTAAGTGTGATATGCTGTGATCTGGACACTCTTCTCCTGTTAGAGGCTCAGTATCAGGTATCTGAAATGTTACTAAATGCTCAAGAAGAAAATATCTTGGAGATTTCTGAGAGCCACAGGTAAAAATGGGTGATTAAAACAGAGTAACAGCAGTTTTCTTTAGAGATGTTTTGTTAAGACAGTAATTTTTGATATAGCTTGTTTAATGTTTTTCTGCTTTCTAAATTCAATCAATTTAAATAACAGAATACAAAGCAGCTAAAGTGTAAATGTCACAGAAAGATTATGATAGAAGTGTTTGGAGAGTGCTTGCAGAGTACTACTTTCAAGTCTGTTGCTTTTGTCGTGTGTGTGTGTGTGTGTATGTGTGTGGTATGTGTGTATATATATGTAATACATAAAATACTAGGTAAGACCTAACTTTATTAATGGTTCAATAATAACTTTATTAATGGTTCCATAAACCATATCGCCTTTTAATTCAGCTGCTATTGTAAGATGACCCATTGAACAAAATTTTTGATTTTGTGTCCTTTGCAGAGGCACTCTTTATTCCATCCTCTTAATTATGTTAGTTCATAGTCATAAATTCTGATTATTTCCAAAATGAGGTTATGGTAATATCCTGATAATTTTTTTCATTAATAAATCACACTTGCCATTACCTCAATTTGGCTGACTGTTGTCAAATACACATTCAATAGCTGGCATTGCCTTTATGTCTGTAATTAATTTTTAAAAAGAGTATGTCTGCATCTTAGCCAGGTCTTGGAAAATTATTATGGAGTATATTACTTGATACTCTAGGTTTTTTGTAGAAGGAAAAGATTAACAGCTGCTGAGTATGGAAGCTGCTCATAAGCAACATTTAGATTTTGAATTTAAGGCACCAGCTTTAAAACTTAAGAAAACCTTGACTGAAACTATGATTGTTGAAGTCACTGTAGAAATAATGCGTGTCCTAATTCCATTTCTTTAAATGCAGTAAAATTTATCAAGGAAAGTATTCTTTAATTAATGTCATTGTATCTCCATCAATTTTTTGCTGTCTAGCAAAGAGAACTTAAAATGAAAAGTGAATTTAGCTTTTGTATTTTAAGAAATACATTGACTTTTGTATATGGTATAAGGAGGGGGTCCAGTTTCAATTTTCTGCAAATAGATAGCCAGTTCTCCCAGCACTATTTATTAAGTAGAGAATCCTTTCCTCATTGCTTATTTTTGTCAGGTTTGTCAAAGATCAGATTGTTGTAGAAGTTTGGCCTTATTTCTAGGTTCTCTATTCTGTTCCATTGGTCTATGTGTCTGTTCTTGTACCAGTACCATGCTATTTTGGTTAGTGTAGCCTTGTAGTATAGTTTGAAGTCAGGTAGTGTGATGCTTCCAGCTTTGTTCTTTTTGCTTAAGATTGTGTTGGCTATTTGAGGTCTTTTTTGGTTCCACGTGAATTTTAAAATATTTTTTTTCTGATTCTGTAAAGAATGTCAATATAGTTTAATACGAATAGCATTGAATCTATAAATTGCTTTGGGCAGCATGGTCATTTTCTCAATACTGATTCTTCCTATTCATGAGCATGGAATGTTTTTCCATTTGTTTGTATCATCTCTGATTTCTTTGAGCAGTGGCTTGTAGTTCACCTTGAAGAGGTCCTTCACTTCTCTTGTTAGCTGTAGTTCTAGGTATTTTATTCTTTTTGTGGCAGTTGTGAACAGGAGTTCATTTATAATTTGGCTCTTGGCTTGCCTGTTGGTGGTGTATAGGAATGCAAGCGATTTTTGCATGTTGATTTTTTTTTTTTTTTTTTTTTTATTATACTCTAAGTTTTAGGGTACATGTGCACATTGTGCAGGTTAGTTACATATGTATACATGTGCCATGCTGGTGCGCTGCACCCACTAACGTGTCATCTAGCATTAGGTATATCTCCCAATGCTATCCCTCCCCCCTCCCCCGACCCCACCACAGTCCCCAGAGTGTGATATTCCCCTTCCTGTGTCCATGTGATCTCATTGTTCAATTCCCACCTATGAGTGAGCATATGTGGTGTTTGGTTTTTTGTTCTTGTGATAGGTTACTGAGAATGATGGTTTCCAATTTCATCCATGTCCCTACAAAGGACATGAACTCATCATTTTTTATGGCTGTATAGTATTCCATGGTGTATATGTGCCACATTTTCTTAATCCAGTCTATCATTGTTGGACATTTGGGTTGGTTCCAAGTCTTTGCTATAGTGAATACTGCCGCAATAAACATACGTGTGCATGTGTCTTTATAGCAGCATGATTTATAGTCCTTTGGGTATATACCCAGTAATGGGATGGCTGGGTCAAATGGTATTTCTAGTTCTAGATCCCTGAGGAATCGCCACACTGACTTCCACAATGGTTGAACTAGTTTACAGTCCCACCAACAGTGTAAAAGTGTTCCTATTTCTCCACATCCTCTCCAGCACCTGTTGTTTCCTGACTTTTTAATGATCGCCATTCTAACTGGTGTGAGATGATATCTCATAGTGGTTTTGATTTGCATTTCTCTGATGGCCAGTGATGATGAGCATTTCTTCATGTGTTTTTTGGCTGCATAAATGTCTTCTTTTGAGAAGTGTCTGTTCATGTCCTTCGCCCACTTTTTGATGGGGTTGTTTGTTTTTTTCTTGTAAATTTGTTTGAGTTCATTGTAGATTCTGGATATTAGCCCTTTGTCAGATGAGTAGGTTGCGAAAATTTTCTCCCATGTTGTAGGTTGCCTGTTCACTCTGATGGTAGTTTCTTTTGCTGTGCAGAAGCTCTTTAGTTTAATTAGATCCCATTTGTCAATTTTGGCTTTTGTTGCCATTGCTTTTGGTGTTTTGGACATGAAGTCCTTGCCCACGCCTATGTCCTGAATGGTAATGCCTAGGTTTTCTTCTAGGGTTTTTATGGTTTTAGGTCTAACGTTTAAATCTTTAATCCATCTTGAATTGATTTTTGTATAAGGTGTAAGGAAGGGATCCAGTTTCAGCTTTCTACATATGGCTAGCCAGTTTTCCCAGCACCATTTATTAAATAGGGAATCCTTTCCCCATTGCTTGTTTTTCTCAGGTTTGTCAAAGATCAGATAGTTGTAGATATGCGGCATTATTTCTGAGGGCTCTGTTCTGTTCCATTGATCTATATCTCTGTTTTGGTACCAGTACCATGCTGTTTTGGTTACTGTAGCCTTGTAGTATAGTTTGAAGTCAGGTAGTGTGATGCCTCCAGCTTTGTTCTTTTGGCTTAGGATTGACTTGGCGATGCGGGCTCTTTTTTGGTTCCATATGAACTTTAAAGTAGTTTTTTCCAATTCTGTGAAGAAAGTCATTGGTAGCTTGATGGGGATGGCATTGAATCTGTAAATTACCTTGGGCAGTATGGCCATTTTCACGATATTGATTCTTCCTACCCATGAGCATGGAACGTTCTTCCATTTGTTTGTGTCCTCTTTTATTTCCTTGAGCAGTGGTTTGTAGTTCTCCTTGAAGAGGTCCTTCACATCCCTTGTAAGTTGGATTCCTAGGTATTTTATTCTCTTTGAAGCAATTGTGAATGGGAGTTCACCCATGATTTGGCTCTCTGTTTGTCTGTTGTTGGTGTATAAGAATGCTTGTGATTTTTGTACATTGATTTTGTATCCTGAGACTTTGCTGAAGTTGCTTATCAGCTTAAGGAGATTTTGGGCTGAGACGATGGGGTTTTCTAGATAAACAATCATGTCGTCTGCAAACAGGGACAATTTGACTTCCTCTTTTCCTAATTGAATACCCTTTATTTCCTTCTCCTGCCTGATTGCCCTGGCCAGAACTTCCAACACTATGTTGAATAGGAGCGGTGAGAGAGGGCATCCCTGTCTTGTGCCAGTTTTCAAAGGGAATGCTTCCAGTTTTTGCCCATTCAGTATGATATTGGCTGTGGGTTTGTCATAGATAGCTCTTATTATTTTGAAATACGTCCCATCAATACCTAATTTATTGAGAGTTTTTAGCATGAAGGGTTGTTGACTTTTGTCAAAGGCTTTTTCTGCATCTATTGAGATAATCATGTGGTTTTTGTCTTTGGCTCTGTTTATATGCTGGATTACATTTATTGATTTGCGTATATTGAACCAGCCTTGCATCCCAGGGATGAAGCCCACTTGATCATGGTGGATAAGCTTTTTGATGTGCTGCTGGATTCGGTTTGCCAGTATTTTATTGAGGATTTTTGCATCAATGTTCATCAAGGATATTGGTCTAAAATTCTCTTTTTTGGTTGTGTCTCTGCCCGGCTTTGGTGTCAGAATGATGCTGGCCTCATAAAATGAGTTAGGGAGGATTCCCTCTTTTTCTATTGATTGGAATAGTTTCAGAAGGAATGGTACCAGTTCCTCCTTGTACCTCTGGTAGAATTCGGCTGTGAATCCATCTGGTCCTGGACTCTTTTTGGTTGGTAAACTATTGATTATTGCCACAATTTCAGATCCTGTTATTGGTCTATTCAGAGATTCAACTTCTTCCTGGTTTAGTCTTGGGAGAGTGTATGTGTCGAGGAATGTATCCATTTCTTCTAGATTTTCTAGTTTATTTGCGTAGAGGTGTTTGTAGTATTCTCTGATGGTAGTTTGTATTTCTGTGGGATCGGTGGTGATATCCCCTTTATCATTTTTTATTGTGTCTATTTGATTCTTGTCTCTTTTTTTCTTTATTAGTCTTGCTAGCGGTCTATCAATTTTGTTGATCCTTTCAAAAAACCAGCTCCTGGATTCATTGATTTTTTGAAGGGTTTTTTGTGTCTCTATTTCCTTCAGTTCTGCTCTGATTTTAGTTATTTCTTGCCTTCTGCTAGCTTTTGAATGTGTTTGCTCTTGCTTTTCTAGTTCTTTTAGTTGTGATGTTAGGGTGTCAATTTTGGATCTTTCCTGCTTTCTCTTGTAGGCATTTAGTGCTATAAATTTCCCTCTACACACTGCTTTGAATGCGTCCCAGAGATTCTGGTATGTGGTGTCTTTGTTCTCGTTGGTTTCAAAGAACATCTTTATTTCTGCCTTCATTTCATTATGTACCCAGTAGTCATTCAGGAGCAGGTTGTTCAGTTTCCATGTAGTTGAGCGGCTTTGAGTGAGATTCTTAATCCTGAGTTCTAGTTTGATTGCACTGTGGTCTGAGAGATAGTTTGTTATAATTTCTGTTCTTTTACATTTGCTGAGGAGAGCTTTACTTCCAACTATGTGGTCAATTTTGGAATAGGTGTGGTGTGGTGCTGAAAAAAATGTATATTCTGTTGATTTGGGGTGGAGAGTTCTGTAGATGTCTATTAGGTCTGCTTGGTGCAGAGCTGAGTTCAATTCCTGGGTATCCTTGTTGACTTTCTGTCTCGTTGATCTGTCTAATGTTGACAGTGGGGTGTTAAAGTCTCCCATTATTAATGTGTGGGAGTCTAAGTCTCTTTGTAGGTCACTCAGGACTTGCTTTATGAATCTGGGTGCTCCTGTATTGGGTGCATAAATATTTAGGATAGTTAGCTCCTCTTGTTGAATTGATCCCTTTACCATTATGTAATGGCCTTCTTTGTCTCTTTTGATCTTTGTTGGTTTAAAGTCTGTTTTATCAGAGACTAGGATTGCAACCCCTGCCTTTTTTTGTTTTCCATTGGCTTGGTAGATCTTCCTCCATCCTTTTATTTTGAGCCTATGTGTGTCTCTGCACGTGAGATGGGTTTCCTGAATACAGCACACTGATGGGTCTTGACTCTTTATCCAACTTGCCAGTCTGTGTCTTTTAATTGCAGAATTTAGTCCATTTATATTTAAAGTTAATATTGTTATGTGTGAATTTGATCCTGTCATTATGATGTTAGCTGGTGATTTTGCTCATTAGTTGATGCAGTTTCTTCCTAGTCTCGATGGTCTTTACATTTTGGCATGATTTTGCAGCGGCTGGTACCGGTTGTTCCTTTCCAGGTTTAGCGCTTCCTTCAGGAGCTCTTATAGGGCAGGCCTGGTGGTGACACAATCTCTCAGCATTTGCTTGTCTATAAAGTATTTTATTTCTCCTTCACTTATGAAGCTTAGTTTGGCTGGATATGAAATTCTGGGTTGAAAATTCTTTTCTTTAAGAATGTTGAATATTGGCCCCCACTCTCTTGTGGCTTGTAGGGTTTCTGCCGAGAGATCCGCTGTTAGTCTGATGGGCTTTCCTTTGAGGGTAACCCGACCTTTCTCTCTGGCTGCCCTTAACATTTTTTCCTTCATTTCAACTTTGGTGAATCTGACAATTATGTGTCTTGGAGTTGCTCTTCTCGAGGAGTATCTTTGTGGCGTTCTCTGTATTTCCTGAATCTGAACGTTGGCCTGCCTTGCTAGATTGGGGAAGTTCTCCTGGATAATATCCTGCAGAGTGTTTTCCAACTTGGTTCCATTCTCCCCATCACTTTCAGGTACACCAATCAGACGTAGATTTGGTCTTTTCACATAGTCCCATATTTCTTGGAGGCTTTGCTCATTTCTTTTTATTCTTTTTTCTCTAAACTTCCCTTCTTGCTTCATTTCATTCATTTCATCTTCCATGGCTGATACCCTTTCTTCCAGTTGATCGCATCGGCTCCTGAGGCTTCTGCATTCTTCACGTAGTTCTCGAGCCTTGGTTTTCAGCTCCATCAGCTCCTTTAAGCACTTCTCTGTATTGGTTATTCTAGTTATACATTCTTCTAAATTTTTTTCAAAGTTTTCAACTTCTTTGCCTTTGGTTTGAATGTCCTCCCGTAGCTCAGAGTAATTTGATCGTCTGAAGCCTTCTTCTCTCAGCTCGTCAAAATCATTCTCCATCCAGCTTTGTTCTGTTGCTGGTGAGGAACTGCGTTCCTTTGGAGGAGGAGAGGCGCTCTGCGTTTTAGAGTTTCCAGTTTTTCTGTTCTGTTTTTTCCCCATCTTTGTGGTTTTATCTACTTTTGGTCTTTGATGATGGTGATGTACAGATGGGTTTTCGGTGTAGATGTCCTTTCTGGTTGTTAGTTTTCCTTCTAACAGACAGGACCCTCAGCTGCAGGTCTGTTGGAATACCCTGCCGTGTGAGGTGTCAGTGTGCCTCCCAGTTAGGCTGCTCGGGGGTCAGGGGTCAGGGACCCACTTGAGGAGGCAGTCTGCCCGTTCTCAGATCTCCAGCTGCGTGCTGGGAGAACCACTGCTCTCTTCAAAGCTGTCAGACAGGGACACTTAAGTCTGCAGAGGTTACTGCTGTCTTTTTGTTTGTCTGTGCCCTGCCCCCAGAGGTGGAGCCTACAGAGGCAGGCAGGCCTCCTTGAGCTGTGGTGGGCTCCACCCAGTTCGAGCTTCCCGGCTGCTTTGTTTACCTAAGCAAGCCTGGGCAATGGCGGGCGCCCCTCCCCCAGCCTCGTTGCCGCCTTGCAGTTTGATCTCAGACTGCTGTGCTAGCAATCAGCGAGATTCCGTGGGCGTAGGACCCTCTGAGCCAGGTGTGGGATATAGTCTCGTGGTGCGCCGTTTCTTAAGCCGGTCTGAAAAGCGCAATATTCGGGTGGGAGTGACCCGATTTTCCAGGTGCGTCCGTCACCCCTTTCTTTGACTCGGAAAGGGAACTCCCTGACCCCTTGCGCTTCCCAGGTGAGGCAATGCCTCGCCCTGCTTCGGCTCGCGCACGGTGCGCACACACACTGGCCTGCGCCCACTGTCTGGCACTCCCTAGTGAGATGCACCCGGTACCTCAGATGGAAATGCAGAAATCACCTGTTTTCTGCGTCGCTCACGCTGGGAGCTGTAGACTGGAGCTGTTCCTATTCGGCCATCTTGGCTCTGCATGTTGATTTTGTATCCTGAGACTTTGCTTGTCAGCTTAAGAAGCTTTTGGGCTGAGATGATGGGGTTTTCTAGATATAGCATCATGTCATCTACAAATATAGTTTGACTTCCTCTCTTTCTGTTTGAATGCACTTGATTTCTTTCTCTTGCATGATTGCCCTGGCTAGAATTTCCAATACTATGTTTAATAGGAGTGGTGAGAGAAGCTATCCTTGTCTTGTGCCAGTTTTCAAGGCTAATGCTCACAGCTTTTGCTCATTTAGTATGATACTGTCTGTGGGTTTGTCATATATGGTGCTTATTATTTTGTGATACGTTCCTTCAGTTACATTGTATACAAAAATCAACTCAAGGTGGATTAAATACTTCAATGTAAACCCAAAACCCAAAACTATAAAAACCCTTGGAGAAAATCTAGGCAATACCATTCAGGGCATAGTCATGGGCAAAGATTTCATGAGGAAGATGCCAAAAGCAATGGCAACAAACACAAAAACTGACAAATGGGATCTAATTAGACTAAAAAGCTTCTGTACAACAAAATAAACTATCATCAGAGTGGACAGACAACCTATAGAATAGGGAAGACTTTTTGCAATCTGGCCATCTGACAAAGATCTAACAACACCTAATATCCAGCATGTACAAGGAATGTAAACAAATTTACAAGAGAAAAGCAAACAGTCCCATTAAAAAGTGGGCAAAGGACATGAACAGATGCTTCTCAAAAGAAGACATACATGTGGCCAACAAACATATGAAAAAAAGTTTAACATCACTGATCATTAGAGAAATGCAAATGAAAACCACAATGAGATATCATCTCGCACCAGTCAGAATGGCTATTATTAAAAAGTCAAAAAACAACAGATGCTGGCATGGTTGTGGAGAAAAAAGAATGCTTTTACACTGTTGGGAGTGTAAATTAGTTCAACCGTTGTGGAAGACAGTGTGGCAATTCCTCAAAGACCTGAAGACAGAAATAGCATTTGACCCAGCAATCCCATTACTGGGTATATACCCAAAATAATATAAATCCTTCTATTAGACAAATACAGGCACACTTATGTTCATTGCAGCACTATTCACAATAGCAAAGACACGGAATCAACACAAATGCCCATCAATGATAGAAAATGTGATACATATACAGCATGTAATACTATGCAGCTATAGAAAGGATCATGTCCTTTGCAGGGACATGAATGGAGCTGGAGGCCATTATCCTCAGCAAATTAATATAGGAATGGAAAACCAAATACTCTATGTTCTCACTTATAAGTGGGAGCTGAATGATGAGAACATATGGACACATGGTGGGGAACAACACACACTGGGGCCTGTTAGAGGGTGAAGCTGGGGAGGAGGGAGAGCATCAGAAAGAATAGCTCATGGATGCTGGGCTTAATACCTGGGTGATGGGATGATCTGTGCAGCAAACCACCATGGCACACGTTTGCCTATGTAACAAACCTGCACATCCTGCACAGGTACCCTGAACTTAATAAAATTATATAAATGCTAAATGCAGTAAAGAAAAAGAAATAGATTGATAAATATTTTTGCCTTTTTTCTTTACAATCCAGAGACTTGATTTAAAAATTAACACATATTCAATCAAAAGGATGACAAAGGTGATATATTTATTTTTTCAGGGACTTTATAATTGATGGCTTATCAGTGGAGAGAAATCATGTTCTTGTTAGAATAAATCTTGTTGGTGGGCCATTGGAACGGATTTTGCCTCCGAGGTTACTCGAAAAGGTGAGTGTGGGGCAAAGAGAAGTGGGATGTGTTTTTCTGACATATTTTGAAGCAAGATAGCCAACTCAAAGTCACCCTAAACTTTACCTCTTAAATGTCTACATCACAGAGTTGAACTTATTACTTGAGAATATTTAGGATGCAAATAAATACTTTCAAACTAAAATAATATTTTTGATGTCTAAGGGTCATGAATGCTAAAGTAGGGTATGTATTGTTTGCATGTGTAGTAGAGTAGGTATTGTTTTATTAAAAAGTTATTTTTCTTATGCGCCTTTGAATATTTTACTTTCAATGTCTTTCTCATTCATGATACTTAACTTTTATTATTAAATGACATTATTTTTTATTTTATTGGAAACATTGAGTACCTCTCCTTCCATCAGTATTCAAGTATGGGTTTCTCATGAAGGTTTTTCATTTGTTTTCATTGTTGTTAAGAACCTTCTTGCTTTGACTGTCACTCTCGGAAAGATAAGATAGAAATGACTGACAGCACGAGAAAAAGTTTTGTGGAAAAAACCACAGGTTTCTTTTGAAGATTACAATTTTCCTTTTATGAAAAAAAACACAGTAAATTTATCATTATCAATTCTGCTTACTACAAGTTACCATATGTTTGTCCTCAGTACTAATTTAATATTGTTTCTGTTACAGCTTGTTTTAAGTATTACCCATTGGAATATTGAAGTATAGTATCAAATAGCTTTTGGTTAACTGGGCAACAACTGCAGAATTTATGAGCAAGAAAAGCCAGTTTAAGTTAACAATATTTCAGATAGCTTTAAAATTCAATATTATTTTAGACCACTTCCTAAAGTCATCTGTCTTGCTTCTTTTTTAGAGTGATAATCCATATCCTTGGCCAATGTTTTCATCATATCCATTGCCAAACTGCTATCTGTCAGACATTACAAGAAATGCTGGTATAAAACAAGGTAAAATATTTACCATCAAATGCCATATTATTTTTAAAGCTTTTGTTATAATTTGAAAAAAAGAAAATATTAAGGAAGATGAATATTGACTGCATTTAGCATGTATACATGTGTGCATTTATGCCTATTTCTTTGTATTTTTTTCCTCATGTTTCTTACTAACTTGGTACAGTCATGCACTGCATAATGACATTTTGGTTAATGATGGACCAAGTATACAAAGGTGGTCTTATAAGATTATTATACCACATTTTTACTGTACCTTTTAAAATCTTTAAATATGTTTAGATGCACAATACCATTGTGCTATAATTGCCTACAGTATTCAGTACAGTAACATGCTGTATAGACTTGTAGCCTAGGAGCAATAGGCTACACCGTGTAGCCTAGGTGTAGAGTTAGACTATACCCTCTAGGTTTGTGTAAGATCACTCTACAGTGTTCACAAAGTGACAAAATTGCTTGAGGATGCAATTCTCAGAATGTATTCTCATTATATTAAGCAATGCATGACTATTTGTATGAGGCTAATTATTCTTATTTCTTGTTGCTAAGCTGTAGCTGATCTGTCCAGTAGCAACAGCTGTTTGATTAAAAAAAAAGTAATGGTCTTTGATTTGTGCAATTAATTCTAGGTATGTATCAACAGAGTAGTAATTTTTAGTAACTGCTATGTGCTATACACAGGTCTTGTATACTCAACAACTGAAATTAGTGAAGATTATGGTTCCCACCTTTGTGGAGTCATGAACTCTTACAGAATGCATTCAAATAATTAGATAATTGTATAGCAGTACAATGTGATGGGAACTAAATAGAAAAATGTATAGCCTGCTAGGATAGTCCATAAGCAGGATACTCTTCCAAAGAAGAATATGTATATAATGAGGCATGTAGTTTAAATATTTATTTTCTGAGTAAGAGAAGAGCATTTTTTCTTTTTGGCAGAGGAAAAAGCAGAGGGGCTGGAAGAAGCAAGTTATAGTCAGAGAACTGTGGTAGTTGAACAATGTCTGAGATTTGGAATGTGACAGCAAGAGTGACAGGAAGTAAGACTGAACATGTAAGCCCAGCCATAAGACCAGTGGAGATCAAACTCAGGTGTTTAGACATTATCTTATGAGCCACTAAAATTCAAACAGAATTTTTAGGCTAGAGAATTCTAAGATGAAAGATGAAGCTACATGGCCTATCTGCAGGCCACCACTCTTAAACTCTACCTACTGGATAGAAGCCCAAATTACAACACCAAAAACATTTTGCCAGTATACAGTGCCTGTGACACTTAAGGCAAAAATTCAGCCACAAATAAAGTTTCTGTATAGGGTTGTAGCTCTCTGAAAGCACCCAGAAACAAAGCCAACTGAGTATACTCAACTTACCTCACAGTTAAAGGAACACCAGCACTCCACATGGCAATTCAAAAAGCTGGAGTGTCCTCTTACCTCCAACCAAATGCACTAGTTTCCCAGCAGTGGTTCTTAACCATATTGAAAGGAATGAAATGACAGACCTAGGATTCAGAATCTGGCTGGTAAGGAAGATCATTGAGATCCAGGAGAAAGTTGAAACCCAGTCCTAGAAATCCAAGGAATCCAGTGCAATGATCCAGGAGCTAAAAGAAAAAATAACCATTTCAAGAAAGAACTAAACTGAACCTCTGGAATTGAATAATTCACCTTAAGAATTTCATAATTAGTCCTAAAGCATAGTCAGAAGTATTAATAGCAGAATAGACCAAGCTAAGGAAAGAATCTCAAAGCTTGAAGACTGGTTCTTGAATCAACTAAGTCAGACACAAAGAAAAAATAATTTTTAAAAGTGACAAAACTTCCAAGAAATATGAGATTATGTAAAGAGACCAAATCTATGACTCATTTGCATTCTTGAGAGGGAAGGAGAGAGTGTAAGTAACTTGGAAAACATTTGAAGTCCATCAAAATTTTCCCAAGTTTGCTAGAGATGTAGACACAAGAATTTAAGAAATACAGAGATCACTTGCAAGATACTATACAGGATGACGATCCCCAAGGCACATCATCATCAGATTTACCAAAATCATTGCAAAAGAAAAAACTTAAAGGCAGCTAGAGAGAAAGGTTGGGTCACCTACAAAGGGAACCTCATCATGCTAGCAACAGACTTTTCAGCAGAAACCTTAAAGCCAGAAGAGATTGGAGGCCTATTTTCAGCATTTTTAAGGTAAAGAAATTTCAACCAAGAATTTAATATCCCACCAAACTCAGCTTCAGGGTAAAGGAAATATAAAATCCTTCTCAGATAAGCAACTACTAAGGGAATTCATTACTACCAGACCAGCCTTACAAGAGGTCATTAAGAGAGTGCTAAACATGGAAATGGAAGATCAAAACCTGCTACCGCAAAGACACACTAAAGCACATAACTCACAGACAGTATAAAGGAATTACACCATCAAGTCTATAAAACAACCAACTGCCAACCGAATGACAGGATCAGAATCTCACATATCAGTACTAATACCCTGAATGTAACTGGCCTAAACACCCCACTTAAAAAGCATAGAGTGGCAAGCTGGATAAAAAGATAAGACCCAACTGTCTGCTGTCTTCAAGAGACACATCTCACATGTAATGGCACTCACAGGCTCAAAGGGATGCAGAAAAACAACCACACAAATGGAAAACATAAAAGAGCAGGTGTTGCAGTTCTTGTATCAGATAAAATAGACTTTTAACCAACAACAACCAGGAAGAATAAAGAAGGCCATAACATAATGATAAAGTGTTCAAGTAAACAAGAAGACTTAGCTATCCTACATATGTATGCACTCAACATTAGAGCACTCAGATTCACAAAACAAGTTTTTCTTGACACTGGAAAAGACTTATATAGCCCCTAAATTATAGTGATGGACTTCAACACCCCATTGACAACATTAGGCAGATCACTGAGGCAGAAAATTCCACAAAGATATTGTGGAATTAAACTTGACACTTGGTGAAGTAGACCTAATAAGTATCCAAAGAATACTCCACCTAACAATGATAGAATATACATTCTTGTCTTCTACACATGCAACATATTCTGTGATTGACCATATGCTTGGCCATAAAACAAATCTCAGTGAATTTTTAAAAATGATGCCAAGCACACTCTCAGACCACAGTGCCATAAAAATGGAAATTAATACTAAGAAGATTTCTCAAAACTACACAAAAACATGGAAATTAAACAACTAGCTCTTTATAACCCTTGAGTGAACAATGAAATTAAGTCAGAAATAAAAACTTTCTTTGAAACTAATCAAAGTAGAGATGCAACTTACTAACATCTTTGGGATGCAGCTAAATTTGTGCTAAGAGATAAGTTTATAGTCCTATGGCTTTCATCAAGAGGTTAGAAAGACCTTAAATTAATGATCTAACATCATACCTAGAGGAAATGGAAAAAAAACCCACCTGACTCCAGAGTTAGCAAAAGAAAATAAATAATTAAAATCAAAGAAAACTGAATGAAATTGTGACACAAACATCCATAAAAAAGATAAGTGAGACCAATAATTGATTTTTTAAAAGGAAAAACAAGATAGATAGACTGCTAGCTGGATTAACAAAGAAAAAAAAAAGAAGATCCAAATAAGCACAGTCAAAAATGACAAAAATGACATTACAACTGATCCCACAGAAATACAAAAGATCAAAATACAAAGAGACTATTATGAACACTTCAATGCACACAAATTAGAAAGTCTATAGGATATTGATAAGTTCCTGAAAACATGATATCCTAAGATTGAACCAGGAAGAAAGTAAAATTCTGAACATACCAATAACAAATTTCAAAACTGAATCAGTAATACAAAGCCTAACAACCAAAAAAAAAAAGCCTGGGACCAGATGGATTCATACAGAATTCTACTAGATGTATAAAGAACTGATAGCAATCCTTATGAAACTATTCCAAAAAGTTGAAGAGGAGGAGCTTCTTTATAACTTATTTTACAAAGCCAATATTATCCTGATACCAAACTCTGACAGAGACAACAAAAAAAGAAACTTTAGGCCAAATATTCTTGATGAACATAGGCAAAAAAAATTTCAGCAAAATACTAGTAAATGAAATCCAGCAGCATATTTTTATCCAGCAGCAAAAGTTAATTCACCACAAGTTAGAGTTTATTCCTGAGATGCAAGTTTGGTTCATCATATGCAAATCAATGAATGTGATTCACCACATAAACAGAATAAAAAACAAAAACTACATTACCGTTTCAATAGACACAGAAAAAGCCCTCAGTAAAATCCAACATCTCTTCATGATAAAAACCCTCAATAGGCTAGGCATAAAGGAACATATCTCAAAATAATAAGAGCCATCTATGACAAATCCACAGCTAACATCACAGCATTATACTGAATGGGTAAAAAGTGGAATCATTCCCTTTGAGAACTGAAAAAAGACAACTATGCCTACTCTCACTACACTTGTTCAACATAGTACTGAAAGTGCTTGCTAGAACAATTAGGCAAGAGAAAGAAAGAAAAAGCATCCAAATAGGAAAAGAAGAAGTTAAACTATCTCCCCTTGCTGATGATACAATTCTATACATAGAAAACCCTAGGATTCTAATAAAAGGACCCTAGGAATGATAAATGATTTCAGTAAAATTTCAAGATAAAAAATCAATGAACAAAAGTCAGCTTTTCTATACAACAGTATAGATTGAAAGCCAAATCAAGAACATAATCCCATTTGCTATAGCCACACACACACCCACACACAGTAAAGCCTAGGAATGCATCTAACTAATGATGGGAAGTAGTTCTACAAGGAGAACTACAAACATTGCTGAAAGAAATCAGAGATGACATGAATAAATGGAAGAATATTTCTGCTCATGGATTGTAGGAATCAATATTGTTAAAATGGCCATACTTCCCAAAGCAATTTATAGATTCAGTGCTATCCCTATTAAAATACCAATATCATTTTTCACAGAATTAGAAATATGTATTCTGAAATTCATATGGAACCAAAAAAGAGCTGGAATACCAAAGCAATACTAAGTAAAAACAACAAAGTTGGAGGCATCACATTACCTGACTTCAAACTATACTATAAGGTGAAAGTAACCAACATGGCATGGTACTGGTGCAGAAACAGACACATAGACCAATAAAACAGAATAGAGAACCCAGAAACAAGCCTACACACTTACTATTAGACCTTTTTCAGATGAATAGTTTGTGAACATTTTCTCCTATTCTGCAGGTTGTCTGTTTACTCTGTTGGTAATTACTTTTGCTGTGCAGAAACTCTTTAATTAGGTTGCACTTATCAATTTTTGTTTTTGTTACAATGGCTTTTGGGAACTTAGCCATAAGTTTTTTGCCAAAGCCTATGTCGAGAAGGGTGTTTTCCAGATTTTCTTCTAGGAATTTTATAGTTTGAGATCTTAAATGTAAATCATTAATCCATCTTGAGTTAATTTTTGTATATGGTAAGGTAGGGAGCTAATATCAAGAATCTAACAGGGCCTTGAACAAATCAACAAGTAAAAAACAAATAATCTGATTCCCTGACAAGATGGCGTAATAGGAACAGCTCCAGTCCTCAGATCCCAGTGAGACCAATGCAGAAGGCGGGTGATTTCTGCACTTCCAACTGAGGTACCTGGTTCATCTCACTGGGACTGGTTAGACAGTGGGTGAAGCCCACGGAGGGTGAACAGAAGCAGGGTAGCTCTGTTCTCACCTAGGAAGCTCAAGAGTTTGGGGAACTCCCTCCCCTAGCCAAGGGAGGCCATTAGAGACTGTGCCATGAGGGACGGTGCTATCCAGTCCAGGTACTACGCTTTTCCCACCATCTTCGCAACCCAGAGACTAGGAGATTCCCTTGGGTGCCTACACCACAAGGTTTCAAGCACAAAACTGTGCAGCCATTTGGACAGACACCAAGCTAGGTGCAGGAGGTTTTTTTTTTTTTTTTGTACCCTAGTGTCTCCTGGAATGCCATCAAGACAGAACCATTCACTTCCCTGGAAAGGGGGCTGAAGCCAGGGATCCAAGTGGTCTTGCCCAGCAGATCCTACCCCCATGGAGCCCAGCAAGCTAAGATCTACTGGCTTGAAATTCTCACTGACAGTACAGCAGTCTGAAGTCGACCTGGTATACGCAAGCTTGGTGGTGGGAGGGGCATCCACCTTATTAAGGCTTGAGTGGTGGTTTTCCCCTCACAATGTAAAACAAGCCACCTGGATATTAGGACTGGGTGGAGCCCACCTCAGTGCCTCAAAGCCCCTGTAGCCACACTGCCTCTCTAGATTCCTCCTCTCCGGGCAGGGCATCTCTGAAAGAAAGGCAGCAGCCCCAGTCAGGGGCTTATAGATAAAACTCGCATCTCCATGGGACAGAGCCCCAGGGGGAAGGGGCGGTTGTGGGTGCAGCTACAGCAGACTTAAACGTTCCTGCTTGCTGGCTCTGAAGAGAGGAGTGGATCTCCAAGCACAGTGCTTGACCTCTGGTAAGGGACAGACTGCCTCCTCAAGTGGGTCCCTGACCCCATACCTCCAGATGGGGAGAAACCTCACAGCAGGGTTCAACAGACACCTTATACAGGAGAGCTTCAGCTGGCATCTGGTGGGTGCCCCTCTGGGACGAAGATTCCATAAGAAGGAACAGGCAGCAATCTTTGCTGTTCTGCAACCTCCAATGGTGATACCCAGGCAAACATGGCCTGGAGTGGACTCCCAGCAAACTCCAGCAGATGTGCAGAAGAGGGGTCTGTTAGAAGGAAAACTAACAAACAGAAAGCAATGGCATCAACATCAAGAAGGACCACGCAAAAACTCCATCCCAAGGTCACCAATAGCAAAGACCAAAGGTAGATAAATCCACAAAGGTGAGGAAAAACCAGTAAAAAAAAGCCAACAAGTCCAAAAACCAGAACACCTTTTCTCCTGCAAAGGATTACAACTCCTCTCCAGCCAGGGAACAAAACTTTGGACAGAGAATGAGTTTGACAAATTGACAGTAGGCTTTAGAAGGTGGGTAATAACAAACTCCTCCAAGCTAAAGGAGCACTTTCTAATCCAATGCAAGTAAGCTAAGAACCTTGATAAAAGGTTACAGGAATTGCTACTAGACTAACCAGTTAAGAGAAGAACATAAGTGACCTGATGGAACTGAAAAACACAGCACGAGAAAATTGTGAAGCATACACAAGTATCAGTAGCCAAATCAATCAAGCGGAAGAAAGTGTATCAGGGATTGAAGATGAGCTTCATGAAATAAAGCATGAAGACAAGATTAGAGAAAAAAGAATGAAAAGGAATGAACAAAGCCTCCAAAAAATATGAGACTATGAGAAAAGACCAAACCTACATTTGATTGGTGTACCTGAAAGTGATGGGGAGAATGGAACCATGTTGGAAAACACTCTTCAGGATATTACCGAGGAGAACCCTTCCCCAACCTAGCAAGACAGGCCAACATTCAAATTCAGGAAATACAGAGAACACCACAAAGATGCTCCTTGAGAAGAGCAACCCCAAGACACATAATCGACAGAATCACCAAGGTTGAAATAAAGGAAAAAATTTTAAGGCAGTCAGAGAGAAAGGTCAGGTTACCCACAAAGAGGAGCCCATTAGACTAACAGCAGATCTCTCTGCAGAAACCCTACAAGCCAGAAGAGAGTGGAGGCCAATGTTCAACATTCTTAAGAAAATAATTTTCAACCAGAATTTCATACCCAGCTAAACTAAGCTTCATAAGTGAAGAAAGAATAAAATCCTTTACAGACAAACAAATGCTGAGGGATTTTGTCACTCCAGGCCTGCCTTACAAGAGCTCCTGAAGAAAGCACTAAATATTGAAAGGAAAAACCAGTACCAGCCACTGCAAAAACAAACCAAAATGTGAAGACCATCAACACTGTGAAGAAACTACGCCAACTAATGGGCAAAATAACCAGCTAGCATCATAATGACAGAAACAAATTCACACATAACAATATTAACCTTAACTGTAAACAAGCTAAATGCCCCAATTAAAAGACACAGACTGGCAAATTGGATAAAGAGTTAAGACCCATCAATGTGCTGTATTCAGGAGACCCATCTCATATACAAAGACACACATAGGCTCAAAATAAAGGCATGGACGAAGATTTACCAGGCAAATGGAAAGCATAAAAAAGCAGGAGTTGCAATCCTAGTTTCTGATAAAACAGACTTTAAACCAACAAAGATCAAAAAAGACAATGAAGGGCATTACATAATGGTGAAGGAATCAATGCAACAAGAAGAGCTAACTATCCTAAATATATGTGCACCCAATACAAGAGCACCTAGATTCATAAAGCAAGTTCTTAGAGACCTACAAAGAGACTTAGACTCACACACAATAATAGTGGGAGACTTTAGCACCCTACTGTCAATATTAGACAGTTGATCGAGACAGAAAATTAACGAGAATATTCAGGACTTGCACTCAGCTGTAGAACAAGCAGATCTAATAGACATCTACAGAACTCTCCACCCCAAATCAACAGAATATACATTCTTCTCAGCACCACATAGCACTTATTCTAAAATCAACCACATAATTAGAAGTAAAACACTCCTCAGCAAATCCAAAAGAATGGAAATCATAATAAACAGTCTCTCAGACCACAGTGCAATCAAATTAGAACTCAGGATTAAGAAATTCACTCAAAACCGCACAACTACATGGAAACTGAACAACCTGCTCCTGCATGACTACTGGGTAAATAATAAAATTTAGGCAGTAACAAGTAAATTCTTTGAAACCAATGAGAATAGACACAATGTACCAGAATCTCTGGGACACAGCTAAAGCAGTGTTAGAGGGAAATTTATAGCACTAAATGCCCACAAGAGAAAGTGGGAAAGACCTAAAATCGACACCCTGATATCACAATTAAAAGAACTAGAGAAGCAAGAGCAAACAGATTCAAAAGCTAGCAGAAGACAAGAAACAACTAAGATCAGAGCAGACCTGAAGGAGATAGAGACAGAAAAGACCCTTCAGAAAATCAATGAATCCAGGAGTTGGTTTTTTGAAAAGATTAACAAAATAGATAGACCACTAGCCAGACTACTAAAGAAGAAAAAAGAGAAGAATCAAATAGACACAATAAAAAATGATAAAGGGGATATCACCACTGATCCCACAGAAATACAAACTACCGACAGAGAATATTATAAACACTTATATGCAAATAAACTAGAAAATCTAGAAGAAATTGATAAATTCTTGGACACATACACCCTCCCAAGACTAAACCAGGAAGAAGTTGAATCCTTGAATAGACCAATAGCAAGTTCTGAAATTGAGGCAATAATTAATAGTCTACCAACCAAAATAAGCCCAGGACCAGATGGATTCACAGCCAAATTCTGCCAGAGGTACAAAGAGGAGCTGGTACCCATTCCTTCTGAAACTATTCCAATCAATAGAAAAAGAAGGACTCCTCCCCAACTCATTTCATGAGGCCAGCATCATCCTGATACCAAAACCTGGCAGAGACACAACAAAAATAAAATTTCAGGCCAATATCCTTGATGAACATCGACGTAAAAATCCTCAATAAAATACTGGCAAACTGAACCCAGCAGCATATTAAAAGCTTATCCACTACAATCAAGTCGGCTTCATCCCTGGGATGCAAGGCTGGTTCAACATATGCAAATCAATAAATATAATCCATCACATAAACAGAACAGACAAAAACATTGATGATCTCAATAGATGCAGGAAAGTCTGATAAAATGCAACACCCCTTCATGCTAAAAACTTTTAATAAACTAGGAATTGATGGAACGTATCTCAAAATAATAAGAGTTATTTATGAGAAACCCACAGCCAATGTCATACTGAATGGGCAAAATTTGGAAGCATTCCCTTTGAAAACTGGCACAGATAAGGATGCCCTCTCTCACCAATCCTATTCAACATAGTGTTGGAAGTTTTGGCCAGGGCAGTCTAGCAAGAGAGGGTATAAAATACCTAGGAATCCAACTTACAAGGGATGTGAAGGATCTCTTCAAAGAGAACTACAAACCACTGCTTAAGGAAATAAGAGAGGACACAAACGAATGGAAAAACATTCCATGCTCATGCATAGGAATAATCAATATCATGAAAATGGCCATACTGCCCAAAGCAATTTATAGATTCAATGCTATTCCCATCAGGCTACCATTGACTTTCTTCACAGAACTAAAAAAATGTACTTTAAATTTCATGTGGAACCGATAGAGAGCCCGTATAGCAAAGACAATTCTAAGCAATAAGAACAAAGCTGGAGGCATCATGCTACCTGACTTCAAACTATACTACAAGGCTACAGTAACTGAAACAGCATGGTACTGGTACCAAAACAAATATATAGACCAATGGAACAGAACAGAGGCCTCAGAAATAGCACTACACATCTACAATCATCTGATCTTTGACAAACCTGACAAAAACAAGAAATGGGGAAAGGATTCCCTATTTAATAAATGGTATTGAGAAAACTGGACCCCATATGCCAAAAAATGAAACTGGACCCCTTTGTTATAACTTATACAAAGATTAACTCAAGATAGATTAAAGATTTAAATGTAAGACTTAAAACCGTAAAGACCCCAGAAGAAAACCTAGGCAATACCATTCAGGACATAGACATGGGCAAAGACTTCATGACTAAAACACCAAAAGCAATTCCAGCAAAAGCCAAAATTGACAAATGGGATCTAATTAAACTACAGAGTTCCTGCACAGCAAAAGAAACTATCATCAGAGTGAACAGGCAACCTACAGAATGGGAGAAAAAATTTTCAATCTATCCATCTGACAACGGATAATAATACCCAGAATCTACAAAGAACTTAAACAAATTTACAAGAAAAAAACCAACCCCATCAAACAGTGAGCAAAGGATATGAACAGACAGTTTTCAAAAGAAGACATTTATGCAGCCAATAAACATGAAAAAAAATAGCTCATCATCACTGGCCATTAGAGAGATGCAAATCAAAACCACAGTGAGATACCATCTCATGCCTGTTAGAATGGTGATCATTAAAAAGTCAGGTAACAATGGATGCTGGAGAGGATGTGGTGATATAGGACTGCTTTTCACTTTGGGAGGCTGAGGCAGGCAGATCACCTGAGGTCAGGAGTTCAACACCAGCCTGGCCAACATGGTGAAACCACATCTTTACTAAAAATCCAAACATTCGCTGGGCATGGTGGCACATGCCTGTAATCCCAGCTACCCGGGAGGCTGAGGCAGGAGAATTGCTGCAACCTGCTAGGCAGAGGCTGCAGTGAGCTGAGATAGTGCCACTATACTCCAGCCCAGGTGACAGAGCGAGACTCCATCTAAAAAAAAAAGAAATAGGGACGCTTTTACACTGTTGGTCACAGTGTAAACTTCAACCGTTGTGGAAGATGGTGTGGCAATTCCTCAAGGATATAGAACTGGAAATAGCATTTGACCCAGCAATTCCATTAGTGTGTATATACCCAGAGGATTTTAAGTGATTCTGTTATAAAGACACATGCACACGTATGTTTATTGCAGCACTGTTCACAATAGCAAAGACTTGAAACCAACCCAAATGCCCATCAGTGATAGACTTGATAAAGAAAATGTGGCATATGTACACCATGGAATACTATGCAACCATAAAAAAAAATTAGTTCATGTCCTTTTCAGGGACAGGGATGAAGCTGGAAACCATTATTCTCAGCAAACTAACACAGGAACAGGAAACCAAACACTGCATGTTCTCACTCGTAAGTGGGAATTGAACAATGAGAACATATGGGCACAGGGAGGGGAACATCACACACTGGGGCCTGTCGGGGGTTGGGAGGCAAGGGGTGGGATAGCATTAGGAGAAATACCTAATGTAGATGACAGGTTGATGGGTACAGGAAACCACCATGGCACATGTATACCTATGTAACAAACCTGCACGTTCTGCACATGTATCCCAGAACTTAAAGTATAATAAAACCAACCAACAAACAAATATTCCAATTAAAAAATGGGCAAAGGACATGGACTGATACTTCTCAAAAAAAAAAAAAAAGACATACAAGTTACAAAAATAATATGAGACTGGGCGCGGTGGCTCACGCCTGTAATCCCAGCACTTTGAGAGGCCGAGGCAGGCCGATCCTGAGATCAGGAGATCAAGACCATCCTGACTAACATGGTTAAACCCTGTCTCTACTAAAAATACAAAAAAATTAGCCAGGTGTGGTGGCAGGCACCTGTAGTCCCAGCTACTCAGGAGGCTGAGGCAGGAGAATGGCGTGAACCCGGGAGGTGGAGTTTGCAGTGAGCCGAGATTGCACCACTGCACTCCAGCCTGGGTGACAGAGCAAGACTCCGTCTCAAAAAAAATAAAAAAATAAAAAAATATTAAAAATGCTCACCATCACTAATCATCAGATAAATGCAACCAAATCAACAGATACCATCTCTCACCAGTCAGAATGGCAATAATTTAAAAGTCAAAAAATAACAGATGTTGGCAGGGCTTCCGAGAAAAGAGAACACTTACACACTTTTGGTGCAAATGCAAATTAGTTCAGCCACTGTGGAAAGCATTCTGGAGATTTCTCAAAGAACTTAAAACAGAACTGCCCTTCAACCTAGCAATCCCACTACTGACTATATATCCAAAGGAAATAACTCATTCTATCAAAAACACACATGCACTCGTGTTTTCATTGCAGCTATTCACAATAGCAAAGACATGGAATCAACATAGGTGCCCAACAATTGTGGATTGGATAAAGAGAATATGGTGCATATTCACCATGGAATACTACACAGCCATAAAAAGGAATGAAATCATGTCCTTTGCAGCAACATGGATGCAGCTGGATGCCATTATTCTAAGTGCATTAATGCAAGAACAGAAAACCAAATACTGCATATTCTCATAAGTGGGAGCTAAACATTGAAAACACATACACATAAAGATAGAAACAATATACACTAGGGACTACTAGATAGGGTGATGGAGGGAGGAAGGGGGAGCATGGGATGAAAAGCTGCTGTTGGCTGCTGTGCTCATCACCCTGGTGACAGGACCATCTGTATCCCAAACCTCACTGTCGCTCAATATACCCATATAGCAACCCTGTACATATTTCCCCTGAATCTAAAATTTAAAAAATACAAATGAGAAAATTAGGTTAAATGAACACTTTTGAGTAGAAAAATATATTATTAGTTCCTAGGAATCAGTGCTCAGAGAAGTATAATTTTATTTTCTCCTCTTATCTATGATTCAGGAAAAGGAGTAATAATAGTTTCTCTGTGTAACCCAGAATATAACTGCAGATGACTGACTTAGGCGTGAATGTACTGCTGCCAGTATACCCAGTATGGTGTGTCTCCAGGTTACTTTTCTAGTCTCCTAGATGACTGTTTTCAAAATTTCTCTCTTCTCAAACCTTCTTCTCCTTCCCCATGCTTCGTTTAGTTAATAGCCATGTTTCCTATTTTATCAATGATATAGAAATAGCCAGTAAAGAGCTTCCATGTGTTCCTGAGGCATATCAACTCACTTAACTACATCGGTGCCAATTTAGGCTTTCTATTATTATCATGAAGGAACTGCCAGTGTGACTTGTGAAAACCAATTTCTCCATTTGTGCGCTACATTCCATCTGGTTTCTTCTGAAAGATTTTGCTTCTAGCAGTTCTCCCTTTTTCTTTTCTCCCTTATTTCTGGATCTCCAGACTACTGGCCAACACTGTAGATTTTGGACTCATCAGCCTCTATAATCACATGAGCCAGTTACTTATAATAAATCTCCTTCTATATATGTACAAATTCTATTGGTTCTGTTTCTTGGAGAACCCTAATACAGTTGATTTTTAGCATCTATAGCATAGCATGATGGAAGGCATCCATCCTTCACATCAGTCTTCAACTAGCATTGCCTCACTTTTGATCTTGCCTACCCCAGCTTTGTTTACTTTCAAGGCTTTAAACTGTTTTCTCTCTCCAGCTAGAGCCTCCACACCTATCTGTTCTACTTGCCCTATGTCTACTCTTTAACCTCTGCAAATCATATAGTCATTTAATATCACTTTTCATCAACTTTATACAGACCATTAATCCATTAACCCTTTTCTGGTTGTTATTGAATCCTATTCAGGTAGATCTCCTTGACCAGGGACTTCTATATTATCACCAGTCTCCTGAGTGAACCTGATTTTTACCACTGCAATTTTAAAAATTAATTTATTTTTTAATTGATAAGCATTCTATATATTTATCATGTACAACATGTTTTGAAATATGTGTACATTGTGGAATGGCTAAATTCAGCCAATTAACATATGCATAATCTCACATGCTTATTTTTCTGATGATAATATTTAAAATGACTTTCTTGGCAATTTTCAAATATATAATACATTGTTAATAACATAGTCACCATGTTGTACAATAGACATCTTAAAACATATTCCTTTTATTTAACTGAAATTTTGTATCATTGGACCATCTCCCCCAATACCCTGCCCTCCAGCTTCTGGTAACCATTCTATGCCCCATTTCTATGAGTTTAAATTTTTCAGTTTGCACATAAGCGAGATTATATAGAGTGTTTTTCTTTCTGTGCCTGGGTTATTTTACCAAACACAGTGTCCTCAAGGTTCATCCATGTTGTCACAAATGATAGGATTTCTCTCTTTTTAAAGCCTGATCTTCCTCTTTATTATCATGTTTTGGCTTGGAGCATCTTTACTTGATCTTTTTGATATGCCAACAAGCATGGTGTTTATTCTCTTATATTTAAAATATCTTCTCTTGGACTACTTTCCCCTCACTAAAATCTCACTTCTGGCCTGCCTTTTACTTCAGAATTCCTTGAAGGAGTTAGCTGAGTATTCCCATTACTCTCTTTCCATTCTCTCTTGGACCCACTTGTAAGCTAATCAGGCTTTCACCCTAATACTCCACCGGCTTTCAGCCCACTGGTAAGATCTCAGTCCTCATTACCTAGCAGTATCACTCAAACCTGCCCTCTTTTTTGAAACAATTTCTTCATTTGACTTCCAGAAAATACTCTTGTTTGGTTTTCCTCCTGCATCTCTGATGAATTCTTTTGTCTCATTTGTTGGATCTTTCACATCTCTCTAACGTTTAAACTTTGGAATGCCCCATAGTCAGTTCTCAGTTGTCTTCTTTTTTTCTAGCTGCATTACTGTTGTGAGGATCTCATGACTGAAATACTATCCAATATGCTGATGGCTCTCAGATTTATATCTCTAATACTTATCTTTGCCTTGAACTCATATCTCATGTATTAAACTGTCTACTTGACATTTCTCCTAGTAAGTTGAATATATATATCAAACTTAACATGTCTCAGATAAATTTTTAATACTCCCCCAAAATTTGTTCCTTTGGCATTTTTTCCCCTTTCAGAAATGGCAACTGTTTGCTCCCAGTTCTCCAGATAATAAACCTAACGGCATTCATGCACTCGTCTCTGTCTTTATACCCCACATCTAATCTGTCAGCAAATCTTTACATATCTAAAATAAAACCACTCTCACTCATCTACTACCACTCACATTTCTTACCTGCTGCAATGTCCTGCCAAGTGTTTAGTCTATTCTCAACACAGCAGCCAGAGGAATGCTGCTGAAACATGGGTTAGATCATATTACTCTTCTAATCGAAATCCTTCAGTGACTTCCCTGTAGCTTACAAGGCCTAACACATTTGTGACATCTTTACTGGCATATGCTCTGTTTTAGGGAGTGTAGTACTATCTTAAGCCTTATTTGATTGCTTATTTTCCCACCATACTGGATAGGAACTCTTACTTTCTTTCTGTTTCTAAAGCACAAGTGTTTGAATAAGACATTATTCCCAATTTGAAACTAGTACCTGATACTTCCTCATAATAAGAGTGATCCTGATATTATTGTGGTTTTGTTAAGGAAGACAGCATGATCTAGGCAGCAATAGATAGCCTAGGAAGATATTTTTACAGGGATTTAGTCAATTCATAATATCTCATTCTGATATTGCTGATATCTGTGTCACTGACCATATACTCTTAGCAGAAAATGGGAAAGTCAGAAGCATGTCCAGCTTCATTTTGTACCTAAGAGAGTAGAGTGATGCTTTTTCTGTGAACTCAATGAAAAAAAAAATAGAGCTAAATGTGTTTCTAACAGGTATGTGTCTGGTTAAATACCGTTAAATAAAGCTAAACATTAATAGTGCACTTTAAAAAATACTATGCTTAAGGTAGCAATATTTAAGACACCAAAGTTATTTTAACAGCAAGAGTCATCTACTTTCCATTCTTGTTTTGTGATTCACATGTAATGATTCACAGATTTTGTAAGGTGTTAGTTTAGTCATCATTTGCACTGCACAATTTTGGGATATAATTTCATTGTTGTGGGAAAAAAATCACTTCGGTTGTGTGCACATGGTGGCATCCTCTTCATTTGTCTCCCAGCTTCTAGATTTATTCTGTTTGCTACAGTTAGCATCTCATCTGTTAGATTGCCTCTTGTTAGCTCATTGGCATCAGTGTTAACCATTAGATGATTCTTCTTCATCTATAAATAAGAATTTTGAGACATCATCTGGTTCAATTGTTTTTCTTTATGAACATTTTTAGGGTCATCATATTAAAATGTAAGTGGCCATTTAAAAGCTATTGATCTATACATTCTCTGTGTATGTATGTATACATATGTGTATATATGTACACTTGAATACATGTATATGAGTATATGTATGGATCATCACACACAAAAAATTCACTTAGAATATCTACTTAGAATATCATTTCTACTTAGAATATCATTTCTCTGTTACCTGAGGGTATAGATAGGTAGTATAATACGTACTAATGTTGTAACTTATATTATGGTACTAATGTTATAGCTAGTACTATAATATAAGCACTAGTTATATGTACTAGTGTTATAACTTACTGCCTCTGCAAAAGACAAAGAAGACGCAAGCAGATTGGGTGGAAAAGAATAGTCATACTATGGTCAAAAGCAAGTACCAGTTAGCATGTTAGGAGCTGTTAAGGTGAACTACTGGAGATTGCCTCATAATTCCCTTCTGTATGGAACAGGAAGGTAGTAAAATAGTAATTTAATTTCTTTTGTTTTTGTTTTTCTGAGCTAAAATTAGATTTCCCGGGAGTTATTACCCCATTGGCTAGTCCACTCTACTATGTTGCATTTCAGCATGCTCAGAATGAGGACTTCTTTCTCAGAGGAGTATGGGAAATTCAGAACTTCCATATAGAAAATTAAAAATAGCTTGAGGAATTAGATAGCATACTCCAGTCATTGAAAGCATCACAGAGACACATCTCAAGAAGATGAGATGTTTGTTGTTCTTATTTCCCCATCTAGCTTCCTATATCCATTTTATTACTTAAAAATACTTTTATAATGTTTATTCAGGATGACCTATAAAATAATCAGCATTCTAAATTACATCTATATCCTATTTATCTTACTATCATGGAATTTCTATCTTTATCAAGAAACCTTTTGGATGTATATTTACTCAGTTGAGGCTGCTATCTTTAAAGAGGAGAGTAATTTTTCTGGTCATTTTTTATATGTTTCTAGTGCTACTAATGAGACCAATAGAACATCCGAAGTGGCGCTGACTCACAAGGTTACTGGCAGTCATGCCACTTGGCATTAGATTGCCTTTCTCTGATCTTATGCATAAACATTCATGCCAAGTCTGCCCTGCAGACACTGGCTGAGTGACAGATGAAAGGAGTACTTAGACAAAGGTATCCAGTGAAAGAGCGGGCTAGGGGACTGCCGGCACTAGGGGTCAAAAAGAGTTTGCAGCCCCCCTAAGCTGGCGATGCTCGCATTTATTTAGTACAGATTTAATGACAAAGGCTTGGAGCAAACACAATTTGTCGGTAATAAACATTGTTGACCCCTCGAGTAGAGAGCAGTCTTGCACATGAATGATCAAAAGTCGGTTTTAGGACAACATAAGTAAACAAGCTATCTAGATAAACTCCTCTACATTCCCTTGTTATTTGCTTTTTGCTATTAGCTAAAGGTAAGAGGATTAGGCTGCCTTTAGCCATAACCTTTTCCTAAAGCTTTTGCAAAACCTTCCGGCTTTTTAAAAAGGTTTGTGTCTTTCCTGTAACTTTTTTTTTTTACAACTTTTCCCACCACCCTGACCGAACTCCTACACATTCATGCATAAGTTTCTGTGTGAACATGCATTTCATTTCTCTTCAGTATACCTAGGATTGGAGTCGCTGGATTATATGATAATCTATGTTTAATCATTTGAGCAGCTGACATAAATTATTTTCTATATCTCTTCATCTGACCTTTTGATCTAACTATTCCAGTGGCTATGAAGTGGTATCTCATTGTGATTTTGATTTGTATTTTGCTGAAGACTTTTCATGTGCTTTTTGGCCATTTGGTATCTTCCTTTGAGAGTGACTGTTCCATCACTTTGCCCATTTTTAATTGAGTTATTTGTTTTTTAATAATTGAGTTGTAAGAGCACTTTATGTATTCTAGACATAAGTTTCTTTTGAGATAAGTGCTTTGCAAACTTCACTCCTTAAAAGACATTAGGCTTATGCCTCTGATCCTTTGCTCTTGATACTCCCTTTTCCTGGAATACTAATTCCTACTCTTCCCATGGGTGTCCTGTTTAAACCTTTTGAGCTTAGTCTAAATGTCACTTCTTCAGAGAAGTTATCTCCACCTTATCTAAAATATATTTCTTCTCTTCCTTATTTCTCTCTCTGGACCTTTGTTTATTTCTCTAAGAGTATTTGTACCTTACAGTGAGTTTATGTATTTATGTATAGTCTACTACCCTAAAATGTAATTTCTATGAAGCAAAGATGCTGTTTGCCTTAAGTAGTAGGCAGTACATAAATATTTATTGAATGAAAAAGTAAATAATCAATGCTGGATTTCTTTCTCCTGTATTTTTTCCATTATCAAGCTCTCTCTTCGACTCTGTCACTGGACATTAAAACTTTTGTTCAGGCTAATCTAAAGTAAATTTAGGAATTTTTACTCATATTTGGAATAACCTCTGATTTGACTCATGTTCTAGAGTATGCAAAAGTTTGCAGTTAGAAAGCTTCTTGAGTTAGACTTCCATATATATTATTCATGAAGTAGACACCTTTATTATAGTTATTTCATCATTTAGCAAGTGGTACTTTACATTTTTATGGCACATAAAAGGTGTGCATTGTTAGCATTACATCCTATTTTTTCACAATTGAAAAAAATAACTAAAAAATGTACAGCCTTTTAGTCTGCGATTACTTCAAATTTAGTCTTTTATAGCTTCAGTATCTTACTTGACTACCTTCTCCATCACATTTCTGCTTATCTGATAGGAAATTGATTTTCTGCCTGGTAAAATATTCTTTTTCAAATACTATATAAAAGAGTAAGTTATATGGTTATAATCATTCCTTTTAATGTAATATACCAAATAATATTAAAATCTTTACAGTCAGATCATTCCAATACTTTTAGCCAGATAGTTTCAGATGATATTATTCCTCTATGAGAAAACAGATCATTTTAAAGTTAATAATATGTAAAATATAAATATCCCTCTATAGTATCTTTTTTTTTTTTTGCCCCAACCTGATGTAATTTTTTTTACTACAAATTAAATGAGATCAGGGTGGGGGGAGGTATATATTATATAAAACAGAAGCGAATTCTAGTTAGAACTTGTTTTTCATCATTTGTAAATTTTCAGCTCTGAATGAATTCAGTATAAAATATGTCTTGAATCATTGGGTTCTATGTATGAGTCAAATGTCCTTGAAAACCATATTATGCTCTTAGGTAAAGACCATGATGCTAAGCCACTATATTGCATCTGTATTATTTGCATAGTTTTGGCATTTTATAAAAGTAGACAAGTGAAAATACAAACCCCTGGCAATGTTAATGCATTAATATTTTGGGGAATGGAAAAGGTATTCCTTTTGTAGGTATTACTATATATAAAGTTTATTTTAAATATTTTATAGTTGCAAAGTACTGTTTATAGAACAGTTAGAAAATTGTTGCAATGCATTTTGGTTAATAACAAAACTAATGATAGATAACATTTCTAAATCAGAGATGGGGCCAAAGAACAAGAATACCATATTCTGTGTCTCTGGAGCTATGCAGCGTTCAGTGAGTGAGTAAAAAAGTTCTTGGGTTTTATAATTATAATCTTAGGATGCCTACATATTTTATCACCTTATGCTGATATTAAGGTTTTTTTTGCATTAAAAGATGTTGAAATTTAGCCTTCTTAACTACAAATGTCTATTTTTTTCACTAGAACAATATCCTTAATTTAGCAAGATAGTTTTCATTAATCTATACTGATTTTGTTTAACAATTTTTCTTGTTCTTATTGGATATATATCCTTATTCACTGGTGTTGATTCTTGCTGATACTTTCTGCCTTTTCAGAAATTAAGTCTCCGTTCATGTCTCTGATGAATTATTGCCATTTCATTTACAAATTGATGACAATCCATTCTCCAATTCTAATAGTAAAGATTTAAAATTGGAATATTACCTGCATAGTATGTGGAAATAAACTTTTTAAGAGAGAAAAGGGGAGAATGAGATGGACTGTAATTGCAATTGCATTTTGATAAAATAATGAAAATTGCCTATTTAACGAATGACTGGACTGGATTGCCTTTGCAAGTGTGATGAATTATGTAAAATTTAGGATTACTAATTCCCCCCAATCAACTAAAAATAGAATCCCCTAGGCATGAGTAAAAATTCTTTGAAAAATAATATGGTATGGCTGGGCACGGTAGCTCACTCCTGTAATCCCAGCACTTTGGGAGGCCGAGGCGGGCGGACCACAAGGTCAGGAGATGGAGACCATCCTGGCTAACACAGTGAAACCCTGTCTCTACTAAAAATACAAAAAAAATTAGCCAGGCGTGGTGGCGGGTGCCTGTAGTCCCAGCTACTCCAGAGGCTGAGGGAGGAGAATGGCGTGAACCCGGGAGGCGGAGCTTGCAGTGAGCCGAGATTGCTCTACTGCACTCCAGCCTGGGCGACAGAGCGAGACTCCGTCTCAAAAAAAAAAAAAAGAAAAATAATATGGTACTATATGAAGTGTAATATAACATGATGACAGATATTGTGTGTGCTTATTTTAAAAGCCTTTTGTATTCTGTCTTACACATATAGTCTATAAATACTTTTTGTTGATATAGTCTTTTATCAAATATTTATCTAGGCCTTTATGTCAAGTCAGGCATTTTCTCATGCTTTTTTCTTTTCTTATTGTTTCTAACCTTGGAATTAAGATTTATTTTCTGCAGATAAAGGTAATTGACTTTTATTTGACATCAACCTATGAACTGAGGGAAGTGGTAGTATGACTGAGATTATGGTTTTTCCCCTCTGTAGTAAATCTTGAGCTGCAGCTATTGAGATGACTAGAAAATCAGAATAAGTATTTTCTTTTGATAAGTAAAACTTAGTTTTCATGTATTTTTACTGTCATATCTATCTATAGCAGAGAAAATAGATCTTCTACTAGTGCAGGTGCAGTAAGATGACAAGGGAAGACTAATTCTTCATTTGTTTATTTCCACCGATTTCTCCCATAGTAAGTGCTTAGTTATCAAATATTAATGAAAAGCAAACGTGGGATGATAAATCCAAAATAAGGAATAATCTATGTAAGATATGGATGACATACCTTAATCCACAGTTGTTCACACAAAATAGAGACTTGTCAGAATTTGGATACTCCCAAATTTATAGATGGAATGATGTATAAATTCTTTGTATTAGTTTTCTGTAGAATTGCTTCTCAGGGACCACTCCAATGTTTTTCCTTGCTTATTATGGTAAGAGTAAAGTGAAATGCTGACTGCATTAATCTAAATGGAGGAAGAGAAAGTAAGTAGAAACACAAAAATAAACTTCAGGATAATACAATGTTGGCTATCTAAATTAAGCCTAGGAATCTCTTGCTAGTTTATAAAGTCTTTATTTTACTTTTTCTCCCTTTAGAAATGTCAGTTGTTATTTCAAAAATGGGCACTCAAAATTACTGACTGACATCCTAGAAAGTAATTATTAAACTTTTTCTGTGTAGATTGCATGTTTTCCTTTATATTTATGTCGACCTTACTGTTTCCCTCCCCTTGAAATGAAAGAACTATACAGAAGTTCTTTCTGTATAGTCTCTCTTTCTACATCATCTATAATAATCTTACATTTTTAATATACTCTTTTTTCCTGTATGACCTGAGAAAATAATTATATAATATCCCCAAATATAAAAAGATTATAATGCTTACCATAACAAAGAATTTTAGAGTTTTTGAAATATTTTCAACTATCAATCGATTTTTTAAACATGAAACTTGATGTGTTCTTTTTTGTTTTCCTTTTCCTCAGTGGTGGTAAGGACAGAGAATAAAGTAGTTGTTTTTTTTTTTTTTTACCTTCTTCCAATTTTTCATAGTTGTCTATAAATCATAGTGGTCTTAAAGAATATAGAGAAGAAGACTATTTCTTTCTCTACCTTACTCATTAGATAAATCAAACCTTTCTTGGGAAAACAAACTGGTAGTTTTCCATGGTGACTTCATCATAACTGGATATAGAATGGATATACTGAGACATCATTTATTATATTCTGTCTCTAGAAATAATACTGCACTTTTAGAGGAATGTAGACATGGTTGCTATAAAAATAAAGCATTGTGAGTTTAAAAGGGATTATTATATTTAATCACCTAGAAAATATAAATTACTTTCTTATTTAGTCTTAAGAAGTGAATGTTCATTTCATTACAGGAGCCTGTATTTCATTCAGAAAGCAGTCAGAACCTCTTATCAGGACATATTAATGAGGATTTTAAAAATGTATACTTTAAAACACTTTACCATAATATAGTCATTAGAGTTCTTGTAAGTGAATCATTTTACACATGCATATACTTTTAATTAAATCTTAGTGAGTTCTGATATAGACTTTATAACTAATTATGAACTATAACTGCTCATATTTTAGTAACGTACTAGTATGCTTAATTTCAATCACTTAAGTAACCTTCAATTATACACATACTTGTTTACATACACATACTTGTTTACATACACATGTGTATATAATAAAATTTCTATATACAACAGAATACATCTGTTTTAAGAAAGGAGTTTGAATTTTTAGAAATATTCATACACAGATCGCCACCACCATAATCAAATATAGAACATTTTCTCATGATCTCACATTAATTCCCTTTGTCTTTTGCAGTCAGCTTCTCTCCACCCACTTGCATACTACCATTAATTTTTTTCGTTACTATAAGTCAGGGCTTCTCAGTCTTAGCACTATTAATATTTTGGGTAATTTGCTTTTCTTTGCCAGGGGGGGATTTTCCTGTGCATTGTGGGATTTTTAGCAGCCTCCCTGGCTCCAATCCACTTGATGCCAATAAAACTCTCCCTCTCTCTTCTCAGTTGTGACAATCAGAAATGTCTATAGACACTGCCAAATGTTCCCTGGGGAGCAAAACCATGTCCACTTGAGAACCACTGCTATAAGATTAGTTTTTCCTGTTCCAGCATTTCATACAAATAGAATTACATAGGATACATTCTTTGTACCTGTTTCCTTTCTCTTAGCATCATGTTTTTGAGATTGACCCAGGTTGTTACATGTCCCATTCACTTGTCTCTTTTTACTGAGATGGCAGTATTGAAAAACCACAGTTTGTTTAAACATCTACTTTTGGTTTGTGTTTTCTTTAAATCCCTAAAAATAATTGCTCTTATGTCCTTGATAATTTCAATCTTTTGTGAATCTGTGTCTATTAATCTGTTAATTGATGTATCTGCAAGTTATGAGTCACATTCTTTCTTTTTATTCATGTTAGGGGAGTTTTGGGGGGCATTAGACATTATTAGCTTTACATTGAGTGCTAAATTTTGTTGCCTTTCCTTAAGGAGTGGTGGACATTTTTTTGGTGGGCATCTAAGTTGCTTGTGGATCAGCTTGACTGTCAGGGCTTCCATTTTTTTGTTAGGGTGGATGTATAATTGCCTTACTTTAAGACTAATTTTACCTGTTACCAAGGTGTGACCTTTCTGGGACCTCTGTGGAAAACCCAGGTAGTTAACTAGTACTCTCCATTCTGTTTGGAACTTGGACATCTTGTAACTCTAGGTGTGCTCTGGGAATTATTCAGTTTATAACCCCCAGCTGTTGCTTTCTCAGCCTTGTGAAATTTCACCCTTAGTTTCCACAGCTGATTAATCAGCAGCCAACTTGACAAATAGTTAGCCAGTTTGCTAGAGCTCTTTCTCTCCAGTATTCTAATCCACAAATTTTAGCCTCTTTAATCTCTTTGAAATCTGACACCTGTCTCCTTAATTCAGCAAAACCTCCAGGAAGAAAGTGGACAACCATAAAGCTCACCTCATTGGTTTCCCTTTTCTCAGACATTACAGTCCTGCACTGCCCATTGGCTAATGTCTGAAAACAGTTATTTGATATATTTTATCCAGTCTGGTTATTTACAGCAGAAGGCAAGTCTATTCCTAGTTCCTCCATCGTGGCCAGAAGGAAAACTTTTTTTAATATTCTTTTTTTCCTGATTATAAATATAGAAATGTTCCATATATAAATTTTGGGAAATATGGAATTCTATGTATTTTTCATATTACACTCACAGTCACTAATTTAGAATTGTCATATAAAATATCTATTATGGAGGAGCTTTCATTTTCCCTTACCTCATGTCTCCATATCAAAGGGCCTTTGCTGGAGTAATACCACTGGCCTCTCCCTGGACTTCCTTACTCATTCTGCATAAGTTAAGAGGAATGGCTGATAAGTGAATCTGGAAGAAGGAATAGAAGGTCATGGGCTAGCCTACTTGTAGGCTGCACTTTTAATTTAGCCAGTCTTTAGATTATTTTTGCACTTTTTCTAGCAAGAACAGTCAGGGGGGCCTTTGTCTCTGTCTGCCTATGGCTGAATAGATTTATGGTATTCAGTTCAGGGAAGACATCTAGAAGGCCATGTGGCAGTAGATGCAAGCAATGATGCTTAATTTAGCTGTTTATATACTAACACTGATAACTTTGAACTCTGTTTATCTATACCTATTGGCTTCTCAGTTGGTCCCAAATTTGGAGAAGATAAATGAATTATTTATTGTTCCCCTCAAACTCAGTAATATCACAGATATACATGTTTTTCAGTTAATATCATATCACATCATTTCATATTTTTAACTTTGAGTAATGCAAATTGTAAAGCATATACTCTCAATGGTGGCTGGGGGAAGAGTAGCCAGAAGTATAATGCAGGGTACAAAGCTGTCTCTCTAATAGTCTTTTAGTCAGCCTGTTTTCAGCTCAGCATTTCTTTATTGCCTCAAATCCAATTTCCAGCTATCTAAACTGGGTCCTTCAGGCTGTCTACCAACTGGTAGATTCAGGCGCATACCACATCTGCTGCCTCGGTGCTGTTTACAATTATAGTGCCTTGTGTTCTTTTCCTTAGAATGAGATGATGAGAAAGCAAAACAGAATAGCAAGTGTGAAAGGAGAGAGAATGGAGAGCAAGAGGAGGGAGGAGTAAAAAGAAAACAGATTTATAAATAACAGATAGCCTATGAAAGGGCTATATGGATGTCCTCTGAAGGAGGTAGTAACATCCTTTGTTTGAAGGAGGTAAAAGATGGAGTTACACATGAGTAGAAGAAGAAAACAGGAGGAAACAAAGATGAAAAAACTGCATTATCTTTGCAATCATGTGTCACTAGTGTTTCTTATTAGACTGTAGATATTTTATTCTTGGCAATATGTAATGTGGATATTTTAAATGAAAACAATAAAAATTCAATTTCAATAATGTCGAATTAAGTCTTTACCTAATTCTTGTCAAGATACATTTAACATTAAAACTTTTTTGTTAGCAATAACATAATTTTCAGTAAAATTATTAGCTGTGTTGAAATTTTATGAGTTTATAGTTTTAAGTGTTTTTATTAAAAAGAATCATTTTCTCTTTTGATTTAATGCTTGATAATTTTTCTCTAGTTATTGCTTCTGACAGAGGCTATTTGTGAAACGTATCATTGTAGTCTTGGTATTCAAATAAAATAGATTAGTACTGAATAGCAGAATTACATATGCTTTCAACAAAAGAGCTTTTTGCTTTATGTGTGTATTTATGTGAGTCCACATGTGTTTGGTGTATGTATCTGTGTATTCATGTGTTTGTATGAGAGAGTATGTATGTAGCTTTGGTATAAAAAGGGTTTTTCTGACGTAAATGTCAAATAGGGAAATACTTACATAAATCTGATTTTATATATGATAATCATGAGGATCATGCAGCAATACGTAGCAGTTTTCTTAGGGCTAAATAACACTGAAATTTTACATCACAGGAATGACATACCTTGATTACAGTATTATTTTCTGTTTGTTTACATGTATATACACACATATACATGCATATGCTTTATATGACATGTGCATTTCATGAGGGCAGTGATATTGTCTTGATTATTATATCCACACAGGAGGACTTCTGTATATAGTAAATGGAATTTTATAAAAATTGGGCTGAAAAGTTAAATTTAAATAGTTGTATTATGCTGGAAAGCTTCTTTGATTTTTAAAACCTGGAACAATAAAGACTTGTTTTCATCATTATAATTTTCTTTAAGAAAAAAGTAAGACATTGTTAGCTGAAACCCTCTCAAGTATCACGTTTACCACTAGTATCTTGCTGGTGGGGTTAATTAACCTAAAATAGAGCTTAGGTAGATGATTTTGTAGTGTTAATCTTCCCATACCATAATTTAGAGCAGAAACAATTAAGCCTTTAACCCTATAATTTCAAAAGGTTCTTGTTCTCTTTTTATCAAAATCTCTTTCAAGAGAAGTGGTAAAGAAAAAGGTATGAATTAATCTGGCTACTGGTTCTCCCATTTTATTCTAGAAAATAAGAGAACATCTTTGCCTCTTTCGTCACCTTTGAATTTTTACATATGTATATGTGTATATGAATACATATGCATATATCTTTTTTAACAACACTTAACTATTCATTTACTATATTATTCGTTGATTTTTTAAAAATAAAATCTCATGGGTATAAGTACCTTTAAAGCTATGCAATTAAATGGAATCTGCTATGTATTAATGAGTTCACTTAGAAGAAAAGTTACATTTTAGCCATAAATACTTTCTTTAGCTCTATTCATTATCTTCAGTTTATGTGCAGAAAATCTCTACCTCCATCCTCTTTGGGTCCCAGCAGAATCTGAGAATTAAACTGAAATAACAGATTAACAGGAGAAAAGCATAATACAAGTTTTACATGGCATGAGAGTTCTCATAGGGAAATGAAGACTCAAAGAAGCAGTTACCTATATACTGAGTTGAACAAAGAATAATAAACTGTGAAAATGTGACTAAATTATGTGGGAGGCTTAAAAGATAAGTCATTTTAATAAGGTTTGCAAAGTATTCTCTGGTCTCAACTTCTCATCCTTGAAGGTAAATATGTTGTCTTTTCTTCTAGTATAGAGAGTGTCTTTCACATGAGAATTTCATTTTCTTTATAGAGAAACAACACGAAGCTCAACGTGATCTTGCACTTGCTGTTTTTCAGTGTCTTTAATTTAAATAATCAATATGCCAGAATAGCATGTTTTAACCCCTTCAGCAGCATATTTTTTCCAAGATGAATAAATGATTGACTAAAGATTTTTTACACTTATGCTTTCTTTTTGCTTTTTAAAGAAGTGAATAAAAAATTGTATCTGAAAGTACATGAGGAATGAGTGTAGTGTTCCTGTCAGTCCACATAGTGAAATTTTAAGGTTCACGCTGTCTATTAAAACAGATACTCAGTAATGAGCCATATTCATATAAGAAAAAGACTATTCAAGAATTATGGTTACAAATCACAATCCATTTTATGAGCTTTTAATAATTCAGTAATTCATTGTTGTCAACTTTTAATACATGTAACAAACAATTGATGGTATAAGATGTAATTACAGAAGAATATCTGTTTTCCTTTGAAAGCCATATGTATTCCATATGGAATTTTCAACTGTTTACATAGTTAACATTAATAATTTTTCAGTATATCTAGCATGTCTTATTATAATAGTATGTTATCTTTCTGATTAGACAATGATCTTGACAAGCTTTTATTATGCCTCAAAATATCTGATAAACAAACTGAATGGATAGAAAACTGCCAAAGACAATTTTGCAAAATGATGAAAGCCAAACCTGATATAATCAGTGGAGAGGGTAAGTACATTGTTTCCATTGTGGGTTTTCTTATGTATGAAAATTATATTAATAGAATCTGTGGTTCTTAAAGATTAGTATTGGCATATGTAGAAAACATAATGCTAAATCCAGAAGTTTGCTGATTTCTGAGAAAATTGGGATCCTGAGAGAACACAAATTAAAATATGAGACACTACTAAGCATTGTTTTTTTCTTTTTGGAACTGTCTAAACAGTCTTGGTGAGCAA